>NC_000014.9:54157167-54460197 GCF_000001405.40 Homo sapiens | reverse complement strand
AGGTGAAGGGGAAGCAAGCACCTTCTTCACA
This sequence comes from Homo sapiens, assembly GCF_000001405.40. Lineage (NCBI taxonomy): Eukaryota > Metazoa > Chordata > Mammalia > Primates > Hominidae > Homo > Homo sapiens. The sequence goes on along the minus strand of NC_000014.9, from coordinate 54,460,166 downwards.
GGCAGCAGGAGAGAGAAAGGCCAGCCAGCAAGGAAGTGCCACACCTTTAAAACCATCTGATCTCATGAGAACTCCCTCACTATCACAAGCACAGCATGGGGGATACTGCCTCCATGATCCCGTCACCTCTCACCAGGTCTCTCCCTCAATACCTGGGGATTACAATTTAATATGAGATTTGGGTGGGGACACAAAGCCTAACCATATCATTCTGCCCCTGGCCCCTCCCGAATCTCATGTTCCTTTCACATTTAAAAACCAATCATGCCTTCCCAAGAGGCTCCCAAAGTCTTAGTTCATTCCAGCATTAACCCAAAAGTCCAAGTCCAATGTCTCGTCTGAGACAAGGCAAGTCCCTTCCACCTATAAGCCTGTAATACCAAAAACAAGTTAGTTACTGCCAAGTTACAATGGGGGTACAGGCATTGAGTAAATGCTCTTATTCCAAAAGGGAGAAATTGGCCAAAACAAAGGGGCCACAGGTTCTGTGCAAGCCCAAAATCCAACAGGGCAGTCATTCAATCTTAAAGCTCCAAAATAGTCTCCTTTGACTCCATGTCTCACATCCAGGTCAGGACGATGCAAAGGGTGGGCTCCCATGGTCTTGGGCAGCTCCACCCCTGTGGCCTTGCAGGATACAGCACCCTCCCGGCTGCTTTCATGGGCCGGCGCTGAGTGTTTTTTGCTTTTCCAGGCACACAGTAGAAGCTGTTGGTGGACTTACCATTCTGGGGTCAGGAGGACAGTGGTCCTTATCTCACATCTCCACTAGGCAGTGTCCCCACATTTCCCTCCTGCATTGCCATAGCAGAGGTTCTCCATGAGGGCTCCACCCCTGCAGCAAACGTCTGCCTGGACATCCAGGCATTTCCATATATCCTCTGAAATCTAGGCAGAGGTTTCCAAACCTCAATTCTTGACTTCCATGCACCTGCAGGCTCAACATCATATGGAAGCTGCCAAGGCTTGGGGCTTGCAACCTTTAAGGCAATGTCCTGAGCTGTACACTGGCCACTTTAGCCACAGCTGGGATGCAGGGCACCAGGTTCTGAGACTGCACAAAGCAGCAAGGCCCTGGGCCTGATCCACAAAACCATGTTTTTCCTCCTAGACCTCTGGGCCTGTGATGAGAGGGGTTGCCATGAAGACCTTTGACATGCCCTGTAGACTTTTTTCCCCATTGTCTTGGCAATTAACATTCAGCTCCTCATTAATTATGCAAATTTTTGTAGCTGGCTTGAATTTCTCCCCAGAAGATGATATTTTCTTTTCTATTGCATCATCAGGCTGCAAATTTTCCAAACTTTTATGCTCTGCTTCCCTTTTAAACATAAGTTCCAATTTCAGATCATTTCTCTCAATTTCAAAGTTTCAGAGATCTCTAGGGCAGGGGCAAAATACCACCAGTCTGTTTGCTAAAGCATAGCAAGAGTGACCTTTGCTCCAGCTCCCAATTAGTTCCTCATCTCCATCTGAGACCTCAGCCTAGACTTCATTGTCCATATCACTATCAGCATTTTGGTCAAAACCATTCAACAAGTCTCTAGGAAGTTCCAAGCTTTCCCACATCTTCCTGTCTTCTTCTGAGCCCTCCAAACTGTTCCAACCTCTGCCTGTTACCCAGTTCCAAAGTTGCTTCTACATTTTCAGGTACCTTTATAGCAGTACTCCACTCTCTGTTGTACCAATTTACTGTATTAGTCTGTTCTCAAACTGCCGTAAAGAACTGCCCAAGACTGGATAATTTATAAAGGATAGAGGTTTAATTGACTCATTTCTCCAAGGCTGGGGAGGTCTCAGGAAATCTACAATTATGGCAGAAGGCAAAGGGGAAGCAAGGCACCTTCTTCACAGGCAGCTGGAGACAGAAAAGCCAGTGATCAAGGAAGTGCCACACTTTTAAAACCATCAGCTCTCATGAGAACTCCCTCACTATCATGAGAACAGCATGAGGGAAACTGCCCCCATGATCCAATCACCTCTCACCAAGTCTGTCCCTCAATACCTGGGGATTATAATTCAAGATGAGATTTGGGTGGGGACACAAAGCCTAAGTATATCACCATTCAAATAATTTGTTATGAGTACTATTTATGTTTGGGTTATAGATTGGACAATAAAACCACATTTAGTGAAAATAGAGAAGGGTAGGCAAGTTGAATTTTAGTTCTCTGAGTTTGAATTATGAATATACTACAGAAAAGGGTTGAAGTCTATAAATGATGCATTCTTTTGAATAAAATTAATATTCAATTATGTAAGAAAGTTGGACTTCCTCTGGGCATTTGCTCCAGGGTAATAGCAATTTTATCACTTGTTTAAACATTATTCGTGTACTTAAAAAACAATAGTTGATAACCTCAGAGTGCCCTCCAGATTAACACTGGATTGAGGCCATATTATAGTCATGCATCACTTAATAATAGAGAAACATTCTGAGAAACGTGTTATTAGGCGATTCCATTGTTGTGTCAACATCATAGATTGTACTCATTCAGACCTAGAAGATATAGCCTACTACACACCTAGGCTACATTGTATAGCCTATTGCTCCTAGGCTATTAACCTGGATAGCCTGTTACTGTGCTGAATACTATAGGCAATTGTAACACTGTGGTAAGAATTTACATATCTAAACATATCCAAACATAGAAAAAGTACAGTAAAAATACAGTATAAAAGATAAAAAATGGTACACTTGTATAGGACACTCACTATGAATGGGGCTTGCAGGACTGGAAGTTGCTTTGGGTGAGTCAGTGAGTGAGTGGTGAGTGACTGTGAAGGCCTAGGACATTTCTACACACTACTGTAGACTTTATAAATATTATACACTTTAGCTACACTAAATTTATTAAAACATTTTTTCTCCAATAATAAATTAACCTTAGCTTACTGTAACTTTTTTACTTTATAAACTTAAAATTTTTTTTAAAGTTTTGACTCTTTTGTAATAACATTTAGCTTAAAATACAAAAACACAAAACCTTGTACAGATATACAAAAATATTTCTTTTCTTTATATTCTTAGTCAGTACATTTTTTTTTTTCCAGACAGGGTTTTGCTCTGTTGCCAAGGCTGGAGTGCAATGGTGCAATCACGGCTCACTGCAGCCTTGACCTCCCAGGCTCAAGTGATCCTCCTACTTCAGCCTCCTGAGTAGCTGGGAACACAGGTGTGGCCACCATGCCCAGCTAATTTTTAATTTTTTTGCAGAGATGAGGTCTTGCCCTGTTGCCCAGGCTGGTCTCAAACTCCTGGGCTCAAGTGATCCTCCTGTCTCTGTCTCCCAAAGTCCTGGGATTATAGGCATGAACCACTGCACCAGTTTTTTTTTTTTTAATATAGTTTTTTTTTCTTTAAAAACTTTTTTGTTAAAAACTAAGACACAAACACACACATTAGCCTAGGCCTACACAGAATCAGAATCATCAATATCACTGTCTTCTACCTCCACATCTCATCCAATAGAAGGTCTTCAGGGGCAATAACATGTACACAGCTGTCATCTCCTATGATAACACTACCTTCTTCTAGAATACATCCTGAAGGACCTGCCTGAGGCTTTTACAGTTAATTATTTTTATAAGTAGAAGGAGTACACTCTAAAATAACAATAAAACATATAGTATAGTAAATATATAAACCAGTAATACAGTCATTTGTTATCATTATCAAGTCTTATGTACTGTACATAATCTTATGTGCTACACTTTTATACAACTGGCAGCACAGCAGGTTTGTTTCCATCAGCATCACCACAAACATGTAACACGTAGTAGCTATGTAGACAGCTATGATGTCATGAGGTGAAAGGAATATTTCAGCCCCATTAAAATCTTCTGGGACCACTATTGTATATTCGGTCTGTCATTAACTGAATTATACAGTGCATAACTGTATCTGCATACTTTCTTTCCTTAAAATAATTATTGAAAAATAGTTTTTGGAGCTGGGTGGAAGTGGCTCACATCTATAATCCCCGTGCTTTGGGTGGCTGAGGTGGGAGGGTCACTTGAGCACAGGAGTTCAAGTTTGAGGATGTAGTGAACTATGTTCACACCACTAAACTCCAGCCTGGGTGACAGAGGGAGAGCAAAACCCTGTCTGTAAAAAATATAAAATAGGATAAAAAAATTTTTTTAAACTATGGAGCATATGGTAAATGTAGAGACATAAAAATAGGGGAAAATTTTCATTGCACCCGTTAATCACTGTTAATTTAATATATATTAGTTTCCTTTCAATCTTTTTCCATGTATTTAAAAAAGATATTGTATAGGGTATGTATCCAGTTTCGTATTATGAGTAACATAAACATTCGACATTAAAAAACATATAAGTGTAGTTAGTCTAATAGTATTTTTGAGTGTATATATCATTGTTTACTTAATAATTCCCTTATTATTTGATATTTTGATGGTTCAAACTATTGCTAGAGATATTTTTGTATGCTATTTTTTAATATATAAAAAAATCTATTTTCTATGCTTAGAATTATTTTGAAGATGCTTATTATACTGAACTAGACTCCCAGCTACTAGAGACAAGGGAGGCTTGCCAACATTAAATACTTTCATTTATTTAAAGTATTGCCTAACTAAATTGATCCAAATGGCTGTCTTTCATTTCCAACTTGCTTTTCTTTGATTACTAGACAAGTGTTGACCATTTTTTTCACATTTTTTTTTAACGCTTTTTAATCAATTACAAGGCAAATAGTGTGATCCTGTCCTTTGTCCATTCATAAACTAGGGTTTAGTGGAAATGATTTTAGTGAGCTTTCAATGTACTTAACACTTTGTCTTTTTCTTGCTGGCAATATTTCTGTTTCCCTTTTTTTTTTTTTTTTTTTTTTGAGATGGAGTCTCGCTCTGTCACCAGGCTGGAGTGCAGCAGTGCAATCTCAGCTCGCTGCAACCTCCGCCTCCCGGGTTCAAGTGATTCTCTTGCCTCAGCCTCCCGAGTAGCTGGGACTACAGGCATGTGTCATCACATCTGGCTAATTTTTGTATTTTTAGTAGAGATGGGGTTTCACCATGTTGGTCAGGCTGGCCTCAAACTCCTGACCTCAAGTGATCCGCCCGCCTCGGCCTCCCAAAGTGCTGGGATTACAGACAGGAGCCACCACGCCTGGCCTCTGTTTCCTTTTTTATTTTGGTGTTTTATGTTTATAATTTTTATGCATAGTTGAATCTGTTTGTTGGGTATCTGTTATTTTTAATTTTGGGGGGGTGGGTGTAATTTACCAATTTTTAGTTCAGAAAGTGTGCCCATGCTCAGAACTCTTCTGTGTTCTGTCAGTTTCTGACTAGCCTTGGATTTACCTAAGTTTATGCTATCACTAGAGAATTTACAGTAATAATTTACCTCAACAAAGGTCTAACACTATTACAAATATTTTTCTCAATAATTTGGGGTGACTCCTTTAAAAAGTATACAATTCTTACATGGAATGGGGTCTTTTCTGGAATAATTATGTTAATATGTGGATAACTGTTGATTCTTGTACCTCGTCTATACTTACAATGATTACAACTTTATAGAATGTGTTTCAAATTTGGTAAGGCTAGTTTCTTTTCACCTTTCCTTATTTTTAAATATTTGTTTGGTATTTTCATGTATTTATTGTTAAGGTGATCTTTAGAATAATTTTGTTCCAAATCTCTTAGGGATTTTGATTACAAACATGGTAATACAGATCAATTTGAGAGAAAAATGACATCTTTATAAACTTCCATCATGGAAAATCTTTTATTTAGGCCTTTTGTTTTTCTCAATGAGGTAGTAAAATGTTTTTCACATTGATAGCACACACTCCTGTTGAAGCTTCTGGCTATTCATTTTAATCAAGCTCTTAAGATTGCCAGGAATAAAGATTCACTTGGGCAACTTTTAGTCCTGGGATTAACTATGAGATTACTCATCATAGTAAAGAGACTGAACCTAGGGGTGGCTGTACAGCCAAGCCTCACAGGAATTTGAATGTGGGGGTGGGTGCAGTGGCTCATGTCTGTAATCCCAGCACTCTGCGAGGCCAATGTGGGTGGATCACCTGAGGTCAGGAGTTCGAGACCAGCGTGCCCAACATGGTGAAACCCTGTCTCTATTAAAAATACAAAAAATTAGCCAGGCATGGTGGCAGGCGCCTATAATCCCAGCTACTCGGGGGGCTGCGGCAGAAGAATAGCTTGAGCCCGGGAGGCGGAGGTTGCAGTGAGCCGAGATCGTGCCACTGCCCTCCAGCCTGGGTGACAAGAGTGAAACTCCATCTCCAAAAAAAAAGAAAGAAAAGAAAAAAAATTCTAATGTGGCCTGGGAACTGGAAGCATCCAGCTCTCGTTGCAGACTCATTTTTCTCATTTTCACTTCAGATGCAGAAGTTTGTTGATCATTTGTCATTAGAGTAATAAATCATTTCCCTGTCTAGTTCCACTATTCCTGCAGACAAATCACCTCAACCTCTACTTTGTTTAATAGTTTCTTCATCTTATTGCTTTGGCTTACTCAAAACCAACCTGCTTTCCCTTCACTCACAGTCCATTTTAGTCCTCCTGCCTCATTGCCTTTCTTGGAATATAAATTCTCTTTAATACTTTTAGGCCTGAGTGGTAATGGCTTCTGGCTATTGGGGCCACAGCGTACCGCCCCCTATTAGTTTCCTCCTACTTTGCTCACACGCTTGCAAACAGTTCAGTGCATTGCAATGTGGTACATGACTGGGCTGGCACCTGCCTCAGGCCTATCCTGCCTAGGATGCAGCCAGTCTTCCTTAGGTAAGACTCCTTATAATGCTGGAAGTGAGAGATGCAATCTCATCACTGTTCTTCTGGCCTGTGGGCCTGCCTCTCTGAGAAACAGAAATGGAATTAGTCTAATTGAATCAGAGGCAAATGGTTCTTCTTTTAAAATTATGACATTTTTACTTAAGAAAGTTACAAATATTCCTAATAATAGAAGTATATAAAACTTTAATGGCCAGTCACAGTGGCTTACACATGTAATCCCAGCACTTTGGGAGGCTGAGGCAGGAGGACTGCTTGAGCCCAGGAGTTTGAGATCTGGGTAACATAGCAAGACCCCATATTTACAGAACATTAAAAAATTAGCTGGGTGTGGTGGCGTGTGCCTGTAGTCCCAGCTACTCGGGAGGCTGAGGTGGGAGGATCACTTGAGCCTGAGAGATGGAGGCTGCAGTGAGCCATGATTGCACCACTGCACACCAGCCTGGGTGACAGAGTGAGACCGTGTTTCGGGGAAAAAAAAAAAATTAAAAGTCTACAATTTAAAGATTAATCACAGAAGAGTGTAAAATTTAAAGATCAATGGCGGGGCACAGTGGCTCATGCCTGTAATCCCAGCACTTTGGGAGGATGAAGCAGATAGATCATGAGGTCATGCGTTTGAGACCAGTCTGACCAACATAACGAAACTCTGTCTCTACTAAAAATACAAAAAATTAGCCAGGTGTAGTGGCGGGTGCCTGTAGTCCCAGCTACTCAGGAGGCTGAGGCAGAAGAATCGCTTGAACTGAGGAGGTGGAGGTTGCAGTGAGCTGAGATGGCAGCACTGCAGTCCAGCCCAGGTGACAGTGCGAGACTCCATCTCAAAAAAGAAAAAAATTTTTTTTAAAGATTAACAAAGATAAAATATACACTCATGCATCATTATCCAACCGAATTACCACACATAGAAGCACTGAGAAGGGTTCTCAGCATCAACTGAATGGCACCTCCATGCACTAGGACATGCTGTTTTACATATGCAGAGGTTTGCTCTTTTTTTTTGTTTTCTGAGCCTGTTGAGGTACTAGACTCCCAAAGTCAAATTCTATGATGCTTCAAGATCTAAAGAGGTTGGCCTAAATTGACATGAACAGGAGATGTAAGTGGCAACCAGACAGTGACATCAAACATATTTGCAATAGTCTGAATGTTTATGTCCCAGCCCAAGTTCTTATGTTGAAATCCTAAGCCCCTAAAGTGATGGTATTAGGAGGTGGGGCCTTTGGGAAGTGAGTAGGTCGTGAGGGTGGTGCCCTTGTGACTGCGGCTAGTGTCCTTATGAAATAGGTTCAAGGGAGTTCATTTGCCCCTTCTACCACGTGAGGACACAGCTAGAAGGCCTTATTTATAAATCAGAAATTGGGTTCTCACCAGATACTGAATCTGCCAGCTCCTTGATCTTGGACTTCCCAGCTTCCAGAACTATGAGATAACAGACTAAGGCAAGATTGAACCTTTGACTATTATTGATTCCGAATAGCTTCCCACTTTTTTTTTTTTTTTTTAAGACCGGTCTCACTCTATCACCCAGGGTGGGGTGCAGTGGCACAATCTTGGCTCACTGCAAGTTCAACCTCTTGGGCTCAAGCAATCCTCCCACTTCAGCCTCCTGAGTAGCTGGGACTACAGGTGTGCATGCACCACTATGCCTGGCTAATTTTTGTATTTTTAGTAGAGACAGGGTTTTCACCCCATGTTGCCCAGGCTGGTTTGAACTCCTGGGCTCAAGCGATCCGCCTGCCTTGGCCTTCCAAAGTGCAGGGACTACAGGTGTGAGCCACCATGGCCACATTCTTTTTAGGAAGGCAAGCAAGCGCCTGTCGGGGAAGTGGGCTGCTTCTGCTTAAATGTGGCTATTATTTAGAGTTTCAGCTTAGTCTGGGATTGCGCATACTCCTGGGCTCTGTGAACTGCTTTCTCTTTGAGTATCTCTCCACCTGTGGCCTTGCTCACAGTTACTGAGTGTCCTTGTATGTCTCACAGTCAAACTCCCCAAGAGACAAAGGATCTGTGTGTTCGGCTCTGGGGTGTTGTATGGCAGATGCATCTGCTGAGGCAGAGCATCACGGAGGTGGCCTCCACCACTGCTGCTGTGTCCTTGCTCCTGGGGGAGCTGGTGGCTTGATTGGCAGGCCCAGGCATAGCCTGGGTCCAATCAGCTGTCACAGGATGGTTGCATGGTCGGTTTTCCTCAGAAGACGCTATGAGTTTGGCAAGCCTTCATAACCTAATGAACTTCTCTTTAAGTTAGTGAATGTCTGAACATGACCTTGGATTTCTTTCTGGGTGTGGATAAACGTCTTTCTCCTAAATATACATTTTTTTCACTTGGGCTCTGAATCTCACCTCCTCCCTTTTTATCTTTGCTTTTGCATTGAAGTTTTCTTTCGTCAAACATACTGAGTCTGTTGTCTTCTTGGCAGGGATTACTAACACTTTTATTTATCGGAGCTGAACACCTTTATACCTCATTGAATCCTTAAAACAACTTTATGAGGTAGGTGTTATTATCTTCCACATTTTTCAGAAAATGAAACAGACTTTGAGAGTCAGAGTTACTTCCCCAAGGTCACTCTAGAGTTATGAGTAGAGCAGTGATTTTTGACTCCAGTGGTGCCCTTTTAACCTTCAGCAATGCTTCCCCACATCTGGTTTCAATGTCGATGTCTAGTTCTTCCTTAATAAGGAACTGGTGGTGATGACTCAACCCACGTGGCTAGGGGAACAGTTTAGGTGGTAGCTTGATTTTTCTGTTTGCAGCTACTAGGGATTTTCTAGAAGGTCCTACATTGTAGTCTCATTTCCCACTTACAAGGCTGGCATTCAGAAGCTTTTATTATTCATAGAGTTTTTCGGTTTTTGATTATGTATGTGTTCAACGTTAAAATTCAGAGTCTTTATGGATCAATGTTTCTGGAAAGCTTGGCATCCATCTTAGGTGCTCTGCAAGCTGCTGGCTGCCAGCTTAACCTAAGCCCATGCTATGGTTTGAATGTGTCCTCTCCAAAATTCATGTTGAAACTTAATCCCCATTGTGGTGGTATTAGGAGCTGGGGCCTTTTGGAAAGTGATTAAGTTATGAGGGCTCTGCCTTTACGAATGGATTCATGTTTTATGAAAGGGCTGGAGGGAACTAGCCTGGGCTCTTCTTGCCCTTCCTTTCTTTCCATCAGGTGAGAACACAGTGTTTCTCCCCTTCAGGGGATGCAGCAATAAGGCGCCATCTTGGAAGGAGACAGCAGCCCTCACCAGACACCAATCCTGCTGGTGCCTGAATCTTAGACTTATCAGCTTCGAGAATTGTGAGAAATAAATTTCTGTTGTTTATAAATTATTCAGTGTAGCAGCACAAATGGACTAAGACAGCCCAGAAATTGCTGCATGATGCTGTAACGTCAAGTTTGCTAAGGTGGGTCTAGGTTCCTATGTGGGTTCAACACTCTCTGAGTTCTATGGCCCCTGAAAGCTGCCCCTGGGCCTGAGATAATGTTGTTACCATAGGGATGTGCCACTGGAATGAGGGACAACACATGCTAGTCACTCAGAGGCTCTCAGGTTCTGGGTCACTGGCATTCCAGAGTCTTTTAAAAGGCTATTTGCGAAGGCTGCAATCCCTTCCTAAGCTCCTCGACTTCTGAGTGTGTCCTTATGGTCTACCTCCGTAGAACGATAAAACCTGGGCATGACTCTTTTCCTTGCAATCCCAATGAGCCTGACTAACCCACTCACACATCAAATGGTAAAATCTTCAATAAAGGAAATTAGAGAGCAATATGTCCCATAGAATCATTTAGTTTCTTTCAAAGATTTCAAAACTTCTTTCATTCAACAAAGAGGACATTCAGTTTACAACTTCAGGAAATCAAATGTGCAAAACTACCAAAAATAAGATTGAGTACTCCCTGGTACTTAAAAGGTGGCTAAATCATTTCTTGAACTAATTATTGGTGTTTTCCCCTTGTGTTCCTCTCTCCCTCCACACTTTGACAGTGATGAATCCCTTTAGGCTTCCTTGCCTTGGGAATTTTTGCAGGAAGGACAGAAAGAAGAAGCCATCTGATCAACAGCTCTTCTTGCCTCCTGTGAAAGCCCTCATTGCACTGAAGAGAATTTCCCAGGTGTCCCAGAGTGGGAGGATGGTGAGTGAAGGCTTTTGGGGGTCTAGGAGAGAGGAGGGAGCAGCTAATTTCCTAAACTGGGAAGGGATCAGAGAGAGAGATCTGTGAGTCCTGCAGGCAGTAAGGATCCGTCCCCTGTTCTGTAGGCTGTGGGGAGGCAGTGGCATCATAGAGAGGACAACCCTGGGGTGCCAGGAGGTACCGGAGTTCCCAACCTTGGCAAAGATTCTAATATCTGTCCGTTCTGCTACAGTGATCACATACATTTCCAGGACACTAGTATGACTCTCCGAAGGGAGACCACCAATAATGCCTGAGACAGAATTTTTCACTAATCCACTGGAAAGGGAAATGGAGTTGGAATAAAGTTACTTAAACATAATAAAGAATATAGCACCTTTGCCATAACCCAGCAGTTTCGCTCCTATGTATCTGCCCAAGAGAAAAGAAAATACATATTCAGAAAAAGACATGTACAAGAATGTATGTTACAGATTTGTCTATAATAGCTCCAGATTAAAAATAGCCCAGATGTCCATAAATAGGAGAACAGATAAACAAATTGTGATATATTCATACAGTGGAATGTTACAGAGCAATGAAAAAAAACCCTGTGAAAACACAAGATGGGTGAATTTCAGAAATATGCTGAATGAAAGAAGCCAGACAAGAGTACATACTATATAATTTCAATGATATGATGGTCTAGAAAAGACCAATCTAATCTATAATGCCAGAAAGCAGATGAGTGGTTGCCTTGGCTGTGGGTTAGGAAGCACCATGGTGGAAATTTTTTGGGTATTGTAAATGTTGAACATTTTGATTGTGGGTGGGTGAGTGTATAATTTTCCATACACTCATTGACTGTGCCCTTAAAATGGGTAAATATTATTTTCTGTAAATTATACCTTAATAAAGTTGATTTTTAAAAAGTGAATGAACTGCTGATACATGCAGCAATATGGATGAATTTTGAAGAGAAAACCCCAAAAGATTATGCTGAGCCAAAACAAAGCAGACACCAAGAATACATATCATATGATTCCATTTAGTGAAGTTGAAGGACCCGTAAAACTCATCCATGGTACTAGAAAGCAGAACAATTGTTGCCTAGGGGGTAGGTCATGAGAGAACTTTGTGGGGTGATGGAAATGTTCTCTGTCTTTAGGAGGGAGGTTACGTAGGTGTATATGTGTATTGAAACTCCTTGAATTATACACTTAAGATCTGTGCATTTCACCATCTTTAAACTATGCGGCTTATGAAAGACACATACAAATTAAGAACAATAGCCCTGGCGTGGTGGCTCACGCCTGTAATCCCAGCACTTCAGGAGGCTGAGGCAGGTGGATCACCTGAGGTCAGGAGTTCAAGACCAGCCTAGCCAGCATGGTGAAACCCTGTCTCTACTAAAAATACAATAAAATTAGCCAGGCCTGATGCCATGCACCTGTAATCCCAGCTACTCGGGAGGCCGAGGCAGGAGAATTGCTTGAACCTGGGAGGCGGAGGTTGCAGTGAGCCAAGATCACACCACTGTACTCCAGCCTGGGGGACAGAGTGAGACTCCGTCTCAGTAAATAAATAAATAAATAAATTAACCGGGCATGGTGGCGGGTGCCTGAAATCCCAGCTACTCAGGAGGCTGAGGCGGGAGAATTGCTTGAACGTGGGAGGCGGAGGTTGCAGTGAGCAGAGATCGTGCCACTGCACTCCAGCCTGGGGAATAGAGCGAGACTGTCTCCAAAAACAAAAACAAAACAAAACAAAGTGACTTTTTTTGCACATATGAAATTGTTAAGTCATTTCTGTACATTAACTCCCTTCATCATGGTTGTGTAACAGGCACTCCCAGTGCAAAGGGCAGAATGGATGACACAGCCACCAATATTGAGAAACTACATCCTGCTGGGCAGCCTGAAGCTCTCTACTTGCATGCTGCCGTAACCCAAGGTTTTGGAAAGGTACATAGTGAGCAGAAAAAAACATGAACACATTGTCAGCTCTGCCACATACAGAAAATAACTGAGAATCACACATTGTTCTGGAGGGGCAGAGCTACCTTTTCTCAAAAAAAAAAAAAAAAAAAAGAGAATCCTGGGAAAGGCTTCTCTTCTGAGTATGTGGCATAGGGGGCATAAAGCCTTGAACAAACTCTGAGCTCTGCCAACAAGAAAGAAGTGGGAGTGGGTTTGGGAGCAACCAACACTTTCGGTTACGCATCCCATTTTCCCCAGCTTCATAACTATTCTTTCCAAGTCTTATGTCTGAGTCACATGTCTAGATCCATAGCCCACCCACAACCACCACTAATTACCAGGTGAAATTGCTTCTTCCCCAATTACACAAACATCTTCTGGAAGACTGGGGACTGATGACCTATAGTCTTCTGTGCCCAGGGTTCTTTCCTCTTGGAAGTGCCTCATTATTCAAGGCAAGGGCCCAGATCATCCGAAAGCATAGTGGATTGCATATGGCATTTGTAACTGGGATGAGATGTTCTCCTATTATTCTCCCTTTGTGGGAGTCCTCACTAGTTAGTTGGTTGAGGATAAATTTACACCAATGCAGAGCTTTCCCTTTTATGTTACCACCATGTCTCTGAGCATCCTACGCCCCCACCTGCCCTGCCCTTGGCACTGGAGGAGTGCTGGGCAGAGTGCCAAGCCTCACTCCCACCTGGATGATCAGTGGTGAAGTATGGCTTGCTGTCAATTGGCAGAAACCCCGAGCTGAGCTGCCAAGCAACTCCCTGGAGTTTGGCAAGGTGGTGCTTGTTTCCTTAGAGCCTTGCAAGTTTCTTGAGGTCACGTTCTCCTAACTGCTCAGCGCCTCCCCCTTCCCTTCCTCAATACCAGCTTTATCTAGTTGGGGGTTGGGGAGGGTGCTGGAAAATTTCTCAGATGTGTATCTGAACTTTTTCTGTGTATCTGAAGTTTTTCTTAGACTAGATGCTTTGTATTTGCGGGCTTTGTTTTCCAGGGCTCCAAGCAGCTGACTTGTGTCTAGCTGTCCAGATTGGGAACATGGCTAGTGGGGGCAGTGATGGTAAATTGATGGAAAGAATTTGAACAAAGGAATTTGAGGGAAGGAGGAGGGGAAAGAAGGAGGGAGAGAGAGAGAACAAGCATATAAATTAATCCTTCTTTGAAATATTATCCAGCCCCATTCATACATGCAAGTCAAAGCAGGAACTTAATTCAGTATTTACTGCAAAAGTACTCCCATGGGCTAAAAGAATTAACGCAAATTCCAAAGAATACTAGGAATTGTTTGAACACAGAGAGTATAGATTTCTCACTGTCTATAATGGTCCTCCAAAATGTCAAGTAAACTCATTATTTTCCTCACTACCTTGTCTATGGTTGGTTGATCCAACTAGCTCTTTATCCTCTTTCAAAAGGGTGTATTCTCTCACAGATTATAGCTGCTTAATATTGTCTAAAGTACTGCTGCCCAGTAGAACTTTCTATGTTGGAGGTATCCTATATCTATGCTGTCTAATATAGTGGCCACATGAGGCTATTGAATACTGGAAATATGAGCGCTGGAAATATGGCTAGCGTAGCTGAGGAACTGAATTTTAAATTTTGTTTTTATTTTTTAATTAAAAATTTTTTTTGGAGACAAGGTTTCATTCTGTCACCCAGGCTGGGGTGCAGTGGCGCAACCATGGCTCACTGCAGCCTCCAACCCCATGGCCTCAAGCAATCCTTGTGCCTCAGCTTCCTGAAGTGTTGGAATTGCAGGTGTGTTCTACCTTGCCCAGCTTAATTTAAATTTAAATAGTCACATGATTAGTGGCTCCTGTATTAGACAGCACAAGCCTAAAGTTTACCTGTGTGCTCTGGTAATATGTGAAGGGGGCTTCATCCTACTGCAGCTTATATAACTGTGTGAATCAGTCAGCACTCCACCTGGCATAGAACAGGTGCTCAACAAACCTTTGTTGAAATACCTAAAATGCTACCCTTGAAGAAAGTTGGTGGGGAACCTGGGTTTTATGTAACCGCTGTAGGGGTTGAGGCAGGCAAAATTTCTCTTACAAATTTCCTTTCTCCTCAGGTGAAATAGGGGTAGCCCCTTCTAATTAAGGGTGGGTGCCTGGGAGACAGTTTCATTCTATGAGATAAGGTGCTAGCCTAGTCAGCAGAGAAGGAAAACACACATTTCAAGTGAAGCCGGAGAAAAACTTGTTGCCAAAAGGTAGGATTTCTTGGTATCTGGTGATGAAACATCATTTCCCAAGTTGTAGATGGGATTCATCTGGAAAAAGGGGGTTCGATTTCATGGTTTGGCTTGAGTAGTTCCCTGCAAACTCTCTCTCCCGAGCCCAGAAAGCTGCATCTGCCTTTCATTAGATTGTGAGTTCTCTTGCATAAATATTGCCTGATGCTGCGTTCTGCCGTGCCCGTGGCCTTAAGTACTGAATTAAATATCATTTGCCTCCTTCTTCGCTTTCACCAGGGCATCCAGTTAATCAAGTTCAGCTGAGCTTGTCTCCCAACTACTATCAAGCATGTTTACCCCTTTCCTTCCCACCTTCCACTGCTCTAGTTCAGATCCATAGCAACTTTTGCTTGGACCATTGCCGTGGGACCCGATTTCCAATCTAACACTCCTCTAATCAGGGTCATTGTGCACAGTTGGGCAGTTTGTGCACTGCACATAGGTGCACGACCAGGGTTGGTGGGGCTGAAGTATAGCTTGTGTTCCTACACTCTGGGGTGGGCCTCTGTCCATCTGCAGAAAGTAACTTTACAAAAAATGTTATTGGATTTTATTATTTTAAAAAAGAAATAGAGATGAGATTGTGCCTGGAATTGGTGGGTTCTTGGTCTGACTTCAAGAATGAAGCCACGGACCCTCGTGGTGAGTGTTACAGCTCTTAAGATGGCGCGTCTGGCGTTTGTTCCTTCTGATGTTCGGAAGCGTTCGGAGTTTTTTCCCTCCTGGTGGTTCGTGGTCTCGCTGGCTCAGAAGTGAAGCTACAGACCTTCGCAGCGTTACAGCTGTTAAGGCGGTGCGTCTGGAATTGTTCGTTTCTCCCTGTGGGCTCGTGGTCTTGCTGGGTTCAGGAATGAAGCTGCAGACCTTTGTGGTGAGTGTGACAGCTCATAAAATCAGTGTGGAACCAAAGAGAGAGCAGTAGCAAGATTTATTGCAAGGAGCGAAAAAACAAATCTCCCACACCATGGAACTGGACTTCAGCGGGTTGTCCCCGCTGGCTCCGGCAGCCTGCTTTTATTCTCTTATCTGGCCCCACCCATGTCCTGCTGATTGGTAGAGCCGAGTGGTCTGTTTTGACAGGGCGCTGATTGGTGCGTTTACAATCCCTGAGCTAGACACAAAGGTTTTCCATGTCCCCACCAGATTACTTAGATACAGAGCATCCACACAAAGGTTCTCTAAGGCCCCACCAGAGTAGCTAGATACAGAGTGTCCATTGGTGCACTCACAAACCCTGAGCTAGATACAGGGTGCTGATTGGTGTGTTTACAAACCTTGAGCTAGATACAGAGTGCTGATTGGTGTATTTACAATCCCCGAGCTAGACATAAAGGTTCTCCAAGGCCTCACCAGAGAAGCTAGATACAGAGTGCACATTGGTGCATTCCCAAACCCTGAGCTAGACACAGGGTGCTGATTGGTGTGTTTACAAACCTTGAGCTAGATACAGAGTGCTGATTGGTATATTTACAATCCCTGAGCTAGGCATAAAGGTTCTCCACTTCCCCCCGAGACTCAGGAGCCCAGCTGGCTTCACCCAGCATATCCCACACCGGGGCTGCAGGTGGAGCTGCCTGCCAGTCCCGCGCCGTGCACCCGCACTCCTCAGCCCTTGGGTGGTCGATGGGACTGGGCGCCATGGAGCAGGGGGTGGCGCTCGCTGGGGAGGCTTGGGCTGCACAGGAGCCCATGGAGGGGGTGGGAGGCTCAGGCATGGCGGGCTGCAGGTCCCGAGCCCTGCCCCGCGGGAAGGCAGCTAAGGCCCGGTGAGAAATCGAGTGCAGCGCCGGTGGGCTGGCACTGCTGGGGGACCCAGTACACCCTCTGCAGCCACTGGCCCGGGTGCTAAGCCCCTCATCACCCGGGGCCGGCAGGGGCGGCCGGCTGCTCCGAGTGAGGGTCCCGCCAATCCCACGCCAACCCGGAACTCCAGCTGGCCCGCAAGCACCCTGCGCAGTCCCGGTTACCCCTCGCGCCTCTTCCTCTACACCTCCCTGCAAGCTGAGGGAGCTGGCTCTGGCCTTGGCCAGCCCAGAAAGGGGCTCCCATAGTGCAGCGGTGGGCTGAAGGGCTCCTCAAGTGCCGCCAAAGTGGCAGCCCAGGCAGAGGAGGCGCCGAGAGTGAGGGAGGGCTGTGAGGACTGCCAGCACGCTGTCACCTCTCAAGATCTCATTACCTTGTCCAGGCTGGTCTTGAATTCCTGAGCTCAAGTGATCCTCCTGTCTTGGCCTCCCAAAGTGTTAGGATTACAGGCATGAGCTGCTGTGCCTGGCCAAAAGTAACTTGATAATTTGCACACAGGTGCCACATAATCCTGGTGGTACAGGTTGTACTGTCCAATACACTAGCCACATTTTACTTAAAGTGATGTGAAATTTAAAGTTCAGTTCCTCAGTCATGCTAGACAATTTACAAGTGCCCAATGGCCACATGTGGCTAGTGGCTACTGTATTGGGCAATGTTTAGGTATCGAAAATTTTCACCATCACAGAAGGTTCTATTGCACAGCACTGGACAGACCCTGCTTCTAAACTATTCTACGCAATTTGCTAGGTGAACGATCTTTAATGCAAATCTAAACATGGTCTTCTTTTGCTCAAAAGCCTTCAATGATTTTCTCTTCCATCAGCAGCAATCAGTTAATAGAGTTTTTTTCTTTTAAAAATGGTTGTAATGGAAAGTTAAATCAATTTTGAATCAATTTTGTGTGTTAAGACCAGCATTAAAAACAAGTAGCAAAAGAGAGAAGGGAAAGTACTTATGGATCATTAGTACAGTTTTGTGAAATTTTTGTTTTGGTCATATCTATATTTCTTTGCCTCTATAACTAGATTTCCACCTCTTCATAACTTGATGTCTGTATGATATTCCACTGGGTTGCAATGAAAAAAATCTTTCTAGTTGTGTGTGGTGAGCAAAAAATTTGGGCTTATGGGATAAGAAGTCTGAGCTCCGTAATGAAGCATTATAAGGCCCTCTATGATCTGATCCCTTGCTAATTCATTTCTAAGTCTCACCACTGTCTTGCACTTAGGTTCCATTAATACAGAATTGCTGCTGGTTTCACCTGAGACACGAAGCTTTATTTTTCTTTTCTTTTTTCCATCTCTGTTGCGTTTCCTCATTCTGAACTGTTTCCTTGGACTGCCAGTTCTACCTTCTTTTTGCCTGGAGAACTTATCATCATCTAAGGCCAACTTAGGAAACACCTACAGCAGGAATCCTGCCTAAATGCTCCAGGGCGGGCTGGCTGTCCTTCTTTGACCTTTCAGAGCATCCCACACACATCCGTTTACGGGGTTATAATAACGTAATTATTTATTTAGGTGTTCATTTCCGGCACTATACTAAGTTCTTTCAGTGCAGGTACTATCTTATTCATCTTTGTATCTGAAGCGAGAAGCGCGGTACCTGTAACAAACTAGGCATTCATTCAATAAATATTTGTTGAAAGAATAAACGCAAGAAGGAAGGAAAAATCAATCAACAACTGTGCGGACAATGTCAGTGCAACGCAGACTCCGGCCATCAGAGGGCGCCGGGGCGGCTGGGCTGGTGCGCAGGCGCGCTGAGAGGGCTGGCGCCGCGGCGGTAGCGGTGGCGGTCGCGGCTGTGGCCGGGGGAAGTGAATGGTTTTACCCAGAGGGCCCTGCGCCGCCTTTCTCCGCTGGCAACGGCGCCGCTCCCCGCTCCTCCTCCCCAGCCATGGCGTTCACGTTCGCGGCCTTCTGCTACATGCTGGCGCTGCTGCTCACTGCCGCGCTCATCTTCTTCGCCATTTGGCACGTGAGTAGCTGGGGCTGGGGAAAGGAGGGCGAGGCGGCAACACAGCCTCTTTTCGCCCCGGGCCCGCGGTCCGGGCCGCCACGGCCGCCGGGGCTTTGCGCGTCGGGGATGCGGCCCGGCTGGCACGGGCCGCGCGGCGAGGGGTCTGGGGGCCGCGGGTACTGGAGGAGCCGGGGCGCGCAGTCGCCAGGTGGACGCGCCCGCGTTGCCTCGGCACAGGCCGCGCGCACCGCTACTCCTCCCCTACTGGATGGGGCGGCCGCGGTCCAGGCGGGCGCCCGCGGTTCCGCGCTGCGTTCGCACCGACCTCTGCCGGCCCGCGGCCCTGCATTCCCGGGGAGGATGTCGACAGCGCGGTGGGACGGCCGTAGTGTGAATGAAGTTTTCCGAATTTTTGTTAATACAGATTGACTTTCTTTTAGGGTTTCCACAGAACTGTGGCCAAAATGTAACCTACTTAGGGTGAATTTCCAACTCTACTTTTCAGCACTTGTTCGGTGCTCTTCAAATCAAATCACTTTTTTTCTCTTTTTCCAGATTGTTGTTTCCTGGTGAACTTTGATGCAAGTTCAATTGATTACTTTGTTGATTGCATGTGCGCGTTTCCCCCCCAAATCATACTTTGACCGCTGGAGTTTCAACAGGCAGCTTTCCAAGCCACCCTTATATTCAGGATTGCTTGATTTAGTAGAGGGAGTTTTCATTTGATTTTGAGATGCTCAGAAACCTTAAGCTTTTCTGGGGCAGTATTTATTTCTGTTACACACATCATCATCACTATTGCAGGGTGGAAGCACAGCCTTACTGGTCCCTCTAAGGAAAAAGTCGTAAGTTCCCTGTGACATAGTTCTACAGAGATAAGAATTTCTGTTGCTTTAGCACAAAATTAAAAGCCTTGAGAGCCTTCTGGAAATCATTCATTAAAAATTTATCTCATACTTGCTTCTCTTTTCCCCATATTCCAGTGCCTTCTGGAATGTTGCTTTTAATTTGAATGACCGCGTTCACTCTTACGTAGATTTTAAGTCAGGTTTCATCATGCCAGTAACAAGGATTTCTATGAAACATACGGAGGGGCAGAATGATTAAACAGCAGCAGCGTCTTGTGCAAAAAAGTCTCGAAAGTGGAAGCATATCACAAATCCATTCCTTTTTGCTAAGCAGTGTGATTATGTTTACAATTATTTTAGGACCTGACTGCTTATTGTAATCAGGAATACTTATGTAGGCTATTAACTGTGTCGGAAATAACTGCTACCTCAGAATGCTTGTCAGTAGGAGCAGTAATTTGAAGAGCATCTTCAGCCCTGCTTTGATGGAAGAACAATACCTAAGATAATTTGGGATACAGACTAGCTCAACCTTAGTAGGCCTCTGATGAAAATGTGTGGTTCCATGGCCGGGCGCGGTGGCTCACTCCTGTAATCCCAGCACTTTGGGAGGCCGAGGCGGGAGGATCACGAGGTCAGGAGTTCGAGACCAGCCTGGCCAACATGGTGAAACCCCGTCTCTACTAAAAATACAAAAAAATTAGCCGGGCATGGTGGTGGGCGCCTGTAATCCCAGCTACTCGGGAGGCTGAGGCGGAGGAGAATCACTTGAACCCAGGAGGCAGAGGTTGCAGTGAGCCGCGATGGCGCCACTGCACTCCATCCTGGGCGGAGACTCCGTCTCAAAAAAAAAACAAAAAAAAAGAAAGAAAGAAAGTGTGTGGTTCCATTCCATCTGTAGATGTAGCTTTAAGTCATTCTGCTTGATGGGTATTCCTTTTTTCTGGGATGATGGGGATTCTTAGAGTGGTGGGGTAGGCTTTTTCACATTTTTACGTTTTGAACCAGGTTGTGTTTGGCTTAAGGAAAACCTGAACCGCACTTTCAAAAAATGGGTAATTTCAGCTTAAACAAATGCGTGTCTGGGTGAAGTAAATAATTTTAAGTCGTGTTATACAATGAAAAAAAAATTATACCGCAGATTCGTGGAGAGCTTTTATGCTTAGGGATTTCTTCATTCAGAGAATTAGTATCCTTTTGGAAACAATTCTAAATAAATAGATAGTTTTAATTTTTCTATTACCCATATAACCTTATGTTTATCATCTTAGGTAGTATCTTAGTCCATTCCTTTATAGTGTTTATAGTGTTGCTATACAGGAATACGGGAGGCTGAGTAATTTACAAAGAAAAAAGAGGTTTATTTACCTCAGGATTCTGCTGACTATAAGACTGGGCATCTGGTGAAAGTCTCAGCCTGCTTCCACTCATGGTGGGGGAGTAGTGTGTGGAGATCCCATAGTGAGAGAAAGCAAAGGAAAAAGAGGGGGAGGTGCCAGGCGCTGTTTACAAGCCAGTTCTCTTGGGTCCTAATGGCAGGAGAACTCACTTATTCCCTCCAAGATGACACCAAACCATTCATGAGGGATCTGCTCCCATGACCCAAACACCTCCCGTTAGATCCCGCCTCCAACATTGGGGATCAGATTTCAACCTGAGATTTGGAGGAGTTAAACCAAACTCTAGCAGGTAGTTGAAGTATCTTTCAGAAGACTCATTTTACAATTTTTAAATTACATTCCAAAAATCTTATTTACATTAATCACTGTATTAGAGAATGTTTTTTATGCTGATGATTATATCTGTCAATTTAGTCCTAATTCATGTCATTGATGCTCTGTGGAGAATAGAGTCGGGAGCATAGATTGTTTGAAAAATTAAAAGCTTAAAAGTCATTCCTTAAAGATGTGTATTAAATTGGAAGGTATTCTGAATTGTGTACTTGGGCATCTTTAGGGATTTATCTGTTTTATTTTTGTTATACTTCTGTAGGAAATTTTGTGGGTGTCTTTGCTCAGCCACATAGCTGCAAAAAGATTTGAAAATCATTAAGAATATTCTCAGAAGAGGTTCGAAAACCCTAGCCTATAGCACTCAAAGAGAAACCCATTCAACAACATAGTTAAAAAATCCCTGTGACCAGGCACAGTGGCTCATTCCTGTAATCCCAGCACTTTGGGAGGCCAAGGCAGGTGGATCACCTGAGCTCAGGAGTTTGAGACCAGCCTGGGCAACATGGTAAAATCCCATCTCTACAAAAACTACAAAAATTAGCCAGGCATGGTGGCATGCACCTGTAGTCCCAGCTACTCCGGAGGCTGAGGCAGGAGAATCATTTGAGCCGAGGAGGTGGAGGTTGCAGTGAGCCGAGATTGTGCCACTGCACTCCAGCCTGGGTGACAGAGTAAGACCCTGTCTCAAGAAAAAAAAAAAAAAAACCCTTGAAGTCACCTGGAGAAAATGTCCAATTAAATGTCAGTTTTAAAGACAAGTTTTGTATTCTGTTAAGTTGGATCTTGTTATAGACAAGTACTTATGATTATCATCCTTGTCTTGAGCTTTATTACTAAAATGCATTGGGGTTATATACCACGGCTGACGTCAAGTAGCAGACTAATAACGTCCATAAGTAATCAGAAATTAGTATTTTCTAATTACACATGTATGTTTTTAACATTTGTGTTAGGTGTCATTAGCCAAGGGAAATCCCCCTGGTGAGTTCTGCATTTTTTTTTTTTAATCCCTAGTGCTATTTTTTTCACCCCCTCCTTCCAGTTAATATTTATTGAACACTTAACTATGTGCCAGGCACTATTTTATATTTTAGGCCCTGGGACATAATAGTAAATACAACAATCTTTGTTCTTTCAGAGATTACATTCTAATGTTTTATTATTTTCCTTCTATTGTTGTTTGGTTGGAGTTTTTATTAGGGCAGGTGGGTGAATTTTATGGAACTCTAGAAATTAAAAAAACCGTCTTTTTATGAATCTAAATTTTAACAGGGAAATAAACAGTCATGTTAAAAGATGGAAATATGTAACTTTACTGATTACTGATAATATTGAGCAACACTTTCACATATAAAGATACTATTCCTAACTCATTAAGGGAAGGGTAGCTTAGTTTGTGTGTCCCTGGGGTGAGTAGTGTTAGCAACTAAAATGGCTCCCCCATCAACTTGCTGCCTTTGTTTTCTTTCTTTGTCACCTGAAATGATGCCACAAAGTGGTGCAGAGTCCCTATTTTGACTCTTAATGTACATTCTAGTGACCCTTGAGGTTGAAGCCACATTCCTCCAGAGTGTGGACAAAAGCATCCTTACAAATGTATGTGTTTGGGCACCAATGGGAACACATTGAAGAGTTCGAATCCATCTCTAGTGTCCCACTGAGCACTGTGCCAAGGGAGGAGGAGCATGCACAGATAAATAAAAATGGTCCTTCTCCCTGAGAGTGTAGAGGGGCAGACAGACCTGTGTGTAAATACCACACTCCAGGGTGAGAAAAGCCATATCGATGGCATTATAGAGTCCCATGCTGTGTGGAGATGTGGGCAATTACTTCTGCCCAAAGGAGTTAGGAAAGCCTGCAGAAAGAAGTTGACCTAGGAAGGTTTGTTTTTTTTTTAGGATAAAGAGGAATTTGGATAAACAGTTGAAATTATTTTTCTACTCAGAAGATTATTTCGAGTAGAGATAAGTTGAAATAACTTGAGCAGAGGCATTGACGAAATTGAAAATTGAAGGTATTTATTACAGTAATACCAAATTTTAGTGATACTGAGATAAGAGTGTTTTCACTTTAAATCGCATTCTGGTTCTTTTTGTCATATATGAGTTTACTGTAAATTGGTATTTGGGATCTTGGTGTACTTTTGTTCTTGTTTTATTAACTTTAATAATTATTTGAAGATGGGGCAGGTTTGTTGCTGCTTTTAATTAAAGTGAGTGGTCCTAACTGTTTTAATTTTATTTTAGATTATAGCATTTGATGAGCTGAAGACTGATTACAAGAATCCTATAGACCAGTGTAATACCCTGAATCCCGTAAGTTATAATATAGGATTTATCTTTAGATTTTAAAAATATGTTTGTTTTTAACTTGAAGTAATTTGAAAATGGCCAGTATTCTGAGTAGCATAATATATTTGTACTTTTTGAAGTAGGCAGAATTTAAAAAATCTTCTTTTTCCTGTCGTGCTTGACTATTCTATTATTAATCTGCTGGTGATCTTGTCAGCTGTCATACTAACATTCTTCCAATCTGCTTTTTACATTGTCGGCCAAAGACAGTTGAAAAGGTCAAAAAGATTAAAAGAGTCAAAATTGCATTAAAGGTGTGTACTGCTTTTTAGTTAAATGTTTTAATGCTATATTCATTTCATGGGGAGGGTTAGGGCATTTGTATTTGTAACGTTTTGTTCAGTGTGCTCGTTCATATGCCTGTTGAGGTTTATGATTTCATGAAATTTCATATTTTATGCAAATATATGCTTGCTGGCCCAGTCAAGTAGGGAAAGCTGTTAAATGCGTATGCGTTTTTTTATGTTATAGCCATAGGCACTTCTATGTGAAATTATTTGGTGTAGTACTTGAAAGTTGGTTAACATAAAATGACTAATAGATGGTGAGATGATTCTCGGGTTGTGACTTATTGTGAGGTAGTATGTGAGTGAAATCTTTAGTATGGACTTATCTGCCATATCTAGTTTTATCTTTGGTTTGCATATTCTGGAATAAATGAGTCATTCTTTCAGCTGATGTTTATTCAGAGCCTGTTAGGTGGATAGCTCTGTTCTGGGGGCTCTGGGATCTCGCAGCAATGCCATTCTTTGGACTTAGGGTGCCATAATTTTGTAGATAACAATTTGTATACAAATGTCTATGTGGTTATTTCTAGTGTGTATCTACTTTCTGTTTCTAAAACAGGCCTGAATTACACTGAGTTCTGAGCCATCATGAATTTAGTGATAATGTAGCTCCATTGTGCTTAGGGTTTTTGAAAAAATATATATGTATGTATTTTTAAATTTTCTTTTGAGATGGGGGTGTCTCTATATTGCCCAGGCTCTTATCAAACTCCTGGGTCAAGTGATCGTCCTGCCTCAATCTCCTGGGTAGCTGGGATTACAGGCACACACCAGGGTACCCAGTTTGTTTTTTTGTATTTTTGCCTGCATTTAGGAAGATACTCTTTTAGCCTGTGTATTTGATTTTGCCTGACTGGTCAGTAATTGAAAGGTTGGTTGTTTATAAGAAAGCAGTGGGTATGTCTTCAAGAAATAAAATACAGTAATTCAGCTTTAAAAATTACTTAACGAAGGGGAGAGTTTGTGTAGATTTTAATTGTCTAGCATACTAGTGTACTAGCACTAGGTGCTAGAGGGATTTTATTTGGAAAAGCATCTAGAAAGTTAGTTTGGTACTTTATTATTGTTTCCCAGATAAATGTGGATGGTGGAAGAGATTTCTAGTTTGTCTTTAGAGAACTGTTACAGTAAGAGTTGATGTAGGTACAATTAAAAGTATTAACTTATTAGCTGTTTCTTTGCTCTTATGAAACAAGACATAAGAAGATGAATTTGCCTTCTCTTGGAAAGCATTAAGTGTTAATTTTAAAACATCTTAACCTAAGTAGTTGAAGTTGTTACCAGGAAATGAAGAAACTGAAATTTCCCCTTTTGATAGCTGTTTATTAATAGTATTCTGTGCTGTTTGTCTTTTCATTACTTCAATAACCAAATGATGATGAAGGTAAAAATATTTGAAATCAGATGAGGATTTTCCTGGGTGCTAGGCTCTGTGGTAAGCACTTTGCCTGAATTTTTAAATTTAATTCTCATGACAATCCTGAGGTAGGTAAATTGTTATCTCATGAATAGGAGAGTAAACTGAAGCTTTGCCAGGTTAAAGCACTTTGCCGAATGTTATACAGCTAAGATAGAGTCAGAACTTGAACTCAAGACAGCCTAATTTTTGAAGCTCAAGTTCTTGTATTTTCCTAATGTATTGTAAATTTAGGAGGGACAGGTTTCATTTTAACAGGTAATGTGCGATTCCTGGCTTTTCTTAACGGAAAGAAATTCTCACTGAGAAGAGACATGTGCTTGGGACATCCTAATGCTGCAGGAGGTTGAAGGACGTTTTTATAGCAGCACAGGTTGCCTTTTGGATAGGGTGCCAATAATTGGCTGAATAGCAGTGCATCTGACAGTTTTCCCTATTTAAATTTGTTTTGACAGTTCTGCCAAAGTATGGGGGAAGACAAATATCACTATTTTTTAAATTGTGAACTTTAACAAGAGAATATTATATTTTGCATGTTTAAATGTTATCATTTCAGCCATATTTGCTTGAGGTTTTTTTTCTGGATACTAGTTTCTGTTTGAACCTTGGTTCCTAAATTGAATAATTTTTGTGTCTCTTATGGGGAAATTTTGTCATTAAAGAATGCTCGGAGAGGGTTGGTTTTTAAGAGAGATGGGTAGTAAATGTTTCTGGACTCCTTTTGAGGAGAAGGGAGGGAATGGCATTGTTTCATATTAGAACTGGTAGAGTTGTAGATTATCTTTATTAACACTTTTATTAAAGTAATATTAAGAGCGGGAGGGGTTCATGCTTTCAAAATCATTCTTTCCATACTTCATTCTGTAAGTGTAGGATAAAACCTTGCATGAGGATTTGTTTGTTAGGTATCAGATGGCTTTTTAGGGCTGAAATAGGCTTATATTTTAAAGACAACGTCTGTAATTTAAACAAGTATTATAAAAGCAACTCTAGTGGAATTCTTAATAAAATGTATATTTTTCTTGGTTTGTTCTGGTTATAGTCCTTGAGTTTCAGAGTCCTATGGCCCTTTTCTTGTTTAGAGAACTTTGATCTTAAATAGATGCTGGCTTAAATGTTATTTAGAAGTTTAGGTACATATGCCGAGTTTATCCTTTGTTATTGTATTGCTTAAGTTTGTAGAAAATATTTGGTTAGTGGTGTAGATGAGTTGTTTACCTGGATTTTTTTTAAAAATAGTATTCATTAGAAAGTCCCCTCTACAGCTTTAAATTGGAAAGAGTAATTTGGGAGTATGAGAAAATGGGTCTGAGTATGTAGTGTGATTACAATATCTACAGCCATGGTTTCCCCTCAGGAGTGATCTGATGATGATAAGTATTCATATGATTTCCATTTGGTATGAAGTAAACATTTGAGAAACTGGCTTTGTAGCTGTGACTTACAGGAGATACTTCGGCTGAAACTTGCAATGAGAGGTTTTGGTATTTTTATTTAACAAAGTCCTCAGGCTGAAATCTTTAGGATGAGAAAGATAATTTAACATAAAGCATTAACTCCTGGTCATTTTATAAAAAGCATTTTGCTCGAATTAATTTTTCTTCACTTAATATTACCTAGTACCAAAAGGTTTATTTTGTTTTTGGGTTCTGAGCTTCTACTGGTCTTCTGTTGTGTCTGTAGCATTTTGTTGGCAAGCAGGGGTAAAGAAACGGAAAGGCCACCTAAGAATGAGAACTTGGGAACCTGGAAAATCTTAATTTCATGGTTAAGAACTCAGTCTTTTCCCTCCTACATTGCAGAAAGCGAATCTTTTACATTTGCGCATATTAGTGTTCTTCCCCTCACTGTGCTGAGATTATTGGCTGATTGGCTTTCCATTAAAAAATTACTTCTGTGGGAATGCAATGTGGTTTGCTAAATATTGTGTATGTAGCATTTCTGGTTTTTGTTAAAGGCTTAAAAACACTGATATGTAAAATTCCAAAGGGGAGTTTTGTTTCTGTGGAATTTTTAATATGTTGCATGTGATCAGATATCTCATTTTTGTACTTCTATCATTGTTGAATGGTGAAAAGAAAAAGTATTCTAGTTGACTAGCATATTGTTTAACAATCTGGGTGGTAACTTTATATAATTTGATCTGTTTCTCTAAGGATTTGAGCTTTGAATTTTAAGTCATGTATCTTACTATGTTAGTGCAAGCTATATGCTCTGGTCAGTTTGCCTGTAATCCTACTTTTGGTAAAAAGTTAAACATGGAAATAAAACTCAGTAGCATCTTTTATTTCTGAGTCTAAGAAAACAGTGATTTTTCATTATGGAAACTTGGTTGCCACCTGCTTTCCAGATTAGTAGTTGACTTAATGCTGAGGCATTTTGATAACTGGCTTGTGTTTTCCTTCCAGCTTGTACTCCCAGAGTACCTCATCCACGCTTTCTTCTGTGTCATGTTTCTTTGTGCAGCAGAGTGGCTTACACTGGGTCTCAATATGCCCCTCTTGGCATATCATATTTGGAGGTAATATTTAGATACACTTTTAATATTTTTTTAAATTAAAACTTAAATATACTGTGGTTGATATGGTTATCTTACATGCTAGTCACCTACATAAAAATGGAAGATCAGTTGGCATTTATTTTTTTAAAAATCAAGTGGGTGAACAAAAACTATTTCAATACCTCATATAGAGCTTACTTTATTTTTAAAGGAATTTTTTTAAAAAGTGAAGTATAACTTAGTGTTGTGCACAAGTCTGAAGTATATAGCTCAATGAATTTTTACATACGTATACACCTGTTAAACTACCACCCAGATCAAGATACACAACAGTTGTAGCCTCCAGAGCATTCACTTATGCCCCATCTTAAGTCAGTTACCCTCCACACCTCCCAAGACCACTGACCTCTATCAACTTAGATTAGCTTTGCTTGTCCTTGAACTTCAGGTAAGTCAAAATGTACAGTATGTGTCTAATTTCTTTCTGTGTTTATGACTAATTTTGGTTATTTGTAAAAGATAATATTTTATAACTTCCATAGTAATATCTGCCGTATATAGAGTTAGAAGTTTTTGTTTTAAATAGGCATGTCAAAACCTTATTGCCCTTGATTTTAGGAGACATATACTGAAGAAGTATTTAGAAGTAAAGTGTTATCAGGTCTACAATGGACTTTGAAATGATTCAGAAAAAAATGTACTTGGCCGGGCGCAGTGGCTCACGCCTGTAATCCCAGCACTTTGGGAGGCCGAAGTGGGTGGATCACAAGGTCAGGAGTTCAAGACCAGCCTGGCCAAGATGGTGAAACCCTGTCTCAACTAAAAATACAAAAATTAACCAGTAGTGGTGGCGGGCGCCTATAAACTCAGCTACTTGGGAAGCTGAGGCAGAGAATTGCTTCAGGCTGGGAGGCAGAGTTTGCAGTTAGCCAAGATCGTGTCACTGCACTCCAGCCTGGGCAACAGAGCAAGACTCTGTCTCAAAAAAAAAAAAATTTACTCAGGGCCAGGTACAGTGGCTCATGTCTGTAATCCCAGCACTTTGAGAGGCTGAGGCAGGTGGATCACTTGAGCCCAGGAGTTGGAGAACAGACTGGGCAACGTGGCAAAACCCCCCTCTACAAAAAAAATTAGCTAAGCATGGTGGCGTGTGCCTGTAGTCCCCGCTACTTGGGAGGCTGAGGCAGAAGGATTGCTTGAGCCCAGGAATCTGAGATTGTGGTGAGCCAAGATTGCACCACTATATTGCAGCCTGGGTTACAGGGTAAGACCCTGTCTCAAAACAACAACAACAAAAAAACAAAACAAAAAACCAAAAAAAACCAGTACTCAGAATGAGAAAGAGAAGGAGAAAGCAAATATAGTAAAAATGGACATTTGGAATATCTGGGTGAAAGGTTCTTGTATCTTTTCTGTAAGTCTAAAATTATGCCAAGATAAGTAAAAACAAAACACCTATTTTCTTTTTACAGTTCTTCCTATTTTTCATGGATTTCTGAAAAGGCAGAGACTAGAAGAAACTTGTTTAGCTATCTCATTCTGCTCATTTAGGGGCTCTACTTTTAAAATTAAGATGGTAAAAGGAAAGCATTTTACCCATAAGTAAAAGAATGCTTCCCTTTATGGACCACCTCTCGTAACAGATGTTTTAGAAGAAAGACCTGCTTTCTTATCTGAACATTTACTGCCCTTTCTGAATGCCTAATAGACTGTGTTTATTCCAGGTATATGAGTAGACCAGTGATGAGTGGCCCAGGACTCTATGACCCTACAACCATCATGAATGCAGATATTCTAGCATATTGTCAGAAGGAAGGATGGTGCAAATTAGCTTTTTATCTTCTAGCATTTTTTTACTACCTATATGGGTAAGTTGAAAAGGTAAAATGAAATATGCTTTCACTTTGCTGCTTTAAAAGTTTGCAGGCATTATGGTTTTCACACCTCAAAATCCATTTGAAGAATAACTTAGTGTCTTAAGTGTGCATGGTGCACACCAGCAAATTCGCACACATTCAGTGTGGCCCACACTGGTGCTTGTCAAGGCAGTAAACCAGCCTGCCATCAGAGGCAGAAGGTTTGGTCAGGGATGCTGCTTCATAAGTTTTCAGACACATTCAGTCAGTAAAGGATGGTCCTCATTCTCCATGGCAAAGTGATGTCATTGAAGGATAGGGATGTGTGAGTTTGCAGAAATTTCTGCTTGTCTTCAGGGTCTCTCCAGACATTATGTTTCATTTTTTCCTTATCATTCTTCATAAGTGGTGTGCTCTGCCCTTTATTTTCTGATTTGCTTGATTTGAGTGGTATGAATGAAAGAAGTAGTTCTACCTTACAGGGTGGTGCAGTTTCCGATTTTTGTTCTTTTTTTTTGAGTCGGAGTCTCTGTTGCCCAGGCTAGAGTGCAGTGGCGCGATCTCTGCTCACTGCAACCTCCGCCCCACCAAGTTCAAGCAATTCTCCTGCCTCAGCCTCCTGAGTAGCTGGGATTACAGGCGTGCACCACCACGCCCGGCTAATTTTTGTATTTTTAGTAGAGACAGAGTTTCACCATGTTGGCCAGGTTGGTCTTGAACTCCCGACCTCAGGTGATCCGCCCACCTTGGCCTCCCAAAGTACTGGGATTACAGGCGTGAGCCATCGCGCCCAGCCTGATTTTTTTCCTTTTATACTCTCATGGACTCATTGTTCCTCTAGGTCAGGGTGTCTCAGCTTCGGCACTGTTGACGCTTCTGGGCTGTGTGGGAATTTCTGTGGGAAGCTGTCCTGTATATCATGGGACGTTCAGCAGCATCCCTGGCCTTTACCCACTAGTTGCCATGAGCACCCTCCTGCCCCCTCATGACAACCAAAAATGTCTCTGGACATTGCCAGATGTCCTGAGGGGCAAAATTGCCCTGGGTGAGAACCACTGCTGTAGGTGTGTTGTAGGTGCAGTGAAATGACTGCTTATTAAAACTAGAAAAGGACACTGTTAAATGTAGAATTATATATTTCTTTAAGCTATGTGAATATACTTTTACACATCACTTATATAAAATACTTTCTCATTTTTTATTAATACATACTCAACTAGAGAGGACTTTCTCCTTGATTTTCAGAATATTTCCAAAAAAGCTGTAAGCTTTAAAAAACAGCATAAGCTTCCCTTCTCTTTTTCATTACTTGAAAACTTGCTAAGATAGGCTTATATTCATATTCATATTTCTCTTCATACATAAGTTTCCATCATAGAAAAGATGAATGGTTAGACTGAAATTTAGGAAAAAGGTATTTTTGGTATTTTTATGCCTTTAGAGGCTATTACTGTGAAAATGAGTATCCTTTAGTGCATATGCAGATATTACTCATCTATGAAACAAAGAAGTGCTCTGAAAAGTGAAATTCTATGTGTCACTTTAATTTCCTGTTAATTTTCATTTCATAAGTTTCCATAGCAAATGTCTGGAACGGGCTGGTGTATGATAGGCACTTCATACGTATTTGTTGAATGAAAGAAATGAAATGAATGATTGAATAAATGATAAAGTTGGAGATGTGCAGTTGTGGGAAAATGTTCAGCAGGATATGGTAGCACCAGGACATTTGTTGTGTTTTAAGGTTGTCTATCAAGCTTGTTCAACTCCTTTGTATTTCTGTTTAGAGTTATGTGCTTTTTGAATCATGCCCCTATGCCGTTCCCATAGCACTCTGTAGAATTGCCCTTGGCAGTTCTTAAACCTAAATCAAAAGGTCATTGCCTTTTATTTTGCTGTTTTCCCCCCTTTTCTTTTTTAACCACTTCCTAAAAGTTGCTATTGCTTAGATCCTTTCTGTAATGGGAAAGATCCTTGATTGATCATTCCTTTCTATACAATGGGGATACACATGGTACCTGCCTTCTAGGACTCCTTGAAGGATTAAGCAAGGTAATGTATATAAGAGACCTAACAGGGCCTGGCGTGAAGTGAGCCCTCCAGAGATACTCATTCTATTATTAGACACAACTCCAGAGTGTGTGATGTTTGGATGGCTTCTCTAAGCTCTGATCCGCCATTAAGCTTTCAGCTGTGCCGTTCTACTTGCTAAAATTGGAAGGGAATAGGGGACAACTACAGCATATGCACTGAGCCAAGTCATATGTTAGGCAAAAGTCCATAAATGCAAATTAAAATCACTGTGAACTTGTCATTAGTCTTGTCATTTTCTGTGATACTAGTTTGCTATATAAAGCATACTCTCTCATGCTCTGAGTTTTTTTTTAATAATTAGTAATGTTCAAATTAACATCTTTTTTCTTCTTTTCAGCATGATCTATGTTTTGGTGAGCTCTTAGAACAACACACAGAAGAATTGGTCCAGTTAAGTGCATGCAAAAAGCCACCAAATGAAGGGATTCTATCCAGCAAGATCCTGTCCAAGAGTAGCCTGTGGAATCTGATCAGTTACTTTAAAAAATGACTCCTTATTTTTTAAATGTTTCCACATTTTTGCTTGTGGAAAGACTGTTTTCATATGTTATACTCAGATAAAGATTTTAAATGGTATTACGTATAAATTAATATAAAATGATTACCTCTGGTGTTGACAGGTTTGAACTTGCACTTCTTAAGGAACAGCCATAATCCTCTGAATGATGCATTAATTACTGACTGTCCTAGTACATTGGAAGCTTTTGTTTATAGGAACTTGTAGGGCTCATTTTGGTTTCATTGAAACAGTATCTAATTATAAATTAGCTGTAGATATCAGGTGCTTCTGATGAAGTGAAAATGTATATCTGACTAGTGGGAAACTTCATGGGTTTCCTCATCTGTCATGTCGATGATTATATATGGATACATTTACAAAAATAAAAAGCGGGAATTTTCCCTTCGCTTGAATATTATCCCTGTATATTGCATGAATGAGAGATTTCCCATATTTCCATCAGAGTAATAAATATACTTGCTTTAATTCTTAAGCATAAGTAAACATGATATAAAAATATATGCTGAATTACTTGTGAAGAATGCATTTAAAGCTATTTTAAATGTGTTTTTATTTGTAAGACATTACTTATTAAGAAATTGGTTATTATGCTTACTGTTCTAATCTGGTGGTAAAGGTATTCTTAAGAATTTGCAGGTACTACAGATTTTCAAAACTGAATGAGAGAAAATTGTATAACCATCCTGCTGTTCCTTTAGTGCAATACAATAAAACTCTGAAATTAAGACTCACTTTCAGTGCATTGTTTGAGATTAAAAATAGTATTTCTTAAACTTGCTTAATCCATGATAAAGACATGTTGCTGTCATTTTTAAAAAGTGACGTACTACATTATGGGTTTTCTGAAAAATACCATGCCTAGATCTAAAAAGGAAAATTTTTAAATGCCGAGCACATTAACCTCTTTTGTCATTTGACAAGATTCATAAACGTGGATGGCATAGCATCATCATTTCTCTTACCAATTAAGAAAAATTATGGTGGCACTTAAAATATTTTACTTTGATTTTTCCTTTTTGGAACAGTCAGTTTTAAGGTAAAATGGCTTGTAAATTTGAGTTTTTGCTGCTGCTTGTAAGGCAGGTAAATTATGGCTTGCATGTTTTCATAAGCATAAATAAATCTTGTGCTTTATTTGGGATGAGGAAGTTAAGGCAGTTGAAAATAAAATAAGTGGTTTGGAAGTTTCTTGAGAAGAGGATCAAAAGAAAGAGAACCAATATATAGAAATTTCACATGATCAAGGAAGTTTATGGATGCGTTTGTGGAAATCTTACTCTATGAACTTGTTGGATTAGATGCTGTTTTATTCTCTACTAAGTGAAAAGTGCTTTATTTCAGTGCTTTCCCATGGTTGGGAGAGAGTAGCTGTTAACTATTCTGGGTAATGGGGGTGAGTATGTTGAGGAAGAGATTTAGAACCAGAAGAGTGAAGAGACTCAAACTGTTCCATAACAAGGAAAGCTTTAAAGACCTTGTATTTCACAGTCTGGAGAACTAGAGGGATCTGACTCTTGGTCAGTTCATGTAACAAATTATTTATTGAGTACTTGCTGGGCTCTCAAGATTCATGCTTTGAGCACAGGCAGTCATTCAGTTTCCAGTCCACCTGATTACATCAGCATGCACTTAGTTTTCTTTCTTGTTCACAAGGACTTTTGATCATGCAAGACCTGGCCAAGTCTTCTATAATCCAGATGGGTTTCCTGGGGCTGTTACTTGAGTATTCCTGTCAAAATATTTTCGTGAACCCTGCCTCTCTTAGCAAACACTACTTCATAAGTGTTAACAAACATCCTTTTAATAATCTATTCCAGAATATTCTCCAGGAGTAAGTTTACTGGTTGGGATTTGTGGAAGCCATTTTCTCATGTTTCCCAAATAAGATATGTAGTCTTCAGCTGATTCCTCAAAGATGATTGACAGGGAGTTTCACCCATCTTTGTGGTAGTTTGTGAGTTCCTAGGCATGTAAGTGATTAAAAGATTGAGTACCTGCTCTCCTAATATCTACCCACTTTTACCATGTCAGTGTTTTATGAATTAGATCACTTACCAAGAGAAAGCAGAAACGAAATACTTGAATCTGACAATATCCGACTGGCTCTTTTCATTGCTCTGGATTTATTTTCCACATCAATCTCTTTGGGGTGGCCCTAGCCTATTATTCCTGTGGGTTCAGCTGAGGCATGGTTAGCCTGGGTTTATAATTCAGTTTACGTTAAACATTCCCTGTGCAGCAACAGCTGTTCATTTAGGTACTCTTTTTTTTTTTCTCCTTATTACAGTTACTTTTGGTATTATGTGCTTTATCTTTAAAAGCTTTCTAGCTCTAGGAAATTGTTTTCCCTGTTTGTGTCTATTTTATTGCATCTTGTGTAACACTGTGGTTATATCTATACCAACAACTTTTTGTTGCTATGGATACCACAGATTGTCCTGAATTAAAACCCTAACATAATAAATGTCTGTTTAGCCGTTACTTTACTGAGTAATAATACTATATTGTGGCAGTATGGCCCTTTAATACTAAGGAGGTATGGTGTAGAAATTATTTGAACACTCATATCCAAATGTTATTAATGATGTTTGACAGTTTTCTCAATGCTTAATGATATTCCTCACTCCTCATTCCAGGGTAGAGGAGGGTTTGGTCCCAGGCTATGGACAAACTGCTAATTTGTTTGAAGTTTGAATTATTTTTCATGGGAAAGGGAAGTGATAGGAAATGACCAAGACCATCCACTTTTGACTTGAGTATGGATCGAGTATAAGTAATAGTTTCCTAGCCTCACTGATTGTACCATGAACTGACAGACCTACCAGTCAAATTCATGTACCCAGATAATGGTCTCTCACATGGCAACAAAGTACACAGCAGTTTGCAGTATGTGTCTCTTTTAAAGCCAGTTCAGTGTTTTCACCTTGACGACCACTCCTGCAAACAGTTCTCATAGAGCTCTTCTCTGCTCCCCAAATCAATATATTTTGAAGCTATGTCAAATATTTACATAGAAAGGAAATAAAGTTGTATGTGCTTTGAAACCAGCAAAATCCTTTGTACAACACCTCTCTTCTCCTTCTATGTTTATGAATAGAGTTCGTGGAATATTGCCATAGTGCAAATAATGACTTCCGTGTATCACTTATACCCTGTAGGGGTGAGCTTTCACCTTAGGTGTGGTTATATCCTAGCAGTGTATCAAGCCCACTCAAATAATGGTCTATATTTAAAAGTATGTGTCTAGTTTACTTATTTATGTCATTTAACATCCATAAATGTACATCTCTCAGTTGTATATCATGATTGTAAATCAGAAATTTTGATGGCAAAAATATTCTAAAACAACATTCTTCAGGGGAAAGAAAAACATGGATACCTTATCTAGCATTGCTCATAAAAGTACTCATGTTCATCCTTTTTGGAAACTATTAATCATGCTAGCCTTAGATCATTTTAAGCTCCTTTGCTCAAACCAATCATTGATGTGCAGTATGACCAGCAGCTAGTAAGTCTGTGGTGCTACCAGTATAGCTTGGAAGATGGTTCTGAATTAATACCTCAGAATGATATCAAAAGTAAAAGAGTGGTTCTATTGCTAAATATATTGACTAGCTTTCTTATAACAATTTTACTTTGAAATTCAAAGTTCCAAAGCTAAATGTCTAAAAGAAGTAACTGCAGCTTGTTCTGCTGATTTTGGAAAATAGTATTAACCATGTAAGATCTTTGGGGTTGGAGTGAAGGTCTTATCTGCATTAATTTTGTTAATGCACATTGTAGATGTGGAGAACATCTTGACCTGCATAAGGATTGCGTCTCATTTTATTGTGTAGTGCTTTTTCGAAATATTTACATTTCTTTGGTTCCCATGTTCATGTATTCTGGAGAAGTAAAATTTCTTGATTACTGGGCAGACCCTAAAACTACTAAGAGAAACATAACATGTAGTTAGCTGTCTGCTCATGGTTTGTTCAAATCTAAGCTAACCTTAATGGTGCTGTGTCCGCTGTCCACAGAAAACGCCCTTAAGTAGCCCTACCTTACTCCTTAGAGCTTATTTTGCTTTTGTATTTAATAAAAGCTGTCTTAAATGTTTCCTTGTGTAGTTTATGCATAATGGTTGAGTCTGTGTGTTAATTCAATTTCAAATGCCACTAGTTTGTGAATGACCAGGACTCTGATTCTCTCTCCGCCCTCTTTCCTCATTGTTTTGGGGAATATCACACAGGTTAGGTAGAGAAAATACTTTTCCCTGGAATGCTGGAATCTTTAACTGGACAATTATATTTTAGTAACTGACATCTCATGTTTCTTTGTTATAGAATAGTTGATGTTTTCCCGTATACTTAATATTAAAGTGGTTTAGTCGAGCATTTTAAAAAATTTTTAAATTTTTTTTTGAGACAGGGTCTCACTGTCTTCCAGGCTGGAGTGCATTGGTGTTATCATGGCTCACTGTAGCCTCTACCTCCCTGGGCTCAAGTGATCCTCCAACCTTAGCCTCCCAAGTAGCTGGGACCACAGATGCATACCACCACACCTGGTTAATTTTTGTATTTTTAGTAGAGACAGGGTTTCATCATGTTGCCTAGGCTGGTCTCGAACTCCTGAGATCAAGCGATTTGCCTGCCTTAGCCTCCCATAAGTGCTGGGATTACAGGCATGAGCCACTGCGCCTGGCCTACTGAAGCTTTTTAAATGTAGAGGCTTAAATAGCACTTGCCGTGGGAATTGAGAGATGCAAGTACTTTCAAAATTCAGTTGATTATTAAAGTATTTGATTAATCCATGCCAATATTTTCTCTCAATTTTCTAAGTATTCATGAATAAGTTATGTATTTATGTTGAGAGAATGATAATATATATGCTTCTCAACTTGCAATGGAATTATCTCCGGACATCATAAGTTGAAAATGTAAGTTGCAAATGCATTTAATGCACCTAACCTACCAAGCATCATAGCTTAGCCAACCTTAAACGTACTCATAACATTTACATCAGCCTACAGTTGGGCAAAATAATCTAACACAAAGCCTATTTTATAATAAGGTGTTGAATATCTCAAACATTGTACTGTACTGAAAGTGAAAACAGAATGGTTGTGTGAATACTTGAACTATAGTTTCTACTGAATACATATTTCTTTCATAGCATTGTAAAGTTGAGAAATCCCAAGTTGAACCATTGTAGATTGGGGACTGTAAAAGATTGGCTAATGTAAATATCAATGACTGTCTAAAGTTTAATAGAAATTGTGATTTTTAAATTGTGTATGGTTATAATACAAAAATCATGAAGAAGGCCAATCTGTTATTACAGTGTGTACTTAAAAAACATGCCTTCCTTGGGCCGGGCACGGGTGCCCACGCCTGTAATCCCAGCACTTTGGGAGGCCTAGGCGGGCAGATCACGACGTCAGGAGATTGAGACCATTCTGACTAACACGGTGAAACCCTGCCTCTACTAAAAATACAAAAAATTAGCCAGGCATGGTGGTACGCGCCTGTAGTCCCAGTACTCAGGAGACAGAGGAAGGAGAATCGCTTGAACCCAGGAGGCGGAGGTTACAGTGAGCCGAGATCATGCCACTGCACTCCAGCCTGGGCGACAGAGCGAGACTCCATCTCAAAAAAAAAACAACAAAAAAAAACTTTTCTTGCTATAACTTTTGGTATTAATTATATGAGAAAATGAAATCCCTAGGTTAACCATTTAGATACTGCTGGGATATGTGATCCTCCTACCTTCCTTAGTATCCTCATAAAATGTTAAGTTCTAGAAGCAGCGTTATGTATAAAAGTACAGTCAGCCGTCTGTATCTATGGGTTCTAAATCCGCTGACTCAACCTCAGATTAAAACTATTTGAAAAATAAATACTACAAATAAAACCAATACAGTATAATAACTACACATCATTTACATTGTATTCGGTATTATAAGTAACTAGAGATGATTTAAAGTATACAAATACTATGCCATTTTATATCAGAGACTTGAGCATCCATTTATTTTGCTGTTGGGGGTGGGGTGGGGGGTCCTGTAACCAATCCTCTGAGGATAACAAGGGATGACTCTATTAATATATTGATTTTATATTACAATACATACTAGTGCTCTGAAATTCCCAAACAGGCTGGTCATTGTTTTGCATTATTTTGTAATGAAATTCAAGCAGTTAATCAGCAGCAAGAAGAGTAGTGTGAGACAAAATAAGATGTTTAGTCATTGTATGATTTTTTTTTTTTTTGAGACAGAGTCTCTCTGTCGTCCAGGCTGGAGTGCAGTGGTGTGATCTCGGCTCACTGCAACCTCTGTCCCCTGGGTTCGGCTGACTGCAACCTCTGCCCCGCCGGGTTCAAGTGATTCTCCTACTTCAGCCTCCCAAGTAGCTGGGATTACAGGCGTGCACCACCACGCCTGGCTAATTTTTGTATTTTTAGTAGAGATGGGGTTTCGTCATGTTGGCCAGGCTGGTCTCAAACCCCTGACCTAAAGTGATTTGCTCACCTTGGTCTCCCAATGTGCTGGGATTACAGGCGTGAGCCATGACGCCCAGCCAGTCATTGAATAATTATTTAAAAATGAAATTTTGATGTAGTGAAACTTTGTCTTTTGTGGAAGTGCCTATGAGTCTGCAACCTGGTGGTCATTGCCAAATTGCCATTGGTTCACACTTGTAATTACCAGTAGCCAAGAGAGCCATGTGACTACTGTAAGCCCTACTGAAACCACTGACTGTTAAAACAAGTGTGTTTGTTTGACACATTGTGTGTGATCCTTGTCTACAGCCCAAATGACTGTTTTGGGTAACTCAAAGTTGAATTTAAAGATGAAAAAAGATAGGTTTCATAGTATAGGGGGAAGTGAAAGAGTGAGAGAGTTGGAAATTGTTAATCTGTAGCTAAATTCTTTATGAAATAAATGTGAAAGGATTAAGCTCATTC
This sequence comes from Homo sapiens, assembly GCF_000001405.40. Classification (NCBI taxonomy): domain Eukaryota; kingdom Metazoa; phylum Chordata; class Mammalia; order Primates; family Hominidae; genus Homo; species Homo sapiens. The sequence goes on along the minus strand of NC_000014.9, from coordinate 54,420,710 downwards.
CGTGTAGTTCCTAGGGCGGACAAAAGGTGGAGCAGCTGTCTGAACCAGTGAATTCCTTGTCTCTGAAAATGTTCCAGCCCATAGTGAATAAACACCCTTGGGGCTGATCCAGTACTGGGAGGGGGCGAGTGGAAGACTCACAGGATCCTTTTCAATTCCGGAGGTCTATGAAGTAAAAAGCGGAAGAAGTTTTGGGAGGAATAGAGAGGGAGGGGGACATCATTTAAAAGTAAGTTTGGGCACTCATACCAATTCTCATACTTACTACTTTGTCATATGCTACCCAGTGGTTACAAACAGTAAAATGAAGTAAAAGTGCAGTACTAAGTATTAAAAATAGGCATTCAAATATTTTTCCAAATGCATGTTTTCAGCATTACCTCCAGGTAGAATATACCAGAACAACCAATTCATTTCTAAAAGGAAAATTGCATACCAATTTTCCTATCCCAATTTTCCTATTCCTATAAGAAATGAAAGAGACACAACGAGTTTTGTCAATAAAACTTTAGGAATATCTGCACATGTACATTTACATTCAAGTTGATAACACTGGTGGTTTCATTTCAATACAAATTATGCTAGAGAACTGACATTTCAGACATGGTCATATATATGCTATTTGAATTCCTTTATCTTGATACAGATCTTGATTGTGAATCTCTTGATGATAGATGTGCAGCTAATTTGTCCCGAAACTCATGAAGATAATTGTATTGCTGAAAAAAGTAAAGATACATTGGAATACACTGTAGAAAACTAGTTATCAGTGTGGGCACAATATTAGCAGGTATCAGGAATAAAAAAAAATACTTGCTAAGCACAATTCTACATCTTTTTGGGTAAGGAAGCATTTGCATCATGGGGAAGTTTTATCTTTTAGTAAAGCCATATAGTGTGAAAAACTATTGTTCTACAAGTCTCTAAAAATCAGAAGGTGAAATGAAATGTAGATGGATATGTTTTAAGTCTAAAATTCTTTCTCTCTTTACTTACAGGACCAAATAAGATTAAAACAGTACATAATGGCATTATTTTTGCTAACATTTTTCCCCCCTGGTAAGAAGGACAGAGCACTTTCTGTAGCAAGTAACTGGTATATTTAACAAAATCCATTTCTCAATTTATAGAAGCCCTAGTCTTCTGCTTTTTTGTGATGACATAATGCACTAGGGATAATTTTCATAGACAATATTTTTTAAAAACAAACTGTATTGCTAATCTCAGCAGATAAGCAAAATAAAAGCTTTAAATAATTTATTTGGAGTTTTAATAGCCTCCCAAAAGATATTCTTACTCTGCCAATCATCTCATTTCATATCCTTATTGAGATGTGGAAACTGCATTGCTAACACCAGCAAGCCTGTTTGCCACAGAATGCTGAGGTGATAAACTGAGTCTGTAGTAATATGGACTTAATTATCTGCAATGTTAAAGATGTAAAACATATGGATATTCATATATACATCTGGCCATGGCCATGTAGTTTGTTTTCAAGAGAAGAGAGGTGAACTTTTTGGATTTGAAGCATCATTTGATTTTTTTTTTTTTTTGAGACAGGGTCTCACTTTGTCGCCCAGGCTGGAGTGCAGTGGTGTGATCTCGGTTCACTGCAACCTCTGCCTCCCAGGTTCAAGTGATTTTTGTGCCTCAGGCTCCCAAGTAGCTGGGACTACAGGCACACATAACCACCCTGGCTAATTTTTGTATTTTTAGTAGGGACAAGGTTTCGTTATGTTGGCCAGGCTGGTCTCCAACTCCTGGCCTTAAGTGATCCACCCAGCTCAGCCTCCCAAAGTGCTAGGATATAGGCATGAGCCACCGCGCCTGGCCGCATCGTTTGATTTTTAACATAAAGAGAGTTGTCTGTTTCAGACCTGTACAGTGGAGTGGATCTTGTATGGATTGTCCCGTTAATGACCTTATTTAAGCCCTAAGAATCAGGTTGCTTGGTGAATTTATCAGTAATTATGATAATTCACTGTTAATGACACTGGATTAGACCTCCAACCCTGGGAAGATGGGCTCTCAAGTCTAGGGAGCTGCCTAACAGCCAGGATTCTTTGGTGCCCACTCCTCTGATGAGCGGATTCTAATGCTGAGAGGGCACGCTTCTGAAAAGAAGGCACATTAGCTTTACAGATCTACAAAATGAAGTGACATCTGCAGAATCTTTTCAGTAACATGATTAATGCAATATCCTTGGCATTGCTAGTGCAGTGTTTTGAAGTGTTAGGGGAATGTACATGTGGAAGATGTCCCCAGTTATCTACTGCAAAGGATAATTAGCACTGCTTTCCATTTTTTGTATTATAGTCATTCATCTGTCTTTATTAAATGTTTTGGTGATATAACAAGATCTTCCATAGATTTTTTTTGGCCAAGAATCTACCCAAGAACGTACCAAGTTTGTATTAACAATAACCATCTCATTGTCCTAGGTGAGAGGATCCATTCCCAAAACGGACTGGGGCAAAAACTGAGAAGTAGGTAGATCCTGGAAAAGTAAACCAGGAAGTTCAAATTTTCATTATCTTGTTTGAAATCCTGTGTGCTTTTTTAGACTACCTGGATTATATTTACTTGTAAATTTTTAAAAACTAAAAGCATAAGCAAGTGGTATTTGAATAACAGAGTGCTTTGGATTTTCATTTCACTGCCCTTTTGGATTTTCATATGTAACCTTTTGGTTACACATGAATCTGTATTTGTAACAACGACCCCAACCACAACCAAGCAAGCACCGCCCACCTCCTCACCTTGATGGTCTGTATTGCCCCGGATCCTCTTAGGTCTCGCAGGCTGTCTATGGCTTGCTCTGGTGATATTGTGTCAGACAGGTATAGTAGGAGACAAGCAGCTACTAATGGAACATGACAGAAAAATAATATGTTATTAAATAACTAGTGACAGGGTACAGCATTTTATATTTAATAAGACTTCTGTTGATACAGAAGACTGGTGTAATTGTTCCAAATGAATTAAAAGACTGAGACTTTTAGTGTGTGTTTTTGACAGTTAAATTATGATCTTAAATGACCGTATGGTTGAATTAGAGTTTAACACTGGCTTCATTCTTTCATCCATTTAAAGTGTTCATCCATTCAGTGATTTAGTATATTTACAGATATGTGCAACCATCACCACAGTCAATTTTAAAGCACTTCATCACCTCAGAAAGAAGTGTACCCTTTTGCTGTCATCCTCTATTCCCCATCAACCCCTGCCATAGGCAACCACTAGTGTACTTTGTCTCTGTAGATCTGCCTATTCTGAGCAATCACATAAACGGAAACATACAATATTTTTTTGTGTGTGTCTGACTTCTCTTAGCATAATGTGTTCAGGGTTCATACATATTGTAGCATATGTCTGTATTTAATTCCTTTTTATGATCAAATAATATTCCATTGTATAGATATGCCACATTGTGTTTATCTGTTCGTCAACTGATGGACATTTAGGCTGTTTCCATTTTTTGGCTATTATGATTAATGCTGCTATAAACATTTGTATACAAGTCTTTGGGTATATACTTTGGAGTGAAATTGCTGGGTCATATGTTAATGTTTACTTGTTTGAAGAACTACTGCTAGACTATTTTCCAAAGCCGCTGCACCATTTTACATTCCCACCAACAGTGTATGAGGGTTCGAATTTCTCTACATCCTTGCCAATACTTGTTATTTTTCATGTTTTTATAATACCCTTCCTAATTGGTGTCAAGTGGTATCCACTGTGGTTCTGATTTGCATTTCCTGATGACTGATGATGTTGAGCATCTTCTCATGTGCTTACTGACTATATGTGTATCTTGCATGTAGAAAGGTTTATTCGGATACTTTGCCCATTTTTCAGTTATGTTGTTTGTTTATTATTATTATTTTTTCTTTTGAGAGAGACGATCTCACTTTGTCATCTAGGCTGGAGTGCAGTGGTGTAAACTCGGTTCACTGGTGCCTTGACCTCCTGGGCCCAGGCAGTCCTCCAGCCTCAGTCCCACAAGGAGCTGGGACTACAGGCATGCACCACTATGCCTGGCTAATTTTTGTATTTCTTGTAGAGATGGGGTTTCACCATGTTGCTCATGCTGTTCTCAAACTCCTAAACTCAGGTGATCTTTCTGCCTTGGCCTCCCAAAGTGCTGAGATTACAGGCATGAGCCACGACGCCCGGCCTATCTTTATTACTGAGTTGTAAGAGTTCTTTTTATATTCTGGATACAAATCCCTTATCAAATATATAGATTGCAAATATTTTTTCCCATTCTATGGGTAGTCTTGTCATTTTGATAGTATTCTTTGAAACACAAAAGCTTTCAATTTTGATATCATCCAACACTAAAAAAATAACTACTACTCCAGTGTGGCATTTCACGAACTCTTTTTTGTTTTTCTTAGTACATTAAAACATTTTTTAAATTAACATATAGTAATTAACTTTGGTATTCATAAATAGTTACCCATGGAAACTATTTGGAAGTTACTCTATTATAACACCTCCACAGGAAGAACATCAAAAAATGTTAAAAAATAAGAATGCAGGTGTTAAGACTTGTAAATGATGTTTTGCCAGAATCCTCCAGAACAATGCTGAAAATACCTCCCACTCCCACCCAAGCTTTCCAGGGAACACCATGTTTAGGGCCTTAAGTAATCCTTTGAGTCTTAGCAAACTTATATTTTGCTTGGTTCCATTTTAATACAAAATGAACATATGGTCTGGAAACAGAAGTTTGTCTATTTGGCGGTTAAAAAAATAATAGAAATATATTTCTTACCAAGACAAGATCTCCCAAGTCCTCCATAGCAGCTGAAAGGGAAATACAGTTTTGAAGTTTGTACATTTCATTCCATCCCTAGTTACAACTAAAGACTTGCTCTTTCTGCCTTCTATTTACAACTCTAATGCCTAGCACAGTGCCTTGCACACGAAGATTAATAAATATTTTTGATTTAATCAACTGAGAGCAAGGTGTGCTTATTTCTTTGTTGGGAGGAATTCTGAACACCTCTAAGCATCAAGATAGGCAGAGTCTTCTTATTGACCTCTTTAGGTTCCAAGATCCACATCTGAGAAATGGAGCATGTTACCAATAGATAGAAATCAGACTTTTACCAACTGTCACTTTGATTATTCCTCTGTCTAAACAAAATCTGAGTGGTTACTGCACAAATGCCATGTAGATAATAACCATTCATGTATCTAAAGGAGTCCAGAGATAGGGTATCACCGAAGTCTGGAGCATGGGCTCTGGAGCACCACTGCCTGGGCTTCAGTCCTGGCTCTGCCACTTATTAGATGTGTAAAGCTAAGCAAGTTATTTAATCTCTCTGGGACTCAGCCTTTTCACCTTTAAAATGGTGATAGCAATAGTATGTACATCAGAGTGAGGATTAAATGAGGCTCACAAATGAGTGAGCATTTGCCAAGGACTTAGAACACAGCTTTGTGCAGAGTAAGAAGTAAATGAACATTAGCTGCTGTTATCTAGCACTGTAAAGAAATTAGCAGTTTTGTATAACTGGATTTTCCAGAAAAATGGAGATTAATCCTCAGTAGCAAAACTATTCATTTAAGTCATTTTCAAAGATCCTAAAAAATGTATTACATGCTTCCTAATGTACTTAGAGGGTATACTGAGCCTAATTTAGTGTGGATGACTTATCGTTATGGACATCAATTACTGTATTGTATTGTATTGTATTGTAGGTAAAGCTGTAGATATATATTTTGCTTTAGGATGTGAAATAGAGGACTGAATAGGTATTGACCCCTAGTCTTACTCGTGAACTTGCTTTCCACAAAGTGTTCCAGACATAGAACTGTTTCAGAGATCTGGATCTACCATATAAAGGGAGAGGCTGGGCATGATGGCTCAGGCCTATAATCCCAGCACTTTGGGAGGCCAAGGTGGGAGGACTGCTTGAGTCCAGTAGTTTAAGACCAGCTTTGGCAATAAAGTGAGACCCTGTCTCTCCAAAAAAAAAAAAAAAAAAAAGCCTGGCACGGTGGCGCACACCTGAAGTCCTAGCTACTCGGGAGCCTGAGGTGGGAGGATCGCTTGAGCCCGGCAGTTCAAGGCTACAGTGAGCTATGACAGTGCCACTGCACTCCAGCCTGGGTGACAGAGAAGAGACAACTGCCTTATTAAAAAAAAAAAAAAAGATCAAGATAGAACACTTCAGTGTCTTTTTGCAAGATTAATACTATTTTATACCTTTTGCTATTTTCATCTTTTTTCTTCTATTTGATGAATTCCTACTTATCTTTTAAAACCTCAAATTTCATTTCCTAAAATGCCTTTGTGCTCCTACAGAAAGGATCATTTTCCTGTGTGCTGCCTCTCCTGTCTTATTGCAGTTAAATGGTAGTGTTAGTTATAGGTTCCTCGAAGGTGGGGACTGTGCCTCGTTTGGTAGTCTTGGCGTGTGGTACACGGTAGGTGTTACTGGTTGAATTATGTCCCCCCAAAAGACATGCTGAAGTCCTTATCCTGTACCTGTGAGTGGGACCTTATTCAGAATTTGAGTCTTTGCAGGTATATTCAAGTTAAGACGAATTAGAGCAGGCCCTCATCCTAGATGACTAGTGTCCTTACACAAGGACAACACCATGCAAAGACACAGACATCCGAGGAAGTGTGTGATGACAGAGGCAGACTGGAGGGATTCAGCTGCAAGCCAAGGCCTGCCATGGATTGATGGCCACCACCAGAAGCTAGGAAGAGGCATGGAAGGACTCTCCTCAGTCTCAGAGGGCATGGCTCTGCTCTCATCTTAATTTTGGACTTACATCCTCTAGAAATGGGAAAGAAGAAATTTCTGTTGTTTTCAGCTACCTGGTTTGTGGTACTTTGTTACAATAGCCCCAAGAAACTACAAAATACAGTAGGCAAGCAGTGTTGTTCACTAATTTTATAAAGGGCTGCAAATGTCCAGGCAGAACCAGTGAGACAGCACTGGTAGACAACAGGTCAGTGAAAAAGGTTTACCAGATCCTGTTGCTGAAGGATAAGCTCTATAGCTGTCTAGAAGTGTGGGTCCTCAAAGATGGCAGAATGGATAGAAAATAAACTAGTCACCGTAGGACACCTTCGAAAGCTCTAGGACAATGAAAAATGCCAGTTGTCAGATGCTTTATTTTATGGGAGACTGAAACATTCAGCATATGCAAAGTCACCCATCTACTGTCTATCCTGTTTGTACTCTGCACAAACATCAGAGCATTTGGGTTGCCAGAACCAGCTACAGTAGAATTTGTTAAGCTTCACTTCACTAAACAGAGCTAGTTTGATTTCTGGAAACTTTTCAGTAGAGGCTGCTTTCAAAAATTTATTTGAAAAAAAAAAAAAAGATCTCAAAATGGTTTGAAAAATAGGGCCCTATGTTGGAAAATATTTTTCCCCAGCTACATTTAACTATCTAATACTATTTTACCTATATGTATCAGAAACTTTCACATCATCAACTGGATCTATTTGAAATTTAGCTTTTATAATTAGTACTGGTTAAGTGACTATGCTTTTTCCATAGAGGAAGATGGGAAACAATAGGATGTAGAATGGCTTCTAGTTCTCTACTGCATATTCTGCAAACTATATTTCTCTGTATGTCAGAGTTCAGTTTGGCCACAAACAGGTGTGTGTCCCCAAAGACCCTCGTACTAGTTGGTTTGCCTTCAGAACTGACACTGTTGGCATGAGGCCCCTGGGCTATAGGTTTAAGAGGAGAAGTTGGCTGGGCTTGTCCTATGACTAGGTGCCCTGAGAACCCCATGGCTATTTGATATAATTTCTATACTTCTAGCTCAAAGCAATGTCCTTAAGGAACTTGGGGCTTTTGAGGTCGTAAACTATTTAATACCCTACCTTATTCGAGAAAGGATTAAGCAGGTTATTAGAATATGAAATATACATTATGCACGGCAAAGTCCAGTTTCCTCCCCATGGCTGGCTCTCTGTTGCTTTGTGTGTTTCACTTCCGGCAGAGCATCTCTTGTTTTTTATCCACATCGCCCCTTTGAATCTTTGCCATGCTACTATCTACTGCCCATTGCCACTCTCTCTGGCCTTCCTCCAAGCTGCTTTTCTTTCCTCCTCATTTTGTCCCCTTTCCTTAACCCATCTTCTTTTGTTTTAAACTTTCACACCAGCAGCTTGTGTTTTTATAGCCACTGACACACAATGAGAGGCCCTCTTTCAATCTGTTAGCAGTCATATCATCAAATGTAATTTTCAAGTCATATTTTTAGGATTGCTTATTGCTTAGAGGTAACTTTTTTGGTAGCTAATTTTGAAAAAATCGACTTTCTTTATTTTTTTTTTTCTAGATGGGGTCTCCCTGTCACCCAGGCTGGAGTGCAGTACTGTCACCTTGGCTCACTGCAACCTCTGTCTCCCAGGCTCAAGCAGTTCCCCCACCTCATCCTCCTGAGTAGCTGGGACTACAGGCACGTACCACCATGCCTGGCATGTTCTTTTGTATACTTTTTGCGGAGATGGGGTTTTGCCATGTTGCCCAGGCTGGTCTTGAACTCCTGAGCTCAAGTGAGCCACCCACCACAGTCTCCCAAAATGCTGGGATTACAGGCGCGAGCCACTGCACCTGGCCAAAAAATTGATTTTCTTGCTATTGAAAGCAACTAAGCAATTGAAAAGCTAATAAGTGAGGCAGTGATGGTGATGAGGGGAAAGGAGGGTCCCAAAATTGCAACTAAAGGTCTAAGACTAAAGGAAAGAAATAAAAAAGAAAAGCTTGTAACCTTGTTCTAACAATTTCCAAATCTACTCATTTATTGTCCCTACTCTTGAAAAGTAATAACAGCACGTATTTGACTACTTACCCTGTACCAGACATTGTGCCAGTGCTTTCCTAGTGCATTATTACCTTTTAATCCTTACAACAAACTATGAAGTAGGTGATAACTGAATAGGGCTACCATAATTCCAGAAATCATTTTGACTGAGACATTTCTCACATAGTGTATGGAGAAAAGAACGTACTGTATTAAGGTTTTTCGGTAATTTTTAAGGCAGGTTGTAAGCTCTTCCATTATTTCACAGCAGCTGGCTATGTCAGGAGTCCCTCCATCTGCGATTGGATGATGATGGGTGATAATTCCACATTGCTGGTAGAGATCCAGAAGGTTTGGGACTCTATATTTTGACAGTTCCCCTCTGGTGCAGAAAACAAATATGTCTTGTATACCACAGCTCTTTAGTTCTTCTGCCAATAGACCAGGATACACAGACACACACACATAGAAAACATCACACATTTAAATACCATCAAGAGGGAGAATATGAAATTAAATTTCTTAAGCCAAACTAATACCAAATGACAATCTATAAATCTGAAGTGCCTATTGATATGTCTGAATCAAAAGGGGTCTAGAATTAAACCTCATATTACAAGTCAAAATGCCTTTTACTGAATTTCAAAATAAGTCAATTGCTGTTCTTGCAAAAAATTTTTTTTTGCAATGAATACTGCTTTAAAATAACCCCCCCTCTTTTTTTTTTTTTTTTTTTTTGAGATGGAGTCTTGCTCTGTCACCAGGCCGGAGTGCAATGGCACGATCTCAGCTCACTGCAACCTCTGCCTCCCAGGTTCAAGTGATTCTCCTGCCTCAGCCTCTCAAGTAGCTGGGATTACAAGCATGTGTCACCACGCCCAGCTAATTTTGTATTTTTAGTAGAGACGGGGTTTCACCATGTTTGTCAGGCTGGTCTTGAACTCCCGACCTCAGTTGATCTGCCCGCCTCCGCCTCCCAAAGTGCTGGGATTACAGGCATGAGCCACCATGCCTGGCATAAAATAACTCTTAAAACACTTAAAATTGAGTAGCAAATATGGTTGATTTTGTGAGAAAAAGAAAAAAAGTGCTATCAATTAAGGTATGATAGATCTATGTTCAATTAAGGATGATAGCACTTTTTTTCTTTTTCTCACAAAATCAACCATGTCTGCTACTTCATCACTTAGCTGTTTGCTTGACTCTGAGTATTGTATATAAAATCTCCAGCATGGCCATGGTGTCAGAGGTGCTAGTATTCTCCCTCATATCTGCACTGTAACACATCCTTGTGTATTTAATTTTATAGACTAGGTCGCCAGTAAATAAAACATTACCTGTATTAAACTTCTGTGACCTAGCTATTCTCATTATAATGATATGAATACTATAGGCATTCTATACACTAGGACTTCTTTATGGCAATATTAACTATTGAGCATTTGGTTTAAAATAAATAACTGGATGATCTAAGTGCTCCCAACTCCAGCCCTCTCCCTGTCCCTTAAATCCAAGGACATGTAGCTATTTAAGTACAAAGTACCTTCTCATGAACTAATCCCTGAGATGTACAGTACTATACATCTATTTGCCTTTTGTACACATTTGGTAATTTTTATTATCCAGTGATTTTCCAACTTTCTGAGAAAGGGCTAAGAAAGTATCTCAGGAACTGCTGCAGGGAGATTCTAGGTCTCCAATCAAACATATTGACCTGTTTTATGTACTGGATTCCATTTAAGATTTCATTGCAGAAAAAAAAGTATTTTGAAAAAAATTGGAAACTGTTTTTATAGAAAATGCTAAATGAATATGACATTCCAAAATGTACAAGACTGACTTTGAACCAATGATTTAAATTACATATATTTTGCTTATGACCTAAATGTTCTCCAAATAGAAATTTCCTAGCATGGTGGGTGTGTCTAAAGCAGAAAAGTTTTATAAATACTATAAGGGTCAACTATCTATTACTGTCTTTAAGTCTTTTTTTGGTAGGTAAGGAATACTTTTTTTTTTTTTTTGAGGCAGGGTCTTGCTCTGCCACCAGGTTGGAGTGCAGTAATGCAATCTCAGCTCATTGCACTCCAGCCTGGATGACAGAGCAAGACCTTGTGATCTCAGCACCATCTCAGCTCACTGCAGCTTTGACCTCCTGGGCTCAAGTGATCCTCCCATCTCAGCCTCCCAAGTTGCTGGGACTACAAGCACGCGCCATCATGCCCAGTTAATTTTTGTATTTTTTGCAGAGACAGGGTTTTGCCTTGTTGCCCAGGCTGGTCTCGAACTCCTGAGCTCAAGCGATCAACCCGCCTCGGCCTACCAAAATGCTGGGATTACAGGTGTGAACCACTGCACCTGACCAGGAATAAATTTTTAAAAGTACATTAGCAAACTGATGTTCTAGAATAACCACGAAAAGTTTTTAAGATTCAGAAAATCTATACTAGTTAGAATCAAGCAATATATACATTTTAATTTGCCATACTATAAGGATATCGGTAGGACTAGTAGGTTTGAGACATTCCAGGCCAATCAGAATAAAATCTTTTGAAAATCCACATTTGTTAGTATCATGCAATATGTAAATTCCAAATTGGGGCAGATTATGAGGATTATTAGACTTGTGGCTATAATGGTATGAACATCCTTGAGCAGGCAACAACCAGTTCCCATTCTGTCTTTTCCATCTAGATGCTGGCTCTCAAAATTTTCCATCCAGGATTCACAATTTCACTGCTAACTTGGAGTTCCCAGCTCATGTTTAATTTCTACTACCACAGTCAAGTCTGCAAGGAACAGTAAAGACCTGGGGGGAGCAATATGTCAGTTTCCTATTTACATACTTTTTTTCATGCCAACTTCTACATTCTAACCTCAAATGTAGTTTATATGTATAATATAACTACAACAATCAGTGAAAAGCAACTCCATGGTTAGGTAAATGATGGTCTTCACAAATACCTCTTTACATATCAGAATAAGTCTATAGTTTGGAACTTCACACAATATTGAAAACTTATTTTTATATTAAAAAAAAACTGATTTGTTCTTTTTGACAGAGAGTTTTTCAATGCTATTCATTTAAAAAACCCATGAGTGTGGTTGCGTGATATTATACCTACCTGTATCTTTTTGGACATTTCTTCTAACATCTTTAAATTTACAACCTATAAGTAATAATAAAGCAAGTAAAAAAGTCAGTTTTTCGTCATATGTAACAGGTATGTTTAAACACTTATATAGCTACTTTATAAAGTCATTTCACGTAATCATTTATATGTTTCAATTATATTTTGAATATGAATTTCAATTTCTTATATTTCTAGGAATATAATTACAGGGATTCATCCTAAGCAAGGATTCTGTATTCTGTGTTTCTTCTGTAACAAGTACCTGGTTGTAGTCCTCAGCCTCATTTGTACTCCAGGCTTTAAGCTTTATTAAGATTGGCAAAGTACAAGTGTAGGGCTGTGACTGCAGATCTGGAAGGGCTGAAAGGTAGATCTATGTTCCTTTAACTATAGTCCACCATGAGGGCTTCGCAAAGTGTGTTCCCCAGTGCTGATGGTCTGTGAAATTTACTTATTGCCCAGTATAGAGAATGATGTGTTAGTTGACCAAATACTTGTTCTAAATATATTGTTGGCACGGATGTGGTGAAAAGGGAACACTTTTACACTGCTGGTGGAAATGTAAACTAGTACAACCACTATGGAAAACAGTGTGGAGATGCCTTAAAGAACTAAAAGTAGAACTACCATTTGACCAGCAATCCTACAACTAGGTATATACCCAGAGGAAAAGAAGTCATTATATGAAAAAGATACTTGCACACACATGTTTATAGCAACATAATTTCCAACTGCAAAAATGTAAAACCAGCCCAAATGCCCATCAATTAATGAGTAGATAAAGAAAATGTGGGATTCCCGGGCAAGATGGCTGAATAGGAACAGCTCTGGTCTGCAGCTCCCAGCAAGACCAATGCAGAAAGAAGACGGGTGATTTCTGCATTTCCAACTGAGTGGTACTTGGAATGCCAGCAAGACAGAACCATTCACTCCCCTGGAAAGAGGGCTGAAGCCAGGGAGCTGAGTGGTCTTGCTCTGTGGATCCCACCCCCAACGGAGCCCAACAAGCTAAGATCCACTGGCTTGAAATTCTCACTGCCAGCACAGCAGTCTGAAGTCAACCTGGGATGTTCCAGCTTGGTGGGGGGAGGGGCATCCACCATTATTGAGGCTTGAGTGGGCAGTTTTCCCCTCACAGTGTAAACAAAGCCAGTCGGAAGTTTGAACTGGGTGCGGAACCCACCACAGTGTGGAAAAGCCATGGTAGCCAGACTGCCTCTCTAGATTCCTCCACTCTGGGCAGGGCATCTCTGAAAGAAAGGCAGCAGTTCCAGTCAGGGGCTTATAGATAAACTCCCTTCTCCCTAGGAGAGAGCACCTGGCGGAAGGGATGGCTGTGGGCACAGCTTCAGCAGACTTAAACATTTCTGCCTGCTGGCTCCGAAGAGAGCAACAGATCTCCCAGCACAGTGCTCGAGCTTTGCTAAGGGACAGACTGCCTCCTCAAGTGGGTCCCTGAACCCCGCGCCTCCTAACGGGGAGACACCTCCCAGCAGGGGTCGACAGACACTTCGTACAGGAGAACTCCAGCTGGCATCCGGCAGGTGCCCCTCTGGGACGAAACTTCCAGAGGAAGGAGCAGGCAGCAATCTTTGCTGTTCTGCAGCCTCCACTGGTGATACCCAGGAAAACAGGGTCTGGAGTGGACCTCGAGCAAACTCCAGCAGACCTGCAGAAGAGGGGCCTGACTGTTACAAGGAAAACTAACAAACAGAAAGCAATAGCATCAACATCAACGGAAAGGACGCCCACGCAGAAACCCCCATTCAAAAGTCACCAACATCAAAGACCAAACGTAGATAAATCCGCGAAGATGAGGAAAAACCAGAGCAAAAAGGCTGAAAATTCCAAAAACCAGAATACCTCTTCTCCTCCAAAGGATCACAACTCCTCGCCAGCAAGGGAACAAAACTGGACAGAGAATGAGTTTGATGAACTGACAGAAGTAGGCTTCAGAAGGTGGGTAATAACAAACTCCTCCAAGTTAAAGGAGCATGTTCTAACCCAATGCAAGGAAACTAAGAAACTTGATAAAAGGTTAGAGGAACTGCTAACTATAATAACCAGTTTAGAGAAGAACATAAATGACCTGATGGAGCTGAAAAACACAGCAGGAGAACTTCGTGATGCATACACAAGTATCAATAGCTGAATCGATCAAGCAGAAGAAAGGATATCAGAGATTGGAGACCAACTTAATGAAATAAAGTGTGAAGACAAAATTAGAGAAAAAAGAATTAAAAGGAATGAACAAGGCCTCCAAAAATATGGGACAATGTGAATCAACCAAACCTATGTTTGACTGGTGTACCTGAAAGTGACGGGGAGAATGGAACCAAGTTGGAAAACACACTTCAGGATATTATCCAGGAGAACTTATCCAACCTAGAAAGACAGGCCAACATTCAAATTCAGGAAATATAGAGAACACCACAAAGATACTCCACGAGAAGAGCAACCCCAACACACATAATCATCAGATTCACCAAGATTGAAATGAAGGAAAAAAATGTAAAGAGCAGCCAGAGAGAAAGGCTGGGTTACCCACAAAAGGAAGCCCATCAGATTAACAGCATATCTCTCTGCAGAAACCCTACAAGCCAGAAGAGAGTGGGGGCCAATATTCAACATTCTTAAAGAAAATAATTTTCAACCCAGAATTTCATATCCAGCCAAACTAAGCTTCCTAAGTGAAGGAGAAATAAAATCCTTTACAGACAAGCACATGCTGAGGGATTTTGTCCCCACCAGGCCTGCCTTACAAGAGCTCCTGAAGGAAGCACTAAACCTGGAAAGGAACAACTGGTATGAGCCACTGCAAAAACATACAAAAATGCAAAGACCATCAACGCTATGAAGAAACTGCATCAACTAATGGGCAAAATAACCAGCTAGCATCATAATGACAGGATAAAATTCACACATAACAATATTGACCTTAAATGTAAATGGGCTAAATGCCCCAATTAAAAGACACAGACTGGCAAATTGGATAGAGTCAAGACCCATTGGTGTGCTGTATTCAGGAAACCCATCTCACGTGCAGAGACACACATAGGCTCAAAATAAAGGGATGGAGAAATATTTACCAAACAAATGGAATGCAAAAAAAAGCAAGGGTTGCAGTCCTAGTTTCTGATAAAACAGACTTTAAACCAACAAAGATAAAAAAAGAAAAAGAAGGGGATTACATAATGGTAAAGGGATCAATGCAAAAGAAGAGCTAACTATCCTAAATACATATGCACCCAACATAAAAGCACCCAGGTTCATAAAGCAAGTTCTTAGAGACCTACAAAGAGACTTAGACTCCCACACAATAATAGTGGGAGACTTTAACACCCCACTGTCAATATTAGACAGATCAGCGAGACAGAAAATTAACAAGGATATCCAGAACTTGAACTCAGCTCTGGACCAAGCAGACCTAATTGACATCTACAGAACTCTCCACCCCAAATCATCAGAATATACATTCTTCTCAGCACCACATCGCACTTATTCTAAAATTGACCACATAATTGGAAGCAAAATACTACTCAGCAAATGCAAAAGAACAGAAATCATAACAAACAGTCCCTCAGACCACAGTGCAATCAAATTAGAATTCAGGATTAAAAAACTCACTCAAAACTGCACAACTACATGGAAACTGAACAACCTGCCCCTGACTACTGGGTAAATTAAGGCAGAAAAAAAGAAGTTATTTGAAACCAATGAGAACAGAGACACAATGTACCAGAATCTGCAGTGTTTAGAGGGAAATTTATAGCACTAAATGCCCACATGAGAAAGCGGGAAAGATCTAAAATTGACACCCTAACATCACAATTGAAAGAACTAGAGAAGCAAGAGCAAACAAATTCAAAAGCTAGCAGAAGACAAGAAATAACTAAGATCAAGCCGGGTGCGGTGGCTCAGGCCTATAATCCCAGCACCTTGGGAGGCCAAGGCGGGTGGATGGATCATGAGGTCAGGAGATCGAGACCATCCTGGCTAACACGGTGAAACCCCCGTCTCTACTAAAAATACAAAAAAATTAGCTGGGTGTGGTGGTGGGTGCCTGTAGTCCCAGCTACTAGGGAGGCTGACGCAGGAGAATGGCATGAACCCGGGAGGCAGAGCTTGCAGTGAGCCGAGATTGTGCCATTGCACTGTAGCCTGGGCGACAGAGTGAGACTCTGTCTCAAGAAAAAAAAAAGAACTAACTAAGATCAGAGCAGAACTGAAGGAGATAGAGACATAAAAAGCCATTCAAAAAATCAATGAATCTAGGAGCTGGTTTTTTTGAAATGATTAACAAAATAGATAGACCACTAGCCAGACTAATAAAGAAGAAAAGAGAGAAGAATCAAATAGACACAATAAAAAATGATAAAGGGGATATCACCACTGATCCCACAGAAATACAAACTACCATCAGAGAATACTATAAACACCTCTACAAAAATAAACTAGAAATCTAGAAGAAATGGATAAATTCCTGGACACATACACCCTCCCAAGACTAAAGGGACTTCTTCCCTCCCAGGAAGAAGTCGAATCCGTGAATAGACCAATAACAAGTTCTGAAACTGAGGCAGTAATTAATAGCCTACCAACCAAAAAAAGCCCAGGACTAGATGGATTCACAGCTGAATTCTACCAGAGGTGCAAAGAGGAGCTGGTACCATTCCTTCTGAAACTATTCCAAACAATAGAAAAAGAGGGAATCCTCCCTAACTCATTTTATGAGGCCAGCATCATCCTGATACCAAAACCTGGCAGAGACATAACAAAAAGGAAAATTTCAGGTCAATATCCTTGATGAACATCGATGCGAAAATCCTCAGTAAAATACTGGCAAACTGAATCCAGCAGCACATTAAAAAGCTTATCCACCACGATCAAGTCAGCTTCATCCCTGGGACGCAAGGTTGGTTCAACATATGCAAATCATTAAATATAATCCATCACATAAACAGAATCAGTGACAAAAACCACATGATTATCTCAGATCTGGAAAAGGCCTTTGATAAAATTCAACACCCCTTCATGCTAAAAACACTCAATAAACTAGGTATTGATGGAACGTATCTGAAAATAATAAGAGCTATTTATGACAAACCCACAGCCAATATCATACTGAATGGGCAAAAGCTGGAAGCATTCCCTTTGAAAACCGTCATAAGACAAGAATGCCCTCTCTCACCACTCCTATTTAACAGAGTATTGGAAGTTCTGGCTAGGGGAATCAGGCAAGAGAAAGAAATAAAGAGTATTCAAATAGGAAGAGAGGAAGTCAAATTGTCTCTTTTTACAGATGACATGATTGTATATTTAGAAACCTCATTGTCTCAGCCCAAAGCTGATAAGCAACTTCAGCAAAGTCTCAGGATACAAAATCAATGTGCAAAAATCACAAGCATTCCTATACACCAATAACAGACAAACGGAGAGCCAAATCATGAGTGAACTCCCATTCACAATTGCTACAAAGAGAATAAAATACCTAGGAGTAAAACTTACAAGGTATGTGAAGGATTTCTTTAAGGAGAACTACAAACCACTGCTCAAGGAAATAAGAGAGGACACAAACAAATGGAAAAACATTCCATGCTCATGGATAGGAAGAATCAATATCATGAAAATGGCCATACTGCCCAAAGTAATTTATAGATTCAATGCTATCCCCATCAAGCTACCATTGACTTTCTTCACAGAATTAGAAAAAACTACTTTAAATTTCATATGGAACAAAAAAAGAGCCCATATAGCCAAGACAATCCTAAGTAAAAAGAACAACGCTGGAGGCATCACGCTACCTGACTTCAAACTATACTACAAGGCTATAGTAACAAAAACAGCATGGTACACATGCCAAAACAGATATATAGACCAATGGAACAGAACAGAGGCCTCAGAAATAACACCATACATCTATAACCATCTGATCTTTGACAAAACTGACAAAAACAAGCAATTAGGAAAGGATTCCCTATTTAATAAATGGTGTTGGGAAAACTGGCTAGCCATATGTAGAAAACTGAAAGTGGACCCCTTCCTTACACCTTACACACAAATTAACTTAGGATGGATTAAAGACTTAAACCTAAGACCTAAAACTCTAAAAACTGTAGAAGAAAACCTAGGCAATACCATTCAGGACATAGGCATGGGCAAAGACTTCATGACTAAAACACCAAAGGCGATTGCAACAAAAGCCAAAATTGACAAATGGGATTTAATTAAACTAAAGAGCTTCTGCACAGCAAAAGAAACTATCATCAGAGTGAATAGGCAACCTACAGAATGGGAGAAAATTTTTGCCGTCTATGCATCTGACAAAGGTCTAATATCCAGAATCTACAAGGAACTTAAACAAATTTACAAGAAAAAAACAAACATCCCCATCAAAAAGTGGGGTTGTAAAGTATAATAAAAAAAGAAAATGTGAGATATACATACACACACACACACACACACACACACGCACACACATGCCATGGAATACTACTCAGCCATGAAAAGGAACAAAATGGCATTCACAGCAACCCGGGTGGAACTGGAGACTATTATTCTTTTTTTTTTTTTTTTGAGACAGAGTCTCGCTCTGTTGCCAGGCTGGAGTGCAGTGGTGCGATCTCGGCTCACTGCAACCCCTGCCTCCTGTCAAAGCAATTCTCCTACCTCAGCCTCCCAAGTAGCTGGGACTATAGGCACGTGCCACCATGCCCAGCTAATTTTTGTATTTTTAGTAGAGACGGGGTTTCACCATGTTGTCCAGGATAGTCTCTATCTTCTGACTTCGTGATCTGCCGGCCTCGGCCTCCCAAAGTGCTGGGATTACGGGTGTGAGTGACTGCACCCGGTCACTGGAGACTATTATTCTAAGTGAAGTAACTCAGGAATGGAAAACCAAACATCATATGTTCTCACTCATAAACAGGAGGTAAACTTTGAGGACACAAAGGCATAAGAATGATACATTGGACTTCGGGGGCTGGTGGGGAACAGGTGGAAGGGGGATGAAGGATAAAAGACTTCACATTGGGTACATTGTATACTGCTCTGGTGATGGGTGCACCAAAATTTCAGAAATTGCCACTAAAGAACTTATTTATGTAACCAAACACCACCTGTCCCCCCAAAAGCTACTGCAATAAAAATATATTAAAAAATATATACATATTGATAGGAAGCCCATTATTGTGTTACCCACCTGGAAGAGCACATAAACCGAGAAACTGAGAACAATTCACTCGTGACAAAGATAGCCTGAAAAGAAGAAAAATTTTTCATGTTTAGTTAAGTTTTTAAAAAGTTATAAATGGAAATTCAGTTTAATCAATATGGGTGCTTGCCACCAAATAAAGTTGTGTTAAAGTTTTACAGTAGTCACAAAGTAAGAATTCACAGTTAAGTATCAATATGTTGGTCACAAAAAAAAACATAGAAAGACAAAGTTTTAAAACAGGGACTTATTTGCTTTGTTATTATTTAAGTCTTAAAAATGACAAGTTAGGCTGGGTGCAGTGGCTCATGCCTATGATCCCAGCACTTAGAGAGGCCAAGGCAGGCAGGCTGTTTGAGTCCAGGAGTTCAAGACCAGCCTGGACAACAAGGTGAAATCCTGTCTCTACAAAAAACAAGAAAACAAAAAACCAAGTTAATTTAAATTTACCTTAAAGATAATAATGCCTAGATTGCCAACCGGTAGTATACGGTGTACTTATGTTATCCTGTGGTATATTACCTGAGATAATTTGTATTAGTGATTTAGGAAAATGAATTGGAAAATGACTATTGGACAATTTTCTCCCCAGCATTTATTCTACATTACTATTTTAAGATTTTTAAATAGAACTTCCTTAACAGATATAATTTCATATGATGAAAACCACAGGTTTTTGGTTAAAAAGAAATAATGTGAAGAAATCATATTCCCAGTTTGCAGTACTCAGGGACAGAGGCTCACCTTGTCTGCATGTCAGAAGATGATTTAAAGGAAAACAGGAGGCATCATCTAAATACCACCTGACTTTGAAAATTAGATGAATTTTTGTGTTTAAATGGGAGTTTTAAGTGGAAATGGAAAGTAATGCTATTTGATGGCAGGACAAAAGACCTTTAGGACACTCTTTCTCTTCTGACAGTAGGGATAGTGCTTTCTTAAGAAGAGAGACTATTATATTTGCAGTGATGAGAGAAAGCATTTGATTGCTCATTGTAAAGAATCTGGTATAACCATAAGTCACTTGCCAAGATTAAAAGGCTGATTTTATGTAGAAACTTTTTGTTATTGCATTGATGTGGCTTTTATCTTAAACAGAGTCTGTTGATAGATGCATTACTGTGACATTACTTCTAAGTATTACCTAGGATTTGATTTAATGAGAAATGATTAAATATCTCATCTCATATTTGGTATATTATTCTTTTGTCATAAAAGAATAAGTAGATTTTGATACTAAATGGGAGATTATTTCAATCCTACCTCTATTTCCTACTTACTTCCTTCTACTAAGTTAGTAGAAGGGCCAAAAAAAAAAAAAGGGTCTTATAAAGAGTAAATGAATCATGGAGTTAGAATGTATAAAGAAGGGCCAAAAAAAAAAAAGGGTCTTATTCTGTATTATAGATAGTAAATGAATCATGGAGTTAGAAGATCCTTTAATGATTAGAATTATATAATCAGAGGGGGATAATCCCTTAACATTTTCAATATGTGAACTACATTCTACTAAGATTATGATGTAACTAAATTTACATTTATGATGTAGATTGTGATTTTAGCTCATCATTGATCAGAAATGCTAACATACCATGATATATGAATTGGAGTCTGTTCATCTTCAATAGGCTCTTCATCTGATGAGTCAAACTCACTTGTTTGTATTGAACTGGGCTTCAAAAGAAATGTTATGTTAAATAACTGTAAAGAATTTTTTTGTAGTTTTAGGATAGCTAATCCTTGTCTAAACACACACTGAATTCATATTTGCAATGTATTCAGCCATCAATCCAGAATATTAACGAGATCAGCAATATTAATAATAAATGACTGCTATTTACCTTCCTATTAATAATTATAGCACTGCATAGTGGAAAGAGAGTTGGATTGGGAACCAAGAAATCTGGCTTCTGATCTTGGTTCTGCCACTTACTGTATACTCTCTGACAAGCCACTTCAGTTGGTTCTGGATCTCGATTTTCCTCAACTATAAAGTGAGGAGATTTATTCATTCACAAATATTTCTTGGCCACCTTCATTTGCCAAGCACTGGAGATGCAAAAGATCTATAAGATAAATAGCCTGCCTTCAGTATGGCTGGAGAGACAGATGTGTGCATAGATTACAGAAGAAAGGTATTATATAAGTGCTGAAATGGAAGCAGAACTATACACTGTGGAACAGAGAAGAGAGTGACCACGTAGGTAGCTGGAGAAGGCTTCACAGAGGAAACGCTTTAGCTGGGTTTTGAAGGAAGAGCAGGTTTTAAAGAAGATAGGAAAGGGAGGGTGCGGTGGCTTATGCCTGTAAATCTCAGCACTCTGGGAGGCGAAGTTGGGCAGGTCACCTGAGGTCAGGAGTTTGAGACCAGCCTGGCTAACATGGCAAAACCTGGCTCTACCAAAAATACAAAAATTAACCAGGCATGGTGGCACATGCCTGTAATCCCAGCTACTCGGGAGGCTGAGGCAGGAGAATCCCTGGAACCCAGGAGGCAGAGGTTGCAGTGAGCCAGGAACACACCACTGCACTCCAGCCTGGCTGACAGGGCATGACTCTGCCAAAAAAAAAAAAAAAAAAGGAAGAAGAAAAAAGAAAGGAAAGAAGTTAAGCCAAGGGCTTGTGTATTGAGGAACTGTGATATCAAAATAGAGATGGAGTAGAGGAGATGAAGTAGTTTTGCCCACCCCTTTTCTCAAAAAACATCCCCACATGGCCTAGTAGTTTGGTGGGGGTGGTGTAGGTGAAATAACCTGCCTCCAACTTTATGAATCACTAGACTAGAGAGATTGAGATAGACTTCGTATGCTGATCTAAGCAGTTGGAACTTAATCCTGCAGCATTTTGACATGGAAGACTTCTACACTCCTTGTTGAAATTTTAAGGAATCAAAAGAAAAAGAAAAACAAAAACAAAACAGAACAAAACCCATACCCTTTTCTCACTCCCTAGTTGAAACCAATTGAAAGATAAAGAAATGGAGTTTTATTATTGTATATCAAATGGAGTATGCAGCTTAAAGCTGTTGCCACGTGGGCTTGCCCCTTGTTCACCCCAGAATTAGACAAATGTATCCACCCAGTCACAGGTGGCCATGGACAGTCTGGGGCTCCTGTGTGCCAGAGAGTGGACCAGAAAGCACCTTCTGCAGGCAGGCAGGTAGATCCCAAGAAAGAAGGAAAGAAAAAGTTGAGATACTGGTGTTCAGTTCCTTCCAAACTCGGGGATCAGATAACTCAATGGGGACAGGTGGAGAAAGAGGCCAGGAGTGAAGGACAGCTGATGTCCCTCCACATGGCAACATAGGGATTAGCAATTGTAAGCACCTAATGCTCTTTCTAGCTCTGAAGCTATATTCTACAACGGTCTTGGTACTAGAAGATCACAGGACGGCTAATTTAGGCTACGGACTTTTTTTTCTTTCT
This sequence comes from Homo sapiens, assembly GCF_000001405.40. Taxonomy (NCBI): domain Eukaryota; kingdom Metazoa; phylum Chordata; class Mammalia; order Primates; family Hominidae; genus Homo; species Homo sapiens. The sequence goes on along the minus strand of NC_000014.9, from coordinate 54,398,142 downwards.
TTCTTTTATCTTGAGATAGGGTTTTGCTCTGTCGCCCAGGCTGGAGGGCAGTGGCGTGATATCCGCTCACTGCAACCTCTGCCTCTTGGGTTCAAGCTATTTGCGTGGCTCAGCCTCCCGAGTAGCTGGGACTACAGGCGTGCACTACCACGCTCAGCTAATGTTTGTATTTTTAGTAGAGACGGGGTTTCACCGTGTTGGCTAGGCTTGTCTCCAACTCCTGGCCTCAAGTGATCCGCCCGCCTTGGCCTCCCAAAGTGTTGGGATTACAGGCGCGAGACACCACCCGGCCCTAGGCTATGGATTTCTGTTGCTTTGGCTCTATCTGAAGTATTATAATCAACTGCACCCAAAGGAAAGGCTTCCAGTAGGTTGTCAAGCCGGGCAGTAGGAAATATGGGTTAGGTGGGGGATCTTCAGCTCCTTGCCTGCATCTGTTTTTTCTTTAAAGCAACTTTGATGATTCATATTTCAAATTTGTGTGGCCCATTCACCAGGTTTATTAATCCTAACAGAGCTGGACGTTTCTGCTTCCCCAGGCCCTGTGATTCTGAACGTCACGGGAAAAGAGCAGCATTGCCAGGTGGCCCTGGGGCATGGTGACAGCGGTGGTGTCGCCCACAAGCCGCGGCGTGGCATTCGTACTCAAGGTTTCCCCAGGCCCTGTGGGCGCAGGTAGCGCCCGGCCACCCTTCGGGGCTGGGGTATCGCGCCCACTCATCGCTGACACTCAAGCTCTTCGGCTCGGTTTCCTCGGTACAACGAGGCTCGGCCCTCTTTGGCTGGGCGGCTGGGAGGCTTATGAGACCCCGCAGGGGACAGGTGACAGCCCACAGCAGGTGCACAGCGAATGTCCGTCTTTCCTTCGTCGGCCACCGACCCTGCTCCTTCGTCTCTCGTGCCCGTGCTGGGCCCGTGCGAGTCACCTCCCCGACCCGCAGAACGGTTACGGCGCCAGTCGCACTGCTACCAGGCTAGGGCTGCCCTCCGGCCCAGGATCGGGTCCCCGGGACCGCTTGCGTCCCTGCCGCCTCGCTCCTCCAAACCCCAGCACGTCCGACTCACCGGCTTCATCGCTGGCCGCCCCACGTCGAGACCAGTGCCGCCTCCCTCTGCAGCGCCGGCGACTCACCGGTGCCCCGGCCGAGCCCGCGCCCCGCAGCTTAGCTCACTGGTTCGTCCTTCTGTGAGGTGGGCGCGGCGTCTTCCAGCAACCAATCAGATCCGCTTCTGGTTTCTTACTCCGCCTTTGGGTGGCCGAAGACTCGGCCTCTAATCGCTGACTGGTTCCTAGAAGACCTTTGAAAGACGCGCGGGAGGCGGGCCCTGTGGGACGTTGATTGGCTGGGAGGGCGCCCTCCTCCCGCCAGTTGGGAGAGTGCAGGGGGCGGAGGCGGGGCGGAAGAGTCAGAAGGCGGCCCTAGCGCTTGGGGGACGCTGGAAAGCTTTGCTTCTTGATGGCAGGATGTCAGCGTGGTCCATACGGTTGGGAGGTGATTTTTTTTTTTTTCTTGAGACGGAGTTCGCTCTTGTTGCCCAGGCTGGAGTGCAATGGCGCGATCTCGGCTCACCGCCACCTCCGCCTCCCGGATTCAAGCGAGTCTCCGCCTCACCCTCCCGAGTAGCTGGGATTACAAGGATGTGCCACCAAGCCTGACTAATTTTTGTATTTTTTGTAGAGACGGGGTTTCTCCATGTTGGTCAGGCTGGTCTCGAACCCGGGTTGGGAGTTTTTGTGTTTGTGACGGAAGTCTTACTATGTTGCCCAGGCTGGCCTCGAACTCCTGTCCTCAAGCAATCCTCCCGCCTTAGCCTCCCTTGTAGCGGCTACGGTAGGGAGTTTTTGTTTCTTTAAGTTGTATTTTTATTTTTTATTTTTTAAGGGCTCAGGGAAGCACTGTATTGGATCGTCACATGAAAAACATCACATAGACTTTGTAATTATATCTAGACATACAAATACTAGGGAAAAAACTAAAAATTTAGAGTATAAACATATTTTATATGCTTGAAGTTTTAGTTTATCGTTCCAGAAACTAGACAAGTTACAGTGTAGATCAATATTCCTGTCCCCCAAATATGAATTAAATTATATTGTGTGAAAGGGAAATTATAAAATGCCAGGTAAGATAGGTCTAAGGGCCAGTGTGTCTACATAATTAGCTGTAATCTTTTAAAAATGTGAGTATTTCTCCGCCTTCTCCAGTCCCCATTTAACTAGCCATGGGAAAGGAAGTCGCCTGGAGCAGATCTGAGAAAAATATGCAGAAATTTCAACCCCTGATTCATGTTGTGAAAGCCAATGGGTATAGAGCTATTAGAAGGAATTCCTTAGTAAAGAAGGTACCACAGTTTGATTTAGAGACTGTATTAGCTAGTCATGGTTGCCCAGAGATAAAGAATGAATAGGATGTGTATATATGGATATAGAAACAGATTTATTTTAAGGAATTGGCTCCTGTGCTTGTGGAAGCTTGGAGAGTCCAAAATCTGATGGGGGGAGGCCAGTGCGCTGGAGACTCAGGAAAGGCTGTACTTCGAGTCCAAAAGCTGTTGTAGAACAAAGAAGAGCCAATATTGCATGTAAAGTCTGAAGGCTGTCTACTGGCAGAATTACCCCTTGCACAGGGCAGGGTCAGCCTTTTGTTGTATTCAGCTCGTCAACTGATTGGATGAGGCCCATCCATATTATGGATGGCAGTCTGCTTTACTCAACGTTTCCCAATTTAATGCAAATCTCATCCAAAAACACTTTCACAGAAACATCCAGAATAATGTTTGTCCAAATAACTGGGCACCATGGCCCAGTCAAGCTGATGCACAAAATTAACCATCCTAGACACCCACAGAGATTTTCCATACTCGGGAAATCCTTTTAGATCTGTGCTGTTCAATATGGTGACCATATTGGCTGATTATCTCAGGCCAAATTAGAAAACAAAATCAAATCAAAGGCCAAATTAGAAAACAAAATTTTTGTGTGAACTCAAGGGCTACTTGGGAAATACTGCTCTCTTTTAATATAGATCTGCTTCCTCAGATGAAGGCCTTAGTAGGGTTAAGGAACAGACCACACCCACCACGTATTTATAGCTATTGTTTTGATATGTAGGTTTCCATTTCATATTAGAAACGGCCATGGTACTGTGTACAAGAGAATGTAGGTGGGTATGCATGTCTAGACGTAGAATCCCGCCTTTGGTCAAATAATGAACCCGTATTTAGGTGCACCTATCGACAGGTGACAACGTGCTAGCAGCCCTCACTCGCTCTCAGTGCCTCCTCGGCCTTGGCGTCCACTCTAGCCACGCTTCGGGAGCCCTTCGGCCCGCCGCTGCACTGTGGGAGCCCCTCTGTGTGCTGGCAGAGACCAGAGCTGGCTCCCTCTGCTTGCGGGGCAGTGTGGAGAGAGAGGGAGGCGCGGGCGGGAACCGAGGCTGCGCGCAGCCCTTGAGGGCCAGCGCGAGTTCTGGGTGGGCGCGAGCTGGGTGGGCTCCGCACTCGTATGGCCTGAATTGGTGGGTTTTTCGTCTCACTGACTTCAAGAATGAAGCCACGGACCCTCGCAGTGAGTGTTACAGCTCTTAAGGTGGCACGCCTGGAGTTTGTTCCTTCCGGTGTTCGGAGTTTTTTCCTTCTGGGTTCGTGGTCTCACTGGCTCAGGAGTGAAGCTACAGACCTTCAGTGAGTGTTACAGCTCTTAAGGTAGCGAGTCTGGAGTTGTTCATTCCTCCCGGTGGGCTCATGGTCTCGCTGGCTTCACAAGTGAAGCTGCAGACCTTCATGGTGAGTGTTACAGTGTTACAGCTCGTAAAAGCAGTGCGGACCCAAAGAGTGAGCAGTAACAATATTTACGGCAAAGAGCAAAAGACCAAATTTTCCCCAGTGTGGAAGGGTACCCCAGCGGGTTACCACTGTTGGCTCGGGCAGCCTGCTTTTATTCTCTTATCCGGCCCCACTCACATCCTGCTGATTGGTAGAGCCCAGTGGTCTGTTTTGACAGGGCGCTGATTGGTGCGTTTACAATCCCTGAGCTAGACACAAAGGTTCCCCACGTCCCCACCAGATTAGTTAGATACAGAATATCTACACAAAGGTTCTGCAAGGCCCCACCAGAGTAGCTAGATACAGAGTGTCGATTGGTGCACTCACAAACCCCGAGCTAGACACAGGGTGCTGATTGGTGTATTTACAATCCCTGAGCTAGACGTAAAGGTTCTCCACGTCCCCACCAGACTCAGAAGCCCAGCTGGCTTCACCCAGCGGATCCCGCACCGGGGCTGCAGATGGAGCTGCCTGCCAGTCCGCCGCCGTGCACCCGCACTCCTCAGCTTTTGGGTGGTCGATGGGACTGGGCGCCCTGGAGCAGGAGGCGGCGCTCATCGGGGAGACTCGGGCCGCACAGGAGCCCACGGAGGCTGTGGGAGGCTCAGGCATGGCGGGCTGCAGGTCCCGAGCTCTGCCCGCAGGAAGGCAGCTAATGCCCGGCGAGAAATCGAGTGCAGCGCCGGTGGGCTGGCACTGCTGGGGGACCCAGTACACCCTCCGCAGCCGCTGGCCTGGGTGCTAAGCCCCTCATTGCCCGGCCTGTCTGCTTGGAGTGCGGGGCCCGCCCAGCCCACGCCCACCCGGAACTCCAGCTGGCCCGCAAGCGCCATGCGCAGCCCCGATTCCCGCTCTCCCTCCACACCACCCGGCAAGCTGAGGGAGCCGGCTCCAGCCTTGGCCAGCCCAGAAAGGAGCTCCCACAGTGCAGCGGTGGGCTGAAGAGCTCCTCAAGTGCCGCCAAAGTGGGAGCCCAGGCAGAGGAGGCGCCGAGAGCGAGCGAGGGCTGTGAGGACTGCCAGCACGCTGTCATTTCTCACTCGGAGCAGCCGACTGGCACCGCCAGCCCTGGGCAGTGAGGAGCTTAGCACCTGGGCCCACAGCTGCGGAGGGTGCGCTGGGTCTCCTAGCACTGCCGGCCCGCCCACGCTGCGCTCGAATTCTCGCCGGGCCTCAGCTGCCTGCCCGCAGGGCAGGGCTCGGGACCTGCAGCTTGCCATGCCCGAGCCCCCGCCCCCTACTCTCCGTGGGCTCCTGGGCGGCCCGAGCCTCCCCGATGGGCGCCGCTCCCTGCTCCAGGGAGCCCGGTCCCATCCACCGCCCAAGGGCTGAGCAGTGGCGGCGCGCCGCACGGGACTGGTGGGCAATTCCGGCCAGGGCGCAGGATCCACTAGGGGAAGCCACCTGGGCTACTGAGTCGGGTGGGGACTTGGAGAACTTTTATGTCTAGCTAAAGGTTTGTAAATGCACATCAATCAGCACTCTTGTGTCTAGCTCAAAGTTTGTAAACACACCAATCAGTGCTCTGTGTCTAGCTAATCTAGTGGGGACTTGGAGAACTTTTGTGTCTAGCTAAAGGATTGTAAATGCACCAATCAGCACTCTGTGTCTAGCTCAAGGTTTGTACATGCACCAATTAGCACCCTGTCAAAACGGACCAATCAGCTCTCTGTAAAATGGACCAATCAGCAGGATGTGAGTAGGGCCAGAGAAGGGAATAAAAGCAGGCTGAGCGAGCTAGCACGTAACTTGTTGGAGTCTGTTTCTGTGGTGAGGGGGCTGCCGGTGGTTTGTTCTTTCAACTAAATCCTGTTGTTGCTAGCCGTTTGGGTCTATACTGCGCTTATGAACTGCAACACTCCCCGTGAAAGTCTGCAGCTTTACTCATCAAGCCAATGAGACTGTGAATCTGCTAGAAGGAACGGACAACTCCAGCTGCACTGCCTTAGAGAGCTTGTAACACCGCAAAGGTCTGCAGCTTCACTGCTGAGGTCAGTGAGGCCCCTGAGGCCACGGGGAGGGATGAATAACTCCAGGTGCGCTGCTGTAAGAGTTGTAACACTCACCGAGAAGGTGTGTAGCTTCACTCCTGAAGCTAACTAGAGTACGAATCCACCACAAGGAGGAAACTCTGAACATGTCCAAATACCAGAAGGAACAAATTCTGGACACGCCATCTTTAAGAACTGTAATACTCACTGCGAGGGTCCGTGGCTTCATTCTTGAAGTCGGTGAGACCAAGAACCCACTGACTGTGCACACACTGTTACATTTTATGGCTATGACTGAAGACTCCTTAAGCAGAGTTGGACAGTTTTAAATGCAGTTGCATATATTTGAAAGTAAACCGGGCTGGCTCTGGGTGAAACACTGAAATACGGTTGGCTGTTGGTGTTTCGGGCTATCATTCCTTATGTTTGATCCTCCCCTCAAAGCGAGGATCCTTAAGGTGGGGCTGGTGTATTGGAGGAAAAGGGAGTGGTGGAAACATTTGCCATTCTTGGTTTGCTACAAGGCTACTGAGGGCTGAATAGTTCCAGAAAGTGGGTGGGCTGTGGAGTGTGTGGGATGGTGAAGCACACTCAGGTGTGCGTTTAAGTATGCTTAAAAACAGTACCCCTGAATGGAAATTGAGTTCTAAGATGGGAACCAGGTTGTACCCTTGGAAAAGGGGGCCTGGCCCAGGAAAGTTGAAAATGATAGCAGACCACAAAAGCAACTAACATTCAGCTTCACATTCAGTAGAATAAGCTCATTTAACCATAGGTGTCTTCTGTGTCATTTGTTAGTGGACCATTTTACCCACAGGCTTATTCCCATCCTAATCTCAGTATTTTGAGCTCGAGATCTTATAATCAGCTGACCTTTTCCTTCCACTCTCCTTTATCTGACTCCTGGATTTTGAGGATGCCAACCCTGCCCTATCACCTGTCAGCCTGTCTCTGGCCAGCTGCTTCTCTCTGTCTCAACTCCAGCCCTGACTGCAGCGTCTGCGGGGTGATGGTGGTGCTTCTTCTTCCTGGTCTTGTCATTAACTGCCTCAGGTCCCTGAGTTTCTGCTGTTTCAACTTTTACGTTACCCCAAACCTGGAATTGCCACTTCATTTTAAGAAGAGCTGGGCTGGGCGCGGTGGCTTACGCCTGTAATCCCAGCGCTTTGGGAGGCGGAGGGCAGGCGGATCATTTAAGATCAGGAGTTCGAGACCATCCTGTGCAACATGGTGAAACCCGATCTCTACTAAAAATACAAAAATTAGTTGGGGGTAGTGGTGGTGGTGGGGGGCGGGGGTGGTGGTGGTGGTGGTTTGTAATCCTTGCTACTCGGGAGGCTGACACAGGAGAATCGCTTGAACCTGGAAGGCAGAGGTTGCAGTGAGCCAAAATCGTGCTACTGCACTCCAGCCTGGGTGGCAGTGAGACTGCATCTCAAAAAAAAAAATAAGAGCAGCTGGATATACTGCTGCTGGGATTGGGATGGAGACAAGGGATGGAAGGGAGGAACATGGATGGATGGTACAAGTGGGTAAAGCACAGGAAGTGGCTGTTGGGGCAGCAAATGCAATCAGTTCATCTTTTAATTGTGTGTGTAGAGGATTCAATTTTGAAAGACTAATCTACACGTGTTATTTATAGATACTAAAAGTACGGCAAAGGGGAAAAAACTTTGTTATTTAAAGAAATTTTTAACTCATTTTATTTTTTTAATAAATATGAGAAATTGAAAAAAAGTCTTAACACGTGATAGGAAGCTAAGTATAAACATTAGAATCAAAATTAAGATAGAAATATTCAGCACATTCAAAGCAGCAAAGCTTTGTTTCAATTCAACGTTTAATGAACCTAGCATGCATCAACCACACATGAAATTAAGGAAAATAAATAGAAGAAAAACGTACAAAATATCATTAATAATATGATTGAAAATTTTGACCAAAAATGAAGATGTACTTATAGAGATTTTATAGTATTTTAAGTTTTCTGGAATGGAGCCCCCATCATCCCACGAATATCTATGTCTTTCACACATTTGGGGTTAGCACAAAACACTTTAAATTTTTTAATTTTATTTTTTTTGAGATGGAGTCTTGCTCTGTCGCCCAGGTTCGAGTGCAGTGGCGAGATCTTGGCTCACTGCAACCTCTGCCTCCCGGGTTCAAGCAATTCTCCTGCCTCAGCCTCCGGAGTAGCTCAGATTACAGGCATGCACCACCACACCCGGCTAATTTTTCTTTCTGTTTTTAGTAGAAACAGGGTTTCACCATGTTGGCCAGGATGGTCTCGAACTCCTGATCTTGTGATCCCCCGCCTCGGCCTCCCAAAGTGCAGGGATTAGAGGTGTGAGCCACCGCACCCGGCTTGATTTTTTTTTTTTTTTTTTTTTTTGAGATAGAGTTTTGCCCTTTGTCACCTAGGCTGGAGTGAATGGCATAATCTCGACTCACTGCAACCTCCGCCTCCTAGGTTCAAGCGATTCTCTTGCCTCAGCCTCCCGAGTAGCTGGGATTATAGGTGCCTGCCATGATGCTGGACTAATTTTTGTAATTTTTAGTAGAGACGGGATTTCACCATGTTGGCGAGGCTGATCTTGAACTCCCGACCCCAGGTTATCTGCCTGTCTCAGTCTCCCAAAGCGTTGGGATTACAGGCGTGAGCCAACGTGCCTGGCTATTTTGATTTCTTATAAAGTTGTTAATTATATAAACACCTAATTGCTTGTACCCTTTTGCCAGGCATGTGATTATCTCTGTACATTTTATTTGGTTAGTACAAAACTGTTAATATGTTTATACTTCTTTTTGTTTTGCTTATGTATTCCAAATTTAAGAAATTAGGCCAGGTGCAGTGCTCATGCCTGTAATCCCAGCACTTTGGGAGGCAGAGACAAAAGTATTGCTGGAGGTCATTAGTTCAAGACCAGCCTGGGCAACATATCAAGATGCTGTCTCTACAAAAATTAAAAAAATTAGCTGGGTATGGTGGCAGGTGCCTGTAGTTCTAGCTACTTGGGAGGCTGAGGTGGGAGGATCACTTGAGCCCAGGAGTCTAAGGCTACAGTTAGCTATGATTTTGCCACTGCATTCCAGCATGGGTGACAGCAAGACCTTGTCTCCAAAAAAAAAGTTTTTTTGAAATGAAGTATATTGCCTTAGTGTGCCTGTGCTGCATAGAGCTGTTCTGTTAGATACTGGTGGGGGAAGAAAGCTAGAAGAGACTGAGTGATCCTAGCAAAATAAATAGCTGAGTTGAAAAGAGAGTGGAAGGTTCAGGAGGGCTGAAAAGAAGGAAGAATAAATGAGGTGAGGGGGGTCATCTGGGAACTGAGGACCGGGACTGATAACCACAGCATCTGGGTTAGCAGATGCCCCTCATTCTCTATATTCAGGGGGGACCCAAAGAACCGAGAGACAATTGCTGCCTCCTTGGGTGGTCAGAAAAGGTCATCAAAAGAAAAACTTATTCTGAACCACAGGTAGGAATGTGTAAAATTCAAAAAGAAAATACATACTTCTTGGCTAGCTGATGGAATAAGAATCTGCATTGGACACAGAATGGAGCTGAGTGGTTGGGCGTTATTGAGAACTAAGTGGTCTTTAAGTAACAATAATTAGTAATAGCTGCCATTTTTTTAAAGGGCTTATTATGTGCCAGGCGCTGTTTTAAGATGTTTGCCTGCATCTTTTCCTTTAACTCGCTTAGTTTTCCTGAGAGGTGGTTCAAAAAGATTAAAGCAACTTGCCTAAGGTTAACTGGCCCAGTTAGTAAGGGGTGGAGCTGGAAGTTGACTGAGGCAAGTTGACACTAGAGGCTGATACTTTTAAGCACTATACTGCATCCTTAGGAAAACTTGGATCTGTACTTTAATCTTAAATATGTTAATGGGGATATGTTGATCACTGGAAAGGTACATCTCTGTTGTAAATGATATATGAACATTTGATTTATATCTTGAGTTCTTGTTGATTTGGTTAGAATTTAGAATGCCTTAGTCCTGAAGGGTTTTATCAATATGTGGTTTGGTCAATACCACTAGAATGTTAGCTCAGTTGTTTCTGCTTTGTTCTCTACTGTTTAGCATCTGAAAAACCTCTTGCACATGGACAAACATTTATTGGAGGAATGAAGACAAAGTTGGAGACTGCCTGTAGCTCCATGACACCTTGTCTGACAAACTAGTCAGCTCTCCTTGGACTTAGCCGTGGGAAGGCTCTCAGATGGTGGCAAGAAACTCAGTGAGTCGGATATTTTACCTTAATGGTTGACAACATTGTTGGGGGATACGATCTTTTTTGTAAGGAACTTGAAAAACTAAGGTCTGTCATATAGGTAAATAACAACTGTTGAAAAAAGATAAGAGAAAGGAAAAATGAACATAGAAGAGAAATATCTGGGATGGCTTTGTAGAATAATAATTTATTCGACACTGTCAATTTGTCAAGGGTTGTTCTAATTTCTTCATATATTTACACGAATGGTGGTAGGTAGAATTAATGGTCCCGACCTTTGTCTCTCTTGGTAGCCTGTCTGCCATGAGATTTTGCGGTTCCTCCCACTAATATGGTAAAGTATATTTTCCAGCTCCTTAACTTTAGATTTGGCTGTGGAACTTGCTTTGGCCATTGGAATGTTAGCATATATGTTGGGGTGTCCTGAAAACCACCTCAAGGTTGAATGACTTGCTAGTATGGACTCACATGACTCAGAGACATTCGTAGTCACCGCTATGATTTCTTACAGAGAAGGAATACCAAGCAACATCAGCAAAGAGAAGGGTGCATGGGGCAAAGTCCAGAGGGAACCAAGTCCAGAGCTCTCTCCCCGGGAACTCACACAGGACATGGCTAACTTTCTTAGCAGTGAGTTGTGACAACACATGTGAAGTGTTGTCATAGGGAGGTGTGTAGAAAAATTCTCAGTAGGATCCCATGCGGTAGGGTGGAACTCACTTGCAGTTATCCCTGTTAGGGGTCGTGGGCTTAGCCAGCTAAAATGAACCTCATTAACCATAAAGGTCTATTTTAGAAAGCCAGGTGGCTTTCTCCTTGAATTTCTGTGTAAACGTTTTGTTTCTGGCCTGAGGCATCAGTTCAGGACAGCACACTCTGGCCAGTAAGCTGGAGACTCCAGGGCCGGGGCAGTTCCATGGTAGTCAAGGCAAACCCCTAAGAAGTACAGGGTGTGCATGCCACCCCTTGAAACACAATTTACAATTCTAGGGTATCCCAAGCAGGACATACGTGGGCCAGGCAGGCAGGATAGGTGAGCAGTGCAGTGCCGCAATGTGCCCTCTCATGCTGGGTCCTCCCACCCTAGGGTTCTCAGTCCAGTCCAGATAAATTCAATTCAGTCCTCGGCTTTAGGGAGACTTTGAGACAGTCAGTTCCAAACAGCTCTGCTTGTCAGTGACATGGCTTCATTTGCCTCATGTGTGTGGACACTTATAAGTGTGCTGTACAGAGCGCAGGGGGCTGGAGCCAGCCAGCTGTGGGTGCCACGGTCAGTGCTGGCCCCATGTGGCTTTGGCTCAGGAGTCAGTTTGAATTCAAAGTGCCCGCTTCAATCTTGGAAAGGCAGCATGGGGAGTTTTCCCTCATGAAGAGGAGGAAGCTTCCAGAAACAGTTCTAAAAACAGGTCATTCCAGAAACAGTTCTAAAAACAGGTCATTAATGCCTCCCTGCCCCTGCCCCATACCTCCCCAGTGTTTTGTTTTTTCTTCTTTGTTACAAAATCAGTATTTCCCATTTTGTAATCATTATGGTTTTTTCCTAGTCACTTTTTTCTTCTCTCATCAGACCTTTTGTCTGAAAGGTTATAGGCAAGGGGACAAAAGCATTTTCACAGAAAAACAGTTTTATGCCACTTAAGCAGAAAGGCACGTCATGTTCAGGAATCAGGACAGAATCCTGAAGTTTCAAAAAGTTTCAAAATGATTGACATAACCTCCCACCTCTTTTGTCCTGATCATGTATCTAGTGAGCAGCCTAGAAAAGATCAACCCCTTTCTGGAAACAGTTGCATTTAACAATTAACCTGCCTTCTGTATTGTGTGTACCAGGAGAAAGGCGAGGGAAGTAGAATCAGGTTGTCAATTCATTATAGTCAACGGCAGCGAATCCAGAACACAACAGGTCAACGGATGTTAAGACCCAGAGGGGCTTGATAGTCTGGTCTGTCGGGGCGGTGGAGGGGTCACTGATCTCTTCCATTCCAGTTGCCGTGATGTGCTTCCCCCAGGGTGTAACTTTTGGCAGTAATTGCAAGTTAGGAACACAGTCCGCAGGTGTATTAGAAACACAGAACTGAGTAGCTCAATTTCAGGTGGTCCCATCAGAGAGTAAACCTTCTGTGAGTATCTGTATGTGACCCAGATGGTCCAGCCAGCATCCGTGATGTTTTCATAGCATCCGTGGTCCAGCCAGCGTCTTTGATGTTTTCGTATGTCTGCACAGAGGAATGTCTCAAACCTGCACTGGTCCTCAAGTTGAAGTCCTATTCACCTAACCTATGCCTGCCTTCAGTTGAGCACAGCTTGTCTGGAAGCTGTAACAGCTCAAAACAGATAGTGTCAGCATTTAGCTTAAAGTCCCAGGAATTAGGATCTGTGATTTCAAAAATTCAAAAAAAAGCAGAGGCTTTGGTTTGGCAGCAGCAAAGGCAAAGTCTTGCAGGGGCAGACAGCTGTGTTCCAAGTCCAGGTGACAAGCAAGGCTTTTTCTGAGGCTTGTGATAAATGTCATTCCAAACTGACCTTCTTAAAATATGCACATCAGGCCAGAAATTCATCAGTCTTTCTAAGGGTCAGACATCTGATTTCGAGAGAGTTCATTAGCAAACTAAAAACTGGTCTTTAAAATTCTAAAAATGTATCTTTATCTGGAGATTGCTTCTCTTTTCATATTATTTCCTTTTTTCCTGAGGCTCCAATTGGCAAAAATAGTAAAAATCATCAGTTATGGAGACTGGCTCTGCTTTTACTACAGGCTTATTTCAGACATTATAGATTCAAGTTTCAGACTGCCTCAAGAAAGTGAGTTACACAAATTTTTTAGTGTCCCAGTGCATAAAGAAGTTATATTTATGCTTTATGCAGCATTACATGTAGTGCAATACATGTCTAAAAATGTCCATACCTTAATTTAAAAATACTTCATTGCTGAAAAGTGGTATATACAGCATTATATAGTGCAATACGTGGTATCTAAACATGTCCAACCTTAATTTAAAAATACTTCATTTCTAAAAAGTGCTAACTATCATCTGAGCCTTCAGCAAGTTGTCATCTTTTTGCTGGTGGAAGGTCTTGCCTTGATGTTGATGGCTGCTGACTGATCAGCTGAAGATTGGTTGCTGAAGGTTGAGGTGGCCCTGGTGATTTCTGAAAATAAGAGAGCAATGAAGTTTGCCACATAGATTGTCTCTTCATTTTATGAAAGTTTCCTCTGTAGCATGTGATGCCATTTGACAGGAATTTGCCTGTGGTAGAATTTAAAAATTGGAGTCAGTCCTCTCAACCCTGCTGCTGCTTTATCAACTGTTGATGTAATATTCTTATTCCTTTGTTGTCGTTCTAACAATGTTCACAGCATCTTCACTAGGAGCAGATTCCATCTAAAGAACCAATTTCTTTTGCTCATCCATAAGAAGCAACTCATTATTCATTCAAGTTTTATCATGAGATTGCAGCAATTTAGTCACATCTTGAGGCTCCACTTTTTATTCTAGTTCTCTTGCTATTTCTACCACGTCTGCAGTTACTTCCTCCATTGAAGACTTGATCCCCTGAAAGTCATCCATGAGGATTGAAATCAGCTTTTTCCAAACTCTGGTTAATGTTGATATTTTGGCCTCCTTCCAAAAATCACAAATGATCTTTATGGCATTTAGAATGGTGAATCCTTTTTGGAGATTTTCAACTTACTTTCCTCAGATTCTTCAGAGGAATCACTACCCATGGCAGCTATAACCTTACAAAGTGTATTTCTCAATGAGACTTGAAAGTCAAAATTACTCCTTGATCCACGAGCCGCAGAATGGATGTTGTGTTAGCAGGCATAGAAACAACATTCATCTCCTTGTACATCTCCATCAGAGCTCTTGGGTGACGAGTGCATTGTCAATGAGCAGTAATATTTTGAAAGGAATCTTTTATCGGAACAGTAGGCCTCAATAGTAAGTTTAACATATTCAGTAAACCAAGCTGTGAACAGATGTGCTGTCATCCAGGCTTTGTTGTTCATTTATGGAGCACAAGCAGAATCAATTTAGCATAATTCTTAAGAGCCCTAAGATTTTTGGAGTGGTCAAGGAGCATTGACTTCAACTTAGTCATCAACTGCGTTAGCCTCTAACAAAAGATTCAGCCTGTTCTTTGAAGTTTTGAAGCCAGACGTTGACTTCTCTAGCTCTGAGAATCCTAGATATCATCTGCCAATAAAAGGCTGCTTCATCTATCCTAAAAATCTGTTGTTTGGTGTAGCCACCTTCATCAGTGATCTTCGCTAGATCTTCTGAATAACTTGCTGTGGCTTTGCATCAGCACTTGCTGCTATACCTTGAAAGAAGATTTGGGACACAGCTTCTTTCCTTAAACCTCATGAACCAACCTCTGCTAGCTCCTAATTTTTCTTTTGCAGCTTCATCACTCCTCTCAGCCTTCATGGAATTGAATAGAGTTAGGCTGGGCGCAATGGCTCACACCTGTAATCCCAGCACTTTGGGAGGCCGAGATGGGCAGATCGCTTGAGGTCGGGAGTTGGAGACCAGCCTGGCCAACATGGTGAAACCGCATCTCTACTAAAAATATAAAATTACCCAGGTGTGGTGGTGCATGCCTGTAGTCCCAGCTACTCAGAAGGCTGAGGCAGGAGAATCGCTTGAACCCAGAAGTTGGAGGTTGCAGTGAGCCGAGATCACGCCACTGCACTCCAGCCTGGGCGACAGAGTGAGACTCTGTCTCAAAGGAAAAAGAAAAAAAAGAAGAGCATTAGGGCCTTGCTCTGGATTCTGGATTAGGCTTTGGCTTAAGGGAATATTGTGGCTGGTTTGATCTGCTACCCAGAATACTCACTTTCTTCATATCAGCAATAAGTCTGTTTCACCTTTCTGTCATTCATATGTTCACTGGAGCAGCATTTTCAAAGTCCCTCAATAACTTTCCTTTCACAACTTGGCTAACTAGTGCAAGAGGCCGAGCTTTCAGTCTGTCTTGGTTTTCGACATGCCTTCTTCACTAAGCTTAATCTCACTTTTGACTTACAGTGAGAGATGTGTGACTGTTGCACTTCAACACTTAGAGAGGTCATTGTAGGGTTATTAATTGGCCTAATCTCTTTTTTCTTTCTCTTTTCTTTTTTGAGATGAAGTCTCCCTCTGTCGCCTAGGCTGGAATGCGGTGGTGCAATCTTGGCTCACTGCAACCTTTGCCTCCCAGGTTCAAGTGATTGTACTGCTTCAGCCTCCCAAGTAGCTGGGATTACAGGAGTCTGCCACCATGCCTGGCTAATTTTTGTATTTTTAGTAGAGACAGGGTTTTGCCATGTTGGCCAGGCTGGTCTTGAACTCCTGACCTCAGGGGATCTGCCTGCCTCAGCCTCCCAAAGTGCTGGGATTATAGGCATGAACCCCTGAGCCCTGCCTAATTGGCCTAATTTCAATATTGTTTCTTGGGGATAGGGAGGCCTATGAAGAAGGAGAGAGATGGGGGAATGACCGGTCAGTGGAGTAGTGAGAACATAGACAACATTTATCAATTAGGTTTGCCGCTGCCTTATACAGGGATAGTTTGTAGTGTCCCAAAATAATTAACGATAGTAACATCAAAGATCACTGACCGTAGATCACTATAGTAATAATAAACAAGTTTGAAATATTGTGGGAATTAGCAAAATATGACACAGAGATATGAAATGAGCACATGCTGTTGAAAAAATGGCACTGATAGACTTGCTTGGGGCAGGGTTGCCACAAACCTTCAGTTTGTAAAAAACCCACAATATTTGCAAAGTGCAACAAAGCAAAGTGCAACAAAATGAGGTATGCCTGTGTTCAAAGAGTTCACATTTGAATCCACCCACTGGTGGCAAAAAGCAAGAAGCTTGTTTCTCATTAACACTCTTTCTTTGCAACTGTCCCTGATTGAAATTATCCCAGTAGTAATTATGAAATTACAAGCATATAATATTTTGCATCAATTATTTCATACATCCAGATGCAATAGTCACAAAACAAGATATTTTAAAGAAATTTATTTTTTTTCTCATTGCAAATTTACTCAAATCTCTAGCCATAATCCAGCATTTATAGGGTTAACATTCAGCTGTCAGGGAAGATTCTTGCTAGGATGCATGGGAATGGGAATGGTTCCTGTAGCAGTGGCAGCAGCAGCTAGGCTGAAGACTGGACAGCCAGAGTGTCTTTTTCTTCCCCTGCCCTTCTCTACTTTCTGATTTATCTAAAGCTTTGTCTAGCCCTGGAATTGATTTAATGTTTTCCCCACTTATTGGAGGAAAGAGCAATATAAACTTTTGAACTCTTAATTTTAATTTCTTAGAGACAGGGTCTCCTTCTGGCATCTAGGCTGGAGGGCAGTGGCACAATCATAGTTTACTGTAGCCTTGAACTCCTGGGCTCAAGGGAGCCTCCTGCCTCAGCCTTTCCAGTAGCTAGGACTATAGACAAGCACCACCATGCCTGGCTATTTATTTATTTATTTATTTTTTGTAAAGATGAAATCCTGTTATGTTGCTTAAGCTGGTCTTGAACTTCTGGCCTCAAGTGATCCTCCCACCTCAGCCTCCCAAACCTCTAGTATTACAGGCATGAGAGTCACTGCACCAAGCTCTTTATAACATTTTTGTTCTTTAGGTCTAAATCTTTTTTTTTTCATTTATTATGTTAGAAATTTAGTTGATTTTTAAAAAATTTTTTAAAAATTTATTATACTTTAAGTTATGGGATACATGTGCAGAACATGCAGGTTTGTTACGTAGGTATACATGTGCCATGGTGGTTTGCTGCACCCATCAACCCGTCATCTACATTAGGTATTTCTCCTAATGTTATTCCTCCCCTAGTCCCCCACCACCGGACAGGCCCCAGTGTGTGATGTTCCCCTTCCTGTGTCCATGTGTTCTCATTGTTCTACACGCACCTATGAGTGAGAACATGCGGTGTTTGGCTTTCTGTTCTTGTGTTTGCTGAGAATGATGGTTTCCAGCTTCATCCATGTCCTGCAAAGGACATCATTTGTTATGGCTGCATAGTATTCCATGGTGTATACGTGCCACATTTTCTTTATCTAGTCTATCATTGATGGACATTTGGGTTGGTTCCAAGTCTTCACTGTTGTGAACAGTGCTGCAATAAACATACGTCTGTATGAGTCTTTATAGTAGAATGATTTATAATCCTTTGGGTATATATCCAGTAATGGGATTGCTAGGTCAAATGGTATTTCTGCTTCTTGGTCCTTCAGGAATTGCCACACTGTCTTCCACAATGGTTGAACTAATTTACTTTCCCACCAACAGCTTAAAAGTGTTTGTATTTCTCCACATCCTTTCTGGCATCTGCTGTTTCCTGATTTTTTAATGATCGCCATTCTAACTGGCGTGAGATCTCATTGTGGTTTTGATTTGCATTTCCCTAATGACCAGTGATGATGAACCTTTTTCATACTTTTTGGCTGCATAAATGTCTTCTTTTGAGAAGTGTTTGTTCATATCCTTTGCCCACTTTTTGATGGAGTTGTTTTTTTCTTGTAAATTTAAGTTCTTTGTACATTCTGGATATTAGCCTTTTGTCAGATGGATAGATTGCAAAAAATTTTATCCCATTCTGTAGGTTGCCTGTTCACTCTGATGATAGTTTCTTTTGCTTTGCAGAAGCTCTTTAGTTTAATTAGATCCCATTTATCAATTTTGGCTTTTGTTGGAATTGCTTTTGGTGTTTTAGTCATGAAGCCTTTGCCCATGCCTATGTCCTGAATGGTATTGCCTAGGTTTTCTTGTAGGGTTTTTATGGTTTTAGGTTTTACATTTAAGTTTTTATCCATCTTGAGTTAATTTTTGTATAAGGTTTAAGGAAGGGGTCCACTTTCAGTTTTCTGTATATGACTAGCTAGTTTTCCCAACACCATTTATTAAATAGAAAATCCTTTCCCCATTGCTTGTTTTTGTCAGGTTTGTCAAAGATCAGATGGTTGTAGATGTATGGTGTTATTTCTGAGGCCTCTGTTCTGTTCCATTGGTCTATATATCTGTTTTGGCACCAGTACCATGCTGTTTTGGTTACTGTAGTCTTGTGGTATAGTTTGAAATCAGGTAGTGTGATGCCTCCAGCTTTGTTCTTTTTGCTTAGGATTGTCTTGGCTATGTGGGCTCTGTTTTGGTTTCATATGAAATTTAAAGTAGTTTTTTCTAATTCTGTGAAGAAAGTCACTGGTAGCTTGATGGGGATAGCATTGAATCTATAAATGACTTTGGGCAGTATGGCCATTTTCACGACATTGATTTTTTCCTATCCATGAGCATGGAATGTTTTTCCATTTGTTTGTGTTCTCTCTTATTTCCTTGAGCAGTGGTTTGTAGTTCTCCTTGAAGAGGTCCTTCACATCCCTTGTAAGTTGTATTCCTAGGTATTTTATTCTCTTAGTAGTAATTGTGAATGGGAATTCACTCACGATTTGGCTCTCTGTTTGTCTATTATTGGTGTATAGGAATGCTTGTGATTTTTGCACATTGATTTTATATCCTGAGACTTTGCTGAAGTTGCTTATCAGCTTAAGGAGTTTTTGGGCTGAGATGATGGGGTTTTCTAAATATACAATCATGTCATCTGCAAACAGAGACAATTTGACTTCCTCTCTTCCTATTTGAATACCATTTATTTCCTTCTTGTGCCTGATTGCCCTGGCCAGGAGTTCCAATACTATGTTGAATAGGAGTGGTAAGAGAGGGGACATCCTTATCTTGTGCTGATTTTCAAAGAAAATGCTTCCAACTTTTACCCACCCAGTGATATTGGCTGTGGGTTTGTCATAAATAGCTCTTATTATTGTCAGATACATTCTATCAGTGTATAGTTTATTGAGTTTTTAGCATAAAGGGGTGTTGAATTTTATTGAAGGCATTTTCTGCATCTATTGAGATAATCATGTGGTTTTTGTCGTTGGTTCTGTTTATGTGATGAATTACGTTTATTGATTTGCATATGTTGAACCAAGCGTGCATCCCAGGGGTGAAGCTGACTTGATCGTGGTGGATAAGCTTTTTGATGTGTTACTGGATTTGGCATTTGGAATAGTTAATATTTTTAACTCATCCAAAACCCACCTTTGGGTATTTTTGGTCCTTTTTTCCTCCGAGCTGGAGGAAAAAATGAAAACCAAAGGTATCACCCAAGCTGTACTATTTTCCCTTCTCACTTTAGCCACTGAAAATAGCCAGGTGATCCAGTGAGTGGGTCTCCTTTCTTGGGGGGAAGGATCTGTTATTTAAAAATTCCATGGGTAACTTTTAACTCACAACACTCAGCAGCCAGCTGCTGTTTAATATCATGGGCAACTTTACAACCTTCCAGCCATTAAGGGTTTGTCACCTCCTGTCCCTTAATCCTTCCTTTAACCAAAGAATGCATCTGTCATATTTCATTGAGTCAGAGTTGGTCTAGGGAATCCCACTTTTGACATGAAATATATGTCAGGGAGGTCCCTAAGACTACTTCCAGATTTGAGGATTCACTAGGATTGTCAGGATTCAGTATGCAGTTGCACGCATGGCTAGGAATTGTTAGAGTGAAAGGATACTGAGCAAATCAGCAAAAAGAAAGGGGCATGGGACAAAGTCTGGAGGAAACTAGGTTCAAGCATCCACGCATCCTCTCCCTGGGGAGTCACACAGGATGTGCTTAATTCCCTAAACAACGGGTTGTGACAACACGTGTGAAACTGATGCCAACAGGAGACAGGGAAATACTGGGTAGAAGAGGGCAGTTCCCTGGCAAAGGCCCCATCCTCAAGCCTGAATACCCACAGCCCTAAATGGGAACAGGCATTCCTGTTTTTGCACCCAAAAGTTGCCTTTTGGCCCTCCACGCCCCCCTATCCTGTACCCATATAAACCCCAAATCCCCAGCTCCAGAAGGAGACCAGGAGATGATCAGAGAGCCAGAAGGATGGCAGAATGGTGCAGCAGAGAGAAAAGAAAGAGCATCTGAATGCCGAGAGGAGTTCAACTGGGGTTGGTGGGAGAGGAGATCGGCTACCGGGTGGCGAAACTCCAGGGGAAGATCATCTTCCCACTTCATCCCCCTTGTAGCTCCCCATCCATCCCACTGAGAGCCCACCTCCACCACTCAATAAAACCTCTGCTTTCACCATCCTTCAAGTCTGTGTGTGACCCAGTTCTTCCAGGATGCTGGACAAGATCTCAGGATATAGAAAGCTGTCACATTGGCCCTCTGCCCTTGCAAAAAGGCAGAGGGTCTACTGAGCTGATTAACTCTTAAGCTATCCATGGACAGCAAGGCTAAAAGAGTGCACCGTAACACACACCCACTTGGGCTCCTGTACCTGTCCGTCTGCGTGCTCCCCCTCCTGTCAGGGGTTTGAGCAGCGGTGGTGACCGAACAGACAAGCCACACCCCTGTTGCCATCTGCAAGGGGGGTCAGGGAACTCTCCCATCTCAAAACGTTGTCTGTCAGGGAAACTCATTAGAGACTCGGTGACCAGGGTTTCTAGTGGGGGCTGATCATGCAGGCACCTTTGCCTGGCAGGTACTAAAATTTCAGACTCCCAGAAGGAAAGCAGATCTTCAGGATAAAAGTATTGTTTGCACAAAATATTTAGGTACAGTGAGGCTTTCTTATCAGAGATAGTGTTCTCTCTCCACAAATTCAAGTTTCCAGATACTAGCCAAGGGCAATCTTGCAAGCAGGTTTTTCTAAGGACAGCAGTATCAGGCTTGCTATGCTCTTTTCTGCACAGCATGATGTGGCAAAAAGTTCAAAAAGTTTTTGCCCAGTCAAGCTTGTCCTTGTTTCCCTCTTCTGTTACGATGAGAAAAACATGATTGATGTAGACCACTTATCTGAGGAGGAATATATGACATATAGGAAATAAAGCTGGGTCTCCAGCAGACCTCAGTCAAAATCAACCAATAACCCTAGGCATTCTCTGTACGTGAGGAGCTCAGCTGAGGCAGGTAGAGCTGTCCAGCTGAGTCCAGCTTAGGTAAGCTGACCCTCAGTCAATCCTTAGCTGACCCTTACATCTGTGAGAATAATTGTTTTAAGCCACTGTGTTTTGGGGTGGTTTGTGGCAGTAGCTAAATGATACACTAATTTAACACTCCCAATAGCACTATGAGGTAAATATTATTATTATTTTGGAGACGGGTTCTTACTCTGTTACCCAGGCTGGAGTGCAGTGGCATGATCTCAGCTCACTGCAACTTCTGCCTTCTGGGTGCAAGTGATTCTCCTGCCTTATTCTCCTGAGTAGCTGGGCCTATAGGCACGTGCCACCACTCCCAGCTAATTTTTGTATTTTTTTCCTTGCAGAGATGGGATTTCACCATTGTTGCCTAGGCTGGTCTCGAACTCCTGGGCTCAAGCGATCTGCCTGCCTTGGCCTCCCAAAGTGCTGGGATTACAGGCGTGAGCCATGGTGCGTGGCCGAGGTAAATATTATGAACTTCATTTTAGAGATGAGGAAACAGAAAACCAAAGAGGGAAATTAAGGTCCCGTTTATCCAAAGTCCCACAACTTATAAGTGGAAGGGCCAGGATCTGAAGGCAGAATTTCGGCTCCAGAGCCTGCATGCCTAACAATTGCTTGATGCCATCTTGGAGCTTCAGCTGGAACTGGGAGAAGGGCAAAGCCTCAGGTAAGAATAGGCACATCTTGTAAGGAAAGCAGTTGGGAGGCCAGCAAGCGAGAAGGGAAATCATTGTGTTAGGGAATCATGAAGAATCATGTTAGAACCTTCCTCTCCTACCTTTGTTTTGAATGTAATGTTGTGAAGGCAAGTTTTGAGATCTCAGGGGAAAAATGGAAAAGAAACCTCAGAATCATGTTCAGAAAACCTCGATGATGATGATGATTAATAGAGATTGGGCATCTGCTAAGTGGTGGATACTGCTAAGCGCTTGTAGTAATCATTGGTGCTGTCCAAAAATACCTTCAGTTTTTTCTCCAGGGCCCACAGTAGAATTTCACTTTCTTGCTTTCTGGAAGTAGAGATGGCCAACTGATAACTTTACTCTAGGGTCAGCAAACTACATTCTTCAGCCTGTAAGCTAAGAATGGTTTCTACCTTTTTTTATAGCATTAAAAAAAAATAAAGTATGTGAAAGAGACCACATGTGGTTACAAAGCTGAAACTTTTTACTATCTGGCCCTTTACAGAGAAAGTTTGTTAATCCGTGTTCTAGTCAATACACTGATAATGGAGGTGGCACGTGTCACATCCATGTGGAAGCTTTTAAGGGCCAGCATATGATTTTTCTACTTTCTCTTTTCTTCTGTCCTAGTTACAGAGAGAGGATCTCAGTCTGGAGTGAGGATAGTGTAGGTGGAGCCTTTACCTGACCTGCTGTGGACATGCAGTATGATAACGGCATAACATTATTGGAATTTTAAATCACTGAGACTTTTCTTTTTATTACTGAGGCATACCTAGACTATCCTGACTGACATAGCACTTTACAGACATTTAATCCACACAATTGCCCTATAAGATATTATACCCTCCTTTTGAAATGTATCCTGAATCAGATAATTTAAAACACATGAACACCACCATACTCCATATCATCATCATATCTCTCTTAGACTACTGTCACAGCTCCTGATAGCCTTTCTTTTTTTTTTTTTTTTTTTTTTTGAGGAGGAGTTTTGCTCTGTTGCCCGGGCTGGAATGCAGTGGCTTGAATCTCAGCTCACCGCAACCTCTGCTGCCCAGGTTCAAGTGAGTCTCCTGGCTCAGCCTCCTAAGTAGTTGGGATTACAGGCATGTACCACCATGCCTGGCTAATTTTTGTATTTTTAGTAGAGATGGGGTTTCACCATGTTGGTCAGGCTGGTCTGGAACTCCTGAGCCTCAGCCTCCCAAAGTGCTGGGATTACAGGCGTGAGCCACTGCGCCTGGTCTCCTGATGGCCTTTCTGATGACATTCCTGCCTCTTATAGACTGTTCTCATTAGTCAGAGACATCTTTTAAGAGTTATAATAGATGATTGCAGGATCTCATTTCTGGCAATGATTGGCTACATAGTTTAGACAGGTCTTCCCATTTAATACAACTAGGGAAGCTGGATAAAAATATTTTAAAAAATGTTTCAAGGCATCAGAGAGCTACTAAGGAGGTGAGAAATTATAGGGCAAAGATCTGGGAGGGGAGAGGAATGCAGAGATGTGGGTCTGGCATTTGGGGCTATTTGCCCCTAATGGCTGCTTTTAATTCTGAAAGTGGAGCTGTCTATGGACTCAAAGAGCCAGTAGATAAAAAATCGGGTTCAGGGCTTGTCGAAAAGGAGGGTCTTGATAAGAACCCAAGGCTTTCAACTGGGACTCTAAAGGGCCATACCCTAGGAGTAAGAGTGAATGAAAATAGGCCAGTTTCCAGATGATCTGAAGCCAGCTGTGAATCATCTCAGTCCCTGTTTGCCTTAAGATAATCTGAAACGGCTAAAACACCACAAATCAGCCTTGATTTATTATTTTGTTGGTAGTCTAGATCTGGATTTCTGAATCTCAGCAGTATTGACATTCTGGACCAGGTAATTATTTGCTGTGAGGGGCTGACCTGTGTATTGTAGGAGGCTTATTAGCATCCCTGGCCTTTACCCACCAGATTCCAGTAGAACCTTCTCAGTCATAACAATAAAAATGGCCATTGCCAAAAGTCCCCAGGAGGGCAAACGGCAGATTCAGTTTATAGTGTGCTATACCTCTAGCTGTTACGTTGTGAGTAGCACCAAAATGTTGAGGAAATGTTCTGTTAGTATTTGACAAGTGTTATCCTATTCAGTGGACTTTGCTCATGTCATTGATGAATGAATGCAATTCTTTGTTGTTTCACTTTTGTCTTGCTCATTAATGTAAATGAATGTGCCAATCAACATTCATGCTACAACTACACCCGTCCGTCACTTAAAAGCATACAAAAGTTGGCAAAAATCAACAAAAACATTTTATGAGAATCAATTGGCTATATGAAATTTACAGTGAGGAGTATTTGTACCTTTTATTATTACCTGTAAATTATTCATTTCAAAGAACTTTTGGATTGTTGACCCTCTCTGTTTTGTGGTGGTTTGCTGCTATTTTATTAATTTTTTTTTTTTTTTTTTTTTTTTTGAGACAGAATTTCGCTCTTGTTGCCAGGCTGGAGCGCAATGGCATGATCTCGGCTCACTGCAACCTCCGCCTCCCGGGTTCAAGTGATTCTCCTGCCTCAGCCTCCGAAGTTGCTGGGATTACAGGCGCTTGCCACCACGCCCAGCTAATTTTTTGTATTTTTAGTAGAGACGGGGTTTCACCATGTTGGTCAGGCTGGTCTTGAACTTCTGATCTCAGGTGAATTTCTGTTTATTATTTCATTTCTTTTTGCTTTGTTTTAATTTTTTTTTTTTTAAGACAGAGACTTGTTCTATCACCCAGGCTGGAGTGCAGTGGCACGATCTTGGTTCACTGCAAGCAGCCTTGACCTGGGCTCAAATGATCCTCCCACCTCAGCCTCCTAAGTAGCTGGGACCACAGGTGTGCACCACCACACCTAGCTATTTTTCTGTATTTTTAGTAGAGATGGGGTCTCGCCATGTTGCCCAGGCTGGTCTTTGAACACTTGAGCTCAAGCAATCTGCCTGCCTTGGCCTCCCAAAGTGCGGGATTATAGGCGTCAGCCACCATACCCAGATGGTTTTAATTTTTTATTCTTTAATTTCTTGAGACAGATGCTGTATTAGTTATTTATTACTGTGTAACAAGTTACCTGAAAACTTAGCAGTTAAGAAAAACGTAATCATTTATTCATTCCTTTTTCATCAATCTTGTTCTATTTTCCTCCTTTTTTTCGAATTTTTTGTCCTTTTCCTCATTCTCTTTCTGTCTCCCTCCCTTTTCACCTTTCCTTTCTCTGCTTAATTGCTTCAAATATGGGATTGAAATAAAGACCAAAGCATGGGTGGTAAATTGATGGCCAACAGGCTGAATCTGGTCAGGACATCTTGGGAGCTTGTACAGTGTTCTAATCATTGGAAAAGTCTACATTAAAAAGGGGGAGATGGCTGGGTTTGTTGGATTATGCCTGTAGTCCCAGAACTTTGGGAGGCCGAGGGAGGAGGATTGCTTGAAGCCAGGAGTTCAAGACCAGCCTGAACAAAGCAAGATCCTATCTCTACCCTAAAAAAAAAAAAAAATATATATATATATATATATATATATATTAGCCAGACATGGTGGCATGCACCTGCAGTCCCAGCTTACTCAGGAGGTCAATGTGGGAGGATCACTTGAGCCCAGGAGTTTGATGCTGCCATGAGCTATAGTCATAACACTCCAGCCTGGGCGACAGAGTCATACCCTGTCTCTCTTAACAAAAAAAAAAAAAAAAAAAAAAAAAAAAAAAAAAAAAAGCAGGGAACATGCGGGTGGGGTGGGGTAGATTTCTCTAAAAAAATCTGATGTCACAGCAAAGGGTCTGTTTTCCCACATGGAAACAATAAGCCAGAACTACTTTCCTTAATTCTCTCTTCCATTCCTTGAAAGGCCATTAGACCTCTTTTAGGCCAAATTATTTGTCCATAAGCTTCATCACTCCCTGTTGCCATATACAACCTTATCTCGCTTAATTCTGTTGTCTTCAATGTCCCATGGGCATTGAAGTTTGAGGCTTTTGAAATAAAATTGTATAATCTTCACTTTTTAAATTAACAAAGGGAATTCCTTCTCTGCAAAAACAGCCACCCTCCAACAAAACAACTGATAGAAGAAAATAAAACCAAAACTGAAGGCAACACTATAGTTAATCATGCAAGCCCTCTTTTTATGTGGCATAGTCACATCTCGTTACTCTTGTGAGTTGGGGTTATAGGAAAGGAGGCAGGGATTGGTCTAATGGGCTACGGGCTGGTTCTGTTAGTTCTCCACAGTGGGTGGCCGGTGGCCATGGGATTATTATGGAGCAGAGGGCCCACCACTTTCTGAATACCTTCTTATACATCTTCAGGCCAGATACAAATTGTATTAGGGTTCTCTAGGAAACAGAACCAGTAGCAGATACACACACATACACATACACATTATCTATCATCTATCAATTGATCAAGATATTTAGATTAAGGAATTGGCTAATATAATTATGGAAGCTTGGAGGTCCACATTCTGCAGGGCTGGCAGGCTGGAGACCCATAATAGCTGGCACTGCAGTTCAAGTCCAAAGGCTGTCTGCTGCAGAATTCCCTTTTGCCTGGTCAGTCTTTTGTTCTATCCAGGCCTTCAACTGATTGGATGAGGCCCAACTACATATGCAGAGCAATTGTCTTTAATCAAAGTCCACTGATTTACATGTAAATCTCATACAAAACAGTCTCACAGAAACATTTAGAATAATGTTTGACCAAATATCTGGGCCCCATGGCCCAGCCAAGACCACACATAAAATTGAGCGTCACAGGCATGTTAAATTTTACTTCATCTATTCACTCAGAAATTTTTTTTTTTTTTTTGAGACAGAGTCTCACTTTGTCCCCCAGGCTGGAGTGCAGTGGCGCAACCTCGGTTCATGGCAACAGTTGCTTCCCAGGTACAAGAGATTCTCCTGCCTCAGCCTCCCGAGTAGCTGGGATTACAGGTGCCCGCCACCATACCCAGATAATTTTTTATTTTTAGTAGAGATGGGATTTCATGATGTTGTCCAGGCTGGTCTCAAACTCCTGACCTCAGGTGATCTGCCTGTCTCAGCCTCCCAAAGTGCTGAGATTACAGGCATGAGCCACCACGCCTGGCTTCACTCAGTAAATATTTATGAGCACCATCTATACCCCAGGTACTATTCAAGGTGCTGGGAATACTGTAGTGAATAAAATAGACAAGATCGCTGCTTTCGTTTGGGTTCACATGCTCTTGGGAGTGATAGTCAGGTGGTGATATATGTTATGGGAAAAAATTAAAAGAGTGGGGCCTCATGAGAATGTTATTCTAGATAGAAAAGTCAGAGAAGGCATCTCTGCGATGTCATTTGAGAAGCACCCGAATGAAGAGAGGGAGTAAGCCATGTGAATATTTAGGGGAAGAGTTTTCAGTTTCAAGAGTAAGGAGATGCAAAGGCTGGGTGTGTCTGAGGAACAGCAAGGAGGCCAGTGTGGGAGGAGCTGACTGGGGGAGGAGGACGGGGGGGAGGAGGGGAAACAGGACCTTGTGAGGGCTTAAGAAGTTCCTACGTTGAAGGATCCAAGAAGAGGGTCCAGGTAAACGAATTCACACCTCTGTGTGACACAGGGGACAAGTCCTTTCTGGGTGGGCTTCAGGATGTTGGGTACTCCCTCACTCTCTAACTCTCACCTTCTCCCCATTCTCCCAGAGTTAGCTCCCCAGATTTTCTTTTCATTCTTGAGCATTAGGTGTCTGCTCATTTCCTCAGAATCTATTGTCTCCCCTACCCCACTCCCGGTGATGAAGGAAATCCCAGTCCCTTAGAGTGTCGTGCAAATTCTGCCACCTCTGGCGTCAGCAGGATGTGAGCAGAGCCCCAATCTGTTCTAGCTCCTGCTGACTCTGCAGAGAGGGGAGGACCAGCTCTGGTCCCACAGTAGGAAGGAGGTGGGGGGCTAGGGTAAATCAGGGGTGTTTCAGCTTCCATTTGTTCTCTCTGCAGGCAGGGTTTGCCCA
The DNA here is from genome assembly GCF_000001405.40 of Homo sapiens. Taxonomy (NCBI): domain Eukaryota; kingdom Metazoa; phylum Chordata; class Mammalia; order Primates; family Hominidae; genus Homo; species Homo sapiens. The sequence continues at coordinate 54,370,428 of NC_000014.9, read as the reverse complement.
GGTTTTCTCTTTAGCCCGTGACAAACACAATTCACCTCTGTGTTGTAGCTGTGTTTTTCTTCCCCCCGTGTAGTCCAGGGGTTGGCAAACGTTGGCTGATGAGACAAAACCCACAGGCCTGTTTTGTCAAGCTTCACACTCCTTTCTGCTGATATTATCTATGGCTGCTTTTGCACTACAACAATAGTGATGAGTAGTTGCAACAGAGACCTTATGGCTGGGAAGCCTGAAGTACTTACTATCTGGCTCTTTACAGAAAAATTTTGCCTACCCCTGGGCTAGTCTCTGAGAGAAGTATGTGTTTCTTCTAATATATTTTTTAAGTCTACTTGCAAAGCAATGATTCTGGCCTTATAATGCTAATGCGCTCTCTTCTGCTCGGCTTGGTCCCTTCATCATGGAGGGTCCCACATAAACAGACAAGGCCTCTGGCTGAGCCATCTGATTGGATGGCATCAGAGTCACCTGGTTTGCCTCTACTCCCCAAGATTCTCTCCTGAGAGGAAGAGGGGAGGGTTAAGTTCAGCCTGCCACACCTGTAGTCTTCAGTTAAATTTTTGGTGTATGACTGACTCATGGCTGTTAACAGAAATGTATGTGTGCAAAACAATGTGGAAGATTTTTCAAACTACCAGAGAGGAAAGTGTTAACACATGTTCATAGACAAGTGAGTCTGTTGAGAAGTGCTCAAGGAGAAATTAAACATCATTCCTATCCATAGTTGCACTTGGATGGGTGTTTTACCACTAGATCCATATTTTAAAAATATTTTAATATTAATGCGAATGGATTTGACATGTGTTAGGTAGAGAAGGCTGGAGTTTCAGAGTTGAATGTAATTTGGAAGGAACATACTTCCTCATTCTTGACATACCAAGTTTAAGATTTCTCACATGATGCTGGGCATGGTGGTGCGCTCCATAGCCCCAGCTACTTGGGAGGCAGAGCCAGGAGGATTGCTAGAATCCAGGAGTTTGAAGTGACAGTGAGCTATGATGGCACCAGGGCCCTCCAGCCTGGGTGAACAGAGTAAGACCATCTCTAAAAAAATACAAGAATTTCTCTTGTATGACCATCAGATGCAGTACATGAGGTCTGCAGTAGACATCTGGTATCCCCATTGCTTCTCCCTTTGGAGAATTGCCCCTCTCTTATTTCATGTGGTCTTGTTGGGCACATGGTTAGGACTCACTCGTAAATGTACCCTATTTCTACCCTATTTGTCTGGTCATAGTTGTGGGTCCAGGGAAGGCATATGACCCAAGCTGCAGCATGTGCTTTAGTGGCTGGTGCTCTCACTTTCTTCTTTACCTTCCCAAGCTTTCTGCTTTACCCCAAGATGATGCTGAGTTCTAATTTGCACTGGATAATTGGCGTAGATTGTAAAATTTATTTAAAATATTCATTAAATTTGAAAAATTCTATTGTATTTTATAATAGGAATAAATTGTGTTTTCATAACAGTATCATTCATCCCACTTACTCTGCTGTGATGTAGCTTGCCACTCCCCATAAAGAGGTGGAGTCCAATACTCTCTTCCTAAACATGGGCTGGCCCTAGTGACTAGTTCACCTAGTAGAATGCAGCACAAAGGACAATTAATAATAGGATCGATAAATTTTCATACCCGCGTAACCAGCACCCAGATCAAGAAATGGAACATTCCCAGCACCCAGAGCCTCCTTTGTGTCCCCATCCACTAGCCCCTTCCCAGGGTAACATCTCTTTTCTCTCCTGATGCCATGGCTTAATTTCGCTTGTTTGCGAATTCTATCTAAATGGAATCTTTTGTGTCTGGCTTCTTTTGCTTGACTTTGTTTGTGAGATTCATTCATGTTATTGTGTGTGGTTGTACTTGTTTGTTCTCATGGCAGTATTCCATTGTATGAATATATCATAAGTTATTCATCCAATCTACTGTTGGGTCATTTCCAGTTTGGGGCTATTATGAAGTGCTGCTATAAACATTCTTTTCTATGTCTTTTGGTAAACATGTTGTATACATTGCTGTTGGGTATATAACAGGAGTGGAAGTGCGTATGTTCATCTTTTAGTCGATACTGCCAAACAGTTTTCCAAAGAGCTTATATGAATTCACATTCCCACTAGCACTGTGTTATAATTCTAGCTCAACATCTTTGCCTGTGTAGTGTCTGTGTTATCACTTTAGCTATTTAGTGAGTGAGCTATTTCAAAGCAGCATTTAATTTCAAATGGTTGAAAGACTAACCAGTTGAATATTAGAATCAGTAGATGACATTCTTTAAGAGATAGCAAAAGCCCATAATTTTTAGGACCTTTTAGAAAATGTTTCTATATTACATGTTAATTAACCATGTGTAAATATTTTGCTGCATTATTTTATAAATGCACATATAATTGCAATGTATATATTTTGGGAGTATGTGCCTACTCTAGACCATACTAATATAAACTGAGTGGCTCCAAATTAAGAAGGTTCTCTAATTTAGACATAACATCAGTGAGTACCTCACACTCTGATGTGAGTACCTCACACTCTGATGAAAGAAATATTACCTGAGTTTTCCAAACATCACAGATTGGGAATGAAATTAAAGTCACAGTTATTATCCTTTACAAAATATTATTTCTCTGGTTCTTCCTCTCTTCACTGTGTGAAACTGCAGTCTCTCTACTCCTCATAATAGTTCAGTGAGTCCTCCAGGATGGCCTCTGTATCCTCTAAGATATAAGAGCAAGGCACCCACCATCTTCTGGCTCTCCTTTGCTGGGGTAAAGTCTCAGATCACTGCCCAAGCCCACCAATGTCCCACTTTACTGCAATGCCAGCTGCACCTTCTCTGTTGCTGCTGATATTGCTGGCACAGGATTTTGCTAATCCTTGCAACTTCAAGGTCCTGCGGAAATTTTAACAAAACAGCTCTTTTTAGTTTCATCTGCTTTTAAGATCCATGGCACCTGGATCAGAGGGCGCTGGGGCTGACCACCACTGGGAGGCACCAAGACTCGTCCCTCCCCTCTGGCCCTGTCTTGATGTCACTGAACTCAATTTGTGTGCTTTGACTTTCTCTTCCCTTAGGGTGAGTTACTTCCCAGGAGTCCTCTGGCCTCTCCTGTAAACAATCCTAGCAAGATTACCTCACCCTCTGCTAGCTGTGCTCAGGCCTGGGTGAGTCCTGAGAGCTTGGTCTCAAGCTGAGGCTGACCGTGTGTCCTCATCGGCATAGGTTAGTCCTGGTTTGTGACTGTCGTACTGGCATAATTATTAACAGCTCTCCCTTTCACTCTTGCAAGCCTCCTGCTTTGAATGGTTAATTATACAGGGTCACCCTCTCTCAAGCCATCTTTAGGAAAATGTTACAGAAGTAAAACAATCAACAACACGTTTTAAAATAGTCAAGAAATACACTATGTAGAGAAGAATTTTGACCTCCGATGGCTGGAGTGAGCATTGCAGTAATCTCCTAGCCTGTGGGTCTTGCCTTGCCTCTCAGCCCCTAGCTGGCAGCTACTTGGCTCCATCTACAGGCTCTGCTCTGCTCTGGCTGAAGACTATTTCTTCCTTTCTCCTGTGGTTGAAAGAGATCACAAGATATCACAAGGGGGGATTGAAGGAGCTGGGGTAGGATGCTCTGAAACCCAGCCAGAGGTTAATCATTGTGGTGGTGGGTCCTCCCCATACCCTCGTGCCCAGTTTTCCTAACCTGGCTTTGGCTGTATTCCTGAGACAGTTTCTATTTCATTTGTTTCCTAGTTCCTAATGGGCCCTAACAGTCTCTTGCTATTTCCTCCAATCCTTGGCCTGCCTTGGACCTGGACTCTGGCTCCTGACCTCAGTGACACAGGATCTGCCATCCACTGCGTCTCTCTTCACATGGCCTGCCTTACCCTGTTGTCTCTCCCCCTTCCCCAAAGTGCAGTTTGCTCTTCTTGGAAGCCACGCTGTAATCTCTCGTACTTGCATGTGGGGTTTCCACCAGGAAGGCAAGGTGCTCTAGCAGAAAGGAAAAGGGCTCTGAACTCAAAAGACCGGATTCAAGTCCTATTTCAGCAATTAGCCACGTGTCCTTGGATAAATCACCGAGATACTTAACCTGAATGATAATTCCCTCATCTGTGGCAGGTAGAATGAAATTGCCACTTGAAAATGGATGAACTGACTTCTGAACTCAGAGGATTTCCTGCTGAGTTTGGTATCAATCAGTTGACTGGGGCTGGGTTAATCTTTGGGGAAGTCAGATTTCTGAACTTGAGGAACTAAGGCTGTATGTCAAGGATGCTGGGATAATCAGCTTGGAACCAACATGATTCCCAACTTAATTTTAGGGGAAAGTTCAGCCAGCTTCGGAAGCTGGGCTATTCACCTACCCAACTGCTCCAAGCCCAGACAGGTCTTGAATCAGACAACTCTCACAGGAGAGTGTAACTGGCATCTTTTCCCCATCTCATCTTGTTGGTTTTGGTAATGAGATGAGATTGGGTAGTTAAATTTGCCAGGAATGGAGAATGGCGTGATACTCTTAAATCTCTATCTTTCAGGAATACTTAGTTCATTTTATCTTATTTTATTATTTATTTTTTGAGACAGGGTCTTGCTCTGTCATCCAGGCTGGAGTGCAGTGGCACAATCATGACTGACTGCAGCTTCAACCTCCCAATCTCAAGCGATCCTCCCACCTCAGTCTTCCGAGTAGGTGGGACACAGGCACGTGCCACTACGCACAGCTAATTTCTTTTTTTTGGTGTTTTTTGTAGAGACAAGGTTTCACCATGTTGCCCAGGCTGGTCTTGAACTTCTGGGCTCAGGCAATCTGCCCGCTTTGGCCTCCTAAAGGCCTGCATTTACAGGCGTGAGCCACTGTGCCCAGCACTTAGTTCTGCTTAAATATAATCTAAAATAAGGAGAAAGAGCCTTATTTTAATCACTTCATACTGAAGTACATTCAGAATGAGTTGAGAACCCATGTCTTATAAGAATCCATATTAATGACCAAAAATATAAAACAGAAATGGCAAGGCCATCCAGTAGTTCTGTTCTTCCTGGAATGGGAGATGGCAGCCGAGAAAAGCAGGATTTCAGTAAACATCTCCCTCTTGTGCAGAAATCCCCAGTCCGGGATTCAAATCTGATTAAGTGAGTCAGGCTTGCATTTATTACCGTATATTACAAACATTTTTCAGCATTCAGGAGTGAGTGGTGTCTCTGTGGATTTGGCCACTTCCTGGCAATTATGCACTTGGCTGCTAGTGCAAACCAGCATGCCAAATGCCTGGAATGACGATCCATGTCTGAGCAGCTTTCAGTCTGGGAAGGATGTTGTCCAAACATCACGTTCCTTCCCGAGGTGGCCAAATCCTGGTTACAGTTCTGTCCTTTAAATCTATGTATCCTGAAACTTGGCCAGAAAGGATATGGCCACATCCCTTTGCCCCTTTCAGCTTCCGCAGCAAACACCTGGGGGAACTTGCATTGATTTTGCAGTGTCTGGCGGCTGCTTAGTCCAGAAGTAGTTTTGTGCTTAGTGCCTTAATCAGAAAATCACATTCTGAACATAATCTGTCAGGTGGATTATTAGAAAACACTAATTCTTTCAGAGACTAAGTCTGGAAGCCTGGTGAAATTCCAACTGAGTGATGGCATTGTTTTTCTGAAATGCCCTTCCAGCTTTATTTGCATGAGTATTAGCCAACCTGTCCAAACTGTAGCTGATTCACACTTGTTTGCGCTTCAGAAAACAGCCCTGGATTAGAAAGAGAGTCTATCTCTTGGCATGCCCTGTACAGCAGTGGGTCCTGGTAAAACCAAACAGTTTTAATGAAATTTAGCAAGGACTGTCTTGGTATACAATTGGCTCTCTGTCTCCACTGGTTTTGCATCCACAGAGTCAACCAGCCATGGATTGAAAATATAGTATTCACGGGATACAGAACCCACATATATGGGGGGCCAACTTTTCCTATCATTGGGTTCTACAGGGCCGGCTATGGGACTTGAGCACTTTAGTATCTGCTGGGGGGTGAGGGTGGCAGAGGTGGGGATAGGGTATCTTGGAACCAATCCCTTTGAGATACCAAGGGATGACTGTATATGGAGAGGACTAAAATGTATGCTCAATGAGGTGGGAATTTGGTCTGTTTACCATCTGTTGAATGAATAAGTGAACGAGCTTGTGAGGCTGAGGCAGAAGGATGGCTTGAGCACAGGAGTTCAAGACCAGCCCAGGCAACACAGCAAGACCCCTGTCTTAAAAAATAGTGATGAAAAATAAATAAGCAAATGGATAATTATAAACTTACCCTCTTCTTAATTACATAGTATATATCATCTTGTCCATTTCTTATTTCCTTTTAAGTTTGTCACTTTCTTTTTATTCAATTTAGATAGAAGGCAGTTAAAAGCCTTTCTCTATGAAATAGGCAAATGGAAAGTGAAAACGCCTTGACTAGAGTCCTGTGCCCACTTGTCTTTTTGCTTATCCCCCACTTCCTCCCATGAGCTTTGCCATTGTCTTCAAGAAGTAGCCCCACTCCCCTGCTTTCTCAGCTGGTGATCTGGCCTTCTATCTGCCCCTAACAACACTCATGTGTTTTTTCCTCTAGTCCAAATGAGGCATCTCTTCTATAATGAAAACCCCTTCTCTTCTGTGGAACCTTGCAGCATTGGTTACTCCTCTCTCCTCTGCCTTTTCTTCAGTATTGGCTTTTCAGAGTCCATAGAAGAGCTCAAGTCTCTCCAATATTAAAACAAAAACAAACACAAAAGCACAAAAACAAAACAAAACAACTGCCACACCCCCAAACCAAAAAAAATCCACCTAGTCCCATATCACTTTTACCTTCACAGCCCAGTTTTTCAGTTGAAAGATCTATATTCAGAGACTCTATTTTCTTACTTCTTTTTTATCCTCTGTAAAATTAAATAAGAAAAAGGTTTTTTTTTTCCAGAAGGTAAATATAAAATTAGAAAATCAGAACTATGTTTCTCCTTTAAGAATAGAAACAATTTTTTTCCCTTGCTAGCTAGATTTCTTAGGGTAAGAATATAAATCCCAAATCAGATTGCATTTTGTTTTGACAACAAAGGAGAAAAGCACAAGAACAATCTTATCATTATAAGACTTGTTTATAATCTAAGAAGCACTGGATGCAATTCCATGTGATTTCCTGTCCTAGCTCCTTTCCTCAGACGGTCCTCTGACTGTCCTGCAGATCCTTTGCTGGGCTGTCTCCTAACTCCACATGCTTGTCTTTAGCTGTCTTATTGCTCCTGTGGTTTCAGCTGCCAGCCATCCAGTGAATTCCTAATCACCACCTCTGGCCGTTCTCTGTCTTCTGAGTTTCAGATTCATGTATACAAACACCTCCATCCTGATGGTCCCTGAGCGGTAAAAATCAACATGTACAAGACTGAACTTAGTGTCTCTTTCTTAAATTTGCCTCTCCTCCATATCTCTGTAACCTCACACCTGAGAGTCATCGTAGCTCTTCCTTCCCTGTCACTGTGTATTTAACTGGTGATTTAGTATTGCCTTTTCAGCTTTTTAATACTTCCTGTTTTGGCCTCCTTCTGTCCATTCCCATGCTGACGGCTCCAGTTCAGACCTTATTATTTTTCATCCTTTGAGTTTTCCACCTGCCTGCTTCCTCCTGGTCATACACTTCTCCAATGCCTTCTCCATGTGAATATTTTGATGATGTTGAAGGAATCACTTTAAAATGCATATCTGATCATCTCACTTCCCTGTTGAATACTCCTTACTAGCTCCCCAATGCCCAGAGGATAAAGCTAAAATCTTTAGCATAGCATAAAAGATTAAAGTTTGTTACTTGTTCTCCCTTCCTCAACTATACATCTTAGCTTTCTCAGGGGTCTCAGACTCAAAGGTCTACAGTGGAGGGTATAGTGGTGACTAGGTAGGGCTACTGTGAACTAGAGGATTCATAATCCCATTGAAAAGGGTGAACGGTTGCTACAGACCAGATTTTCTCTTCAACATTCACATGTTGAAATCCCAATCCTTGATTTGATGGCATTAGGAAGTAGGGCTTTTGGCAGGTGATTAAGTCATAAGGATGGCGCTCTTACAAATGGGGTTTTTACCATTACAAAAGAGACCCTAGAGTCCCTTTGTCCCTTCCACCATGTGAGGCACAGCAAGAACACGGCCCTCTATGAATAAGGAAATGAGCCCCCACCAGACACTGAATCGGAGTGCCTTGATCTCGGACTTCTCATCCTCCAGAACTGTGAGAAATAAATGTCTGTTGTTTAAGCTACAGTCTACAGTGTTTTGTTACAGCAGCCTGAATGAACCAAGACAGCCACTCTTTGGCTCCAGCCAATTACTGGTGAGTGGGAATTTGGGCTTAGCGTGGCCAAAGTAACAACTTCTTTTTTCATGAGAAGCTGGATTTTTACATCAAACTAAGTTTACTAAGTTTACTAAGTGTTAGAAACTAATTTTAAAACATTAAAACTCATTTTTTATTTTGAGTCTCACTGTGTCACCCAGGCTGGAGTGCAGTGGTGCAATCTCGGCTCACTGCAACCTCTGCCTCCTGGGTTCAAGTGATTCTCCTGCCTCAGCCTCCCACATAGCTGGGATTACAGGTGCCTGCCGCCACGCCTGGCTAATTTTTGTATTTTTAGTAGTAACGGGGTTTCACCGTGTTGACCAGGCTGGTCTCAAACTCCTGACTTTGTGACGCACCTGTCTTGGCCTCCCAAAGTGCTGGGATTACAGGTGTGAGCCACCGTGCCCAGCCAATCATTGCGTTTTTAAATGTTCATTATTAAAGTGAAAAAAAAAAATATAACCTTTGTACCAAATTAAACACATCTGTGTAAGACTGCAAGATTGATGCCCATGTCTATAAGTTCTTCCTGAATTCTGATTCTTAATCATGTGGAATTGCTTCTGGTACCCTAAATATGTACTGTGCCTCCTCACCTTTGTTTTTGCTGGCTTTCTCTGTTTGGAATGCCCTCTCTCTTCCTCACACTCCTTCCATCCCACTCTAACTCTTATCCCAAACATATGGTAAGGATTTTGAAATATATCCTTATTTGTCAAGACTCCTCTCATGGGAGGGAGGTTGCAGCAAGATGGTGGAGAACTGTTCAGTGATTTTCACCCCAGAGAAACATCAATTTGAACAACCACCTACACATGAAAATACCTTCACAAGAGTAAGGAAACCAGTTGAGAGATTATAGTACCTTGTTGTAGCACAATAACAAGAAAAGATGCATTGAAGTGGGCAGGAAGAACAGTTTTACATGTGTTATTCTTTCTCCAAGCCCAGGCAGCATAGTGCAGAGACAGATATAATTCGCTTGGGAGAAAGAGAGGGAATTGAGCACAGGACTTTGGCTGGACTCCAACACCAGGCCCATAACAATAAAACTCAGCACTGAGAAGGCCCCTCATGGCTCCAGACTCCAGGCTGGTACCCAAGAATGAAGCCTTGAGATCCACCCCAGTCCCAAGCAGGACCACAGAGCCCAAGGCTTCAGGCTTGTGTAGTGGACTTGATCTTTGGCCCACACCACTGCTGAGCAAACATCAGTGGCTCCATGCTTTGATCATGTCTGGCAGCCCTCAGTGTCCCTGGGTGTCTGGTGTATAGCAGTGCAATGCTTGTCACAGCAGGTCCTGGGCTTCTGGCTGTGCCACACTGGCCATAGCAGGCACTAGAATTCTGATGCACCCTGGTGCTGTCCCTGCTGCAGGGCTTTTCCGAACAAAGCCAGTCTCTGAAAGCTAGAATAAGTACCTATTTCTTCAAATATGCTGACATTGGTGCACAGCCACAAGGCTCAAGAACAATTAGGCAAACGTGAGATCCCAAATGGACAAAATGAGATGCCAGTGACTGGTGTTAAAGAAATGAAGATGTATGAACAACCTGACAAAGAATTTAAAATAACTCTTAATGAAACTCTTTGACTTCAAAACAATACAGAGAAACATTTCAATGAAATGAAGAAAATAAGTGACCAGAATGAGAAATGCAATAGAGAGCATCAATAGCAGAACTGATTAAGCAGAAGAAAGAATCTATGAACTCAAAGACAGGTTATTTGAAAATATACAATCAGAGGAGAAAACAGAATAAAAAAGAATGAAGAAAGCTTACGGTTGGTTTTTGTTTTTTTTTGTTTGTTTTGTTTTTTGTTTTTGAGATGGAGTTTTGCTCTTGTTGCCCAGGCTAGAGTGCAATGGCGTGATCTTGGCTCACTGCAACCTCTGCCTCCCAGGTTCAAGCGATTCTCCTGCCTCAGCCTCCTGAGTAGCTGGGATTACAGGCATGCGCACCACCCTGGCTAATTTTGTATTTTTAGTAGAGACAGGGTTTCTCCATGTTGGTCAGGCTAGTCTTGAACTCTCGACCTCAGGTAATCCACCCGCCTTGGCCTTCCAAAGTGTCGGGATTACAGGCATGAGCCACCGCCTCCGGCAAGCTTATGGGATTTATGGAACAGCATCAAAAGAGCAAATACTCAAGTAATAGTTTAAGAAGAAGAGAAAAATAAGGGAGTGGAAAGCCTGTTTAAAGAGATGGTAGCAGAAAATTTTCCAAACCAAAATGTGGTATATATACATAATAAAGAAAGGTGCAAATATTCAGGTACAAGAAGGTCGATGGTCTCCAATCAGATTCAATCCAAATTAGACTACCCCAAGACATTATACTAAAACTGTAAAAAAACCAAAGACAAAGAGAATCCTGAAAGCAGCAAGAGATAAGTAAATAACATATAAGGGAGTTGCAATATGACTTGCAGCAGACTTCTCAGCAGAAACCTTAAAGGGCAGGAGAGAGCGGGATGATATATTCAAAGTACTGAAGGAAAAGTATTGTCAACCAAAATAATATACCCAGCAAATATGTTCTTCAGAAATGAAGCAGAAATAAAGACTTCCAGACAAATAAGAGCTGAGGGAGTTCATCATCACCAGACCTGTCTTACAAGAAATGCTAAAGAGGAGTTCCTCAAGCTAAAGGAAAATGATGCTAATGAGTAACACAAAAACATCTGAAAGTATAAAACTGACTGGTAAAAGTACTAAATTTAGAATAATTGTGGTATACAAATTATTATGAAGGTTAAAAGACAAAACTATTAAAAATAACAGCTACAATAATTCGTTAAGGAATATGCAATTTAAAATGATACAAATTGTGACATCAAAAATTCAAAATGTGGGAGTGGGGAGCTTGAGTAAAAGGGCAAAGTTTTTTGAAGTGGAATCAAAGTTGTTATCAGCTTAAAATAACCCAGTATATAAGATGTTGAGCATTTTTTCATATATCTGTTATTTGTATATCTTTTGAGAAATGTCTGTTTAGGTCCTTTGCCCATTTTTAAGTGGGTTATTTGTTTTCTTGCTATTGAGTTGTTTGAGTTTCTATATATTTTGGATATTAACCCCTTATTAGATGTATAGTTTGCAATTTTTTCTCCCATTCTGTAGGTTGTCTCTTCACTCTGTTTATTGTTTCCTTCGTTGTGAAGAAGCTTTTTAATGTTATGTAATTCCATTTGTCTAAAAAAATACATAGGAGTAAATTTAACCAAGGAGGTAAAAGTTCTGAAAACTATAAAACATCACTCAAAGAAATTCAAGAGGACACAAATAAATGGAAAGATATCTGTGTTCATGGACTGAATAAATTAATGTTGATAAAATGTCCATACTACCCAAAATCACCTACAGATTCAGCATAATCTCTATCAAAATAACATTTTTCACAGAAATTGAAAAAACAATCCTAAAATTTGTACAGAATCGCAAAAGACCCTGAATAGCCAAAACAATTTTGAGCAAAAAGAACAAAGCTGAAGGCATTGCACTACCTGGCTTCAAAATATACTACAAACCGAAACAACATAGTTCTGGCACAAAAACAGACATGTAGACAAATGGAATAGAGTGGAAAGTTCAGAAAGAAATACATGCTTTTACAGCCAACTGATTTTTAACAAATGCACCAAGAACACACAATGGGGAAAGGGCAGTCTCTTCAATAAAGGGTGTTGGGAAAACTGGATATCCACATGCAGAAGAATGACATTAGACCTTTATTTAATACCACAGACAAAAATAATCTCAAAATGGTTTAAAGACTTCAATGTAAGACCTGAAACTATGAAACTACTAAAAGAAAACGGGAAAATCTCCATGACATTGGTCTAGGCAATGATTTTTAAAATATGACCCCCAAAAGCACAGGTGACAAAGGAAAAATAGACAAATTACATTATATTAAAAAGCTTCTGCACAACAAAGGAAACAGTGAAGAGACAACCTACAGAATGGGAGAAAAATTTGCATATACATCTCATAAAGGGTTAATATCCAAAATATATAGAAACTCAACTCAATAGCAAGAAAAGAAATAACCTATTTAAAAATGGACAAAGGACCTGGACAGACATTTCTCAAAAGAAGATATACAAATAACCAACAGGTATGTGAAAAAAATGCTCAATATCACTAATTATCAGGGAAATGCAAATTAAAACCACAATGAGATACTACCTTACCCTGTTAGAATGGCTATTATCAAAGAGACAAAAGGTAACAAGTGTTGGTGAGAATGTGGATAAAAGAGAACCCTCATGCCCTATTGGTGGAAATCTTAAATTAGTATAGCCATTATGGAAAACAGGATAGAGGTTCCTCAAAAAATTAAAAACAGAACCATCATGTGATCCAACAATCCCACTACTGGATATATATTTAAAGAAAATCAAATCAACTTGTCGAACAGACATCTGCACTCCCATGTTTATTGCAGCATTATTCACAGTAGCCAAGATACGGAATCAACCTAAGTATCTGTCAATGAATGAAGGATTTAAAAATATGGTATATATACACAATGGAAATCTATTCATCATAGAAGAAACCCTGTCATTTGCAACAACATGGATGAATCTGGAGAACATTATGTTAAATAAGCCAGGCACAGAAATACAAATACTACATGATCTCATTCATATGTGAAATGTGAGAAAGGTGGTCTCGTAGAGGTAGAGAATATAATGGTGGTTACCAGGATCTGAGCTGGTTGGAGGAGCAGGGGATACAAAATTTCAGTTAGAAAGGATGAATAAGTTTAAGATATCCATTGTATGACGTGGTGTCTATAGTTAATATATTCTTGAATAATGCTAAGAGAGTGGATTTAAAGTGTTTTCACCACAAAACTTATACCTATGTGAGATAATGCATGTTACTTAACTAAAGGTAGCATTCTACAATGTACATATACCTCAAAACAATGTGTTTTACATGGTAAATACAAATAATTTTACCTGTCAACTTAAAATTTTTTTTTTAAAAACTTTCCCCCATGAATCCCTTCTCTCTAAAGCATTTCCTAACATTCCTTTACTCCACTTTAGGGAGAACCAACTCTTTCCTTTGCACTCCAACAGAGTCTGTGGAATTTTTCTTTCCATGATGCACACTCTAAGACTCTAAGCTCCAAGAAGACAGATTTCACGTCTTAATTATCCACTTATCCTCCAGACCTAGCACAGTGATTGGCACATAGTAGGCACTCAGTAAATTTTTGTTGAATGAATAAACTAGACAGTAGTTAGTTGCCAAGATGTATGCTTTCTAAAATTGGGACTAATTTTTATTAAAAAATTGCCAAAATGATACAGCTGAAAACTTAATATCATTCCAAGATCCTCATAAATATTGATGGTTCTTTTGGAAGCTAGTTTCCAGTGATGGTCCCCAGTGAAACATGCCTCCTAGTACTCTTGTGTAGTTCCCTACCCTTGAGTCTGGGCTGGCCCTGTGACTTGCTTTTTGACCAATAAAGTGAGGTGGAAATGATACTGTGTGACTTCCAAGGCTGGGTCAGGTCTTACAGCCTCTATCCAAGCCTCTTGGAATGCTTGCTCTTGGGATACTTCCTCCGGGATCCCAGCTACTGTGCTGGGTGGAGCTCAGGTTACATGAAGAGGCCACATATAGGCTATGTGATGTGCTTTCCCAGACCACTGCTGGGCTCTTGGCCAACAACTAGCTTCAACTGCCATCACAGGAGTGAGGCACAGTGAACGTCAGGCCCACTGAGCTTACAGATTGAAACTCACTCCTCCATTTGACTGCAACATGACGTCCCTGGATGAGAACTGTCCAGCTGAGCCCATTCAACCTTCAGAATTGTGGGAGATAATACTAAAATTGTTTTAAGCCAATAAGTTTTGGACTGGTTAAGCAGCAATGGATAGCCAGAACACCTTTGAAATGAATAAAATATGTTTGAAATTATTAGGTCAGGATAGTTTAAATTGTCTTGCTATGATTGACTTTGGAGTTCTGCGCTACATTATTTCACAAATAACCTACTTGACCTCATGCCTCAATGATTGCTTTTAAGTGTACAGTTTCCTTTATTTAGAGAGTTAGTATTGATATATTTACATAGTTATCTTTAAAAATCTTAGTTAAGTTCTCTAACACATTGATACACACCAAATTTTTAAACAGTGACTAACAGGATGATGAAAAATGACAGTATAAATTCCATCCTATAGTAGCCAGTAAATTTTTATTTTATTAGATTGAAACTAAAAAAAATCTTTTAATGACCCTATTAGTCATTCTCTAGTAAAATAACCTGTCGCAGGATTTAGTAATATTTATTTCACTTCTATCTGTTGGATGGTTCTCTCCCTCCATTTAGAAATTAAACTATAATTTACACACAGTAAAATCATGCTTATTTGTATATAGTTTTATAAAATAGATGCGAAACTATTCAAATGTATAGTTTCTACATTTGACTAATTAGATAGCTGTGTAACTACTGCCACAATCAAGATACAGAATAATTCCATCATCTTCCAAAGTAGTCCTGTGCCCCTTTATAGTCAAGTCTCTTCCCAACCCCTGGCTACCACTGATTTAAAAAAAATAATTTACTGAAGTGAAACTCATATAACATAAAACTAACCATTTTAAAGTGAACAATTCTGTGACATTTAATACATTCACAATGTTGTGCAACACTACCCCTGTCTAGTTTGAAAACATTTCCATAACTTCAAAGTAAAATTCCTTACAGTTATCTCCCTCTTTCTTGCTCCCCAGTCCCTGGTAACTATCAATCTGTATTCTGTCTCTGTGGATTATCTAGTCTGGATATTTTATACAGATGGAATCATATATGACCTTTTGTATCTGGCTTTAACTTAGCATAATGTTTTCAAGGTTCATCCACATTGTAGCAAGCATCAGTACTTCATTCTTTTTCATGGCTGAATAATATTCCACTGTATGTATATAATCTATATTTTTTGTCCCTATAATTTTGCCTTTGCAAGAGTGTCATATAAAATGCAATTATATCATCTATCAGCTTTTGAATCCAATGAGATGTTTTGATCTGTGCTTTTAGAGTGTGTGGATACCTTCCCTATCATTTACTAAACTTTTTTTTCTCATGGTTTTGTGGTGGCATGATATTGTGGACTTATAACTTATGTGTACCCTCCTGCTCTATGCTTTATCAAATTTACTCATTTTTACATTGACGCCTTGCCCTAAGCCTGAACACTCAATGTTAGTCACCATCACTTTAAGGAAAGATCTTTGGTGTGAAATCGGTGAACACAACTTCTGAATCTTCATTTTAAATTCCAAAGCCATTTCATGGGTATAAGCAAGATTTGTGAAGAACACTTTAGGAGTCGGGATTATTTTTCCCCCATAAGACACAGAAGAGAAGAAGAAAACTGTGGGCTGGAGAGGTGAGATAGAGGCAGGAGTAAGTGATCTCTGAGAAAGCAGAACCTTCTGCTACTCACACCCATCCTAGAGAGCAGCGCTGGGGAAGGAGCAGTGTGCTGGTGAGGGAGAAAAGGAAAAATGAGTTGGGCAGACAGCTAAAGATGGGTCCTTGGTAAAACTCCTTCAAACAGAGAAACAGCCTGAAAAATCAAAGCTATAGGCACAAACAGCAGCCTGGGGAAAACTCAGGCTGCAGCTGCACAGATAAGAAAGCAAGACCCAACACAGCAGCCTTTGTTCTTGGTGTAATCAGCAGGCTCCCAGGAAAAAGTTTCTTCCCCTTTTCAGGTATGTACATGGGAGGCTCCATGGGAACTTGCATGGGGAGGGGGTGGGGCCTTACCCAAACATACCCACAGTTGCACAAACAAGAGAAGCTGCACTTTGTGCTTTCCTAAAAAGACATGCCCACAGCTGCAAAGATTAGGAGAGTTACACAGACAGCTCCACAGATAAGGGAAGTTACACAAACAGCTGCAGAGATGAGGAGAGTTTCTCATAAAAGCTTTTGGATTCAACTGTAAAAACGGCAACTCCTCTTTTGGGCCCTCTTTCCATGGCAACACCTCTTTTGGGCCCTCTCTTCTTTCACTTATTAAACTTGCACTCCAACCTCGCCCTTTGTGTCCACACTCCTTAATTTTCTTGGTTGTGAGACAAAGAACTCTGGGTGATACCTCACAAAGAGACTGCTACATTGTGGTGCTTTGGCTGAAAGCCAAGAGGTAACAAACTGTGTAACACTGGGACATTGAGATCCACATGGGCACACAAGGGCAGAGGGAGCTTGAGATGATGTCCAGGATGAGTTCTGGGACAGCATGCCATGCTCTGGGGCTTCCCTCCCACACTGGTGGGATGCCTCATACAAGTAAAGACAAGGAGCGTAGGTATCAACACAGCCAACAACCTACCTGGTTTCCTGCCCTTGGAAGAGCACAGTTTCATATCACTCAAGAAGGGCTTGCGAATTAGCCAAGAGGAAGCGTGAGGGCAGGTGGGCCTGAAGGTGTCCCTTGGTAGAAAGACCAGCATTTTGAGTGCTCACTTTGTGGCTGGAGACGAGATAGGAATTCAGCTCCCCCAGCACATGCTGGCTCTGGAGGGTCATCAGATCTGAGGACCAAACTGAGCAGAACATCTCAGCAGTTGCCAGTGTAAGGCAGATGATGGCCACAAGGGAGGAGATGCCTTTTCCGGGTGTCACAGTGCTACACAAGTCCCCAAGAGCTTAGAAACGACCTTGAGAAGAGGAGGAGGAGGAGGAAATGCTGAACTGTTTTTAAATTTGAAACTGCTAACGTACCTGGAGTTAGCTAGGAGTGTAATTTCTGCCAGCAGTTGGAATTGGAACTTGATAGAGATGAGGAGTGGCAGACTTACTAGCCTCTGTGTGCCTCAGTCGTTTCAGCTGGCAAAGAGGGAGGTGGTCATAGTACCTCCCCATGAAGGTTACTGTGAGGGTTAAATAAGGTAATGTGTGCACAGAATTTAGGATGGTGCCTGGCACACAGCAAGCATTCAGTAAATGTTTGCTCTCATTGTCTGCAAAATGCATACCTACATACCACGAACAAACAAACTGAAAAACAAAAAGTGACAGAAAATACATTGTTGGAAAAACTTACCTATGGTAGTTCTGTGGTATTGACAAGTGAACCAGGAAGTCAGACTTCCTGCCCTTTGGAGCTTTCAATTTAAGACATATTCAAACTTTTGACAGTCCCTAATGTTGCCAATAAAGCTAAAGATGAAATAAGTGTTGACTGCGGCCAGGCGCGGTGGCTCATGCCTGTAATCCCAGCACTTTGGGAGGCTGAGGCAGGCAGATCATGAGGTCAGGAGATGGAGCCCATCCTGGCTAACATGGTGAAACCCCGTTGCTACTAAAAATAGAAAAATTAGCCAGGCATGGTGGCACGCACCTGTAGTCCCAGCTACTTGGGAGGCTGAGGCAGGAGAATCAATTGAACCTGGGAGGTGGAGGTTGCAGTGAGCCGAGATCATGCCACTGCACTCCAGCCTGGCAACAAAGCGAGACTCAGTCTCTTAAAAAAAAAAAAAAAAAAAAAAAAAATTGTTGACTGCACGTTAAGCATCAGCCAATTGAGATGATAAGACTGGTTATTTTAGGAAGGCTTTATAGGGTCTTTGCATCTGGGGAGTAACCTGGGATCTTTTATTAATTTTTTTTTATTATACTTTAAGTTTTAGGGTACATGTGCACAATGTACAGGTTAGTTACATATGTATACATTGACATGCTGGTGCGCTGCACCCACTAACTCGTGATCTAGCATTAGATGTATCTCCCAATGCTATCCCTCCCCTCTCCCCCCACCCCACAACAGTCCCCGGAGTGTGATGTTCCCCCTCCTGTGTCCATGTGTACAGTAACCAAAACAGCATGGTACTGGTACCAAAACAGAGATATAGATCAACGGGACAGAACAGAGCCCTCAGAAATAATGCCGCGTGTCTACAACTGTCTGATCTTTGACAAAGCTGAGAAAAACAAGCAATGGGGAAAGGATTCCCTATTTAATAAATGGTGCTAGGAAAGCTGGCTAGCCATATGTAGAAAGCTGAAACTGTATCCCTTCCTTACACCTTATACAAAAATCAATTCAAGATGGATTAAAGACTTAAACGTTAGACCTAAAATCATAAAAACCCTAGAAGAAAACCTAGGCATTACCATTCAGGACATAGGCACAGGCAAGGACTTCATGTCTAAAACACCAAAAGCAATGGCAACAAAAGCCAAAATTGACAAATGGGATCTAATTGAACTAAAGAGCTTCTGCACAGCAAAAGAAACTACCATCAGAGTGAACAGGCAACCCACAAAATGGGAGAAAATTTTTGCAACCTACTCATCTGACAAAGGGCTAATATCCAGAATCTACAATGAACTCAAACAAATTTACAAGAAAAAAACAAACCCCATCAAAAAGTGGGCAAAGGACATGAACAGACACTTCTCAAAAGAAGACAGTTATGCAGCCAAAAAACACATGAAAAAATGCTCATCATCACTGGCCATCAGAGAAATGCAAATCAAAACCACAATGAGATACCATCTCACACCAGTTAGAATGGCAATCATTAAAAAGTCAGGAAACAACAGGTGCTGGAGAGGATGTGGAGAAGTAGGAACACTTTTATTTTTTTTTTTTGAGACAGAGTACAGTGACATGATCACAGCTCACTGCAGCCTTGACCTGCCCGGCTGAAGTGATCCTCCCACTTCAGCCTCCTGAGTAGCTAGGACCACAGGTGAGAGCTACCATTGCTGGCTAATTTTGTTTAGTTTTTGTAGAGACAAGGTCTCACTAGGTTGCCCAGGCTGGTTTTGAACTGCTGGGCTCAAGTGATCCTGTCTCAGCCTCCCAAAGTGCTGGGATTACAAGCATGAGCCACCGTGCCTGGCTTTCACCTGGGATCTTACCTTCAACCTTGTACCTTGATGGGCTTGACTCAGTGTAACTCTTCCTATAATCTGACACTCTCTCTTTCCTTTCCATATATATTACATGCAAAAATACTTTTCTGTTCAGCCAACCTTTTCAGTGGTTCAAAAGATGTATTGGTCGGCCGGGCACAGTGGCTCACGCCTGTAATCCTAGCACTTTGGGAGGCCAAGGTGGGTGGATCACGGGGTCAGGAGATCAAGACCATCCTGGCTAACACGGTGAAACGGTGTCTCTACTGAAAATACAAAAATTTAGCTGGGCGTGGTGGCAGGCACCTGTAGTCCCAGCTACACGGGAGGCTGAGGCAGGAGAATGGCGTGAACCCGGGAGGCGGAGCTTGCAGTGAGCCAAAATTGTGCCACTGCACTCCAGCCTGGACGACAGAGCGAGACCCTGTCTCCAAAAAAAAAAAAAAAAAAAAAAGATGTATTGGTCAATTTGTTAATAGCATATCATTATAAATGTGTTATTGCTAGAAATTAGCAGCCAAAATATAACACGATAGAGTGTTCCTTGTAGCTTCCTTGCTCATCTTACATTGCCCATTGTAACATTTTTAGGATTGTTAACCATATCATTTCTTCATGTTTCACAGTACTGCACTTATAATTAGTGTCTATCAGTGTCTGTTATCATACTGTCCTCTTGGCTTTCAACCAGTTAATTATTTGTTGGATTGCTTTTCAGAGTACTGGCTGCCTTCCCTATGACGTGCTGCCTCCCTTCCCGCTGATCATCTTACTCTTCTGTTCTTTGCTATTTTCAGACACTATTTTGCACTCATTATGCACAAGTTCAAACTTTAGTCATGTGAAGAGAGCTGAGTGCCTTGTCTAATTTTTCAGCACCAAACCAAATAAACAAAAAACGCATAAAGTCCATTTAAAAATATCCACACTGCATCAGGGAACAGAGAAGCTTTTTCTCTCTCATGTGAAATCTTCTCCAGGAAACCACCAGGACTGAGGCCCCCATGGCGCACACATGCTTGCTTTAGGTGCTTACGTTAAGATGGTATTTCATTAGTTTTGGATGGTCCCTTCCACAGAGCTCAGATGCTATGCTTCTTTCTATTTTAAAAGGGGGGACGAAAAGATTGGCTTTTCATCCAAAATACTCATGTTCTTCTAGCATATTAAAATTCATTTGTGACTAAGTCATTATAGTGAAGTACTTGGAAACCTTTCTATTCTAGAGAGTTCTGGGCACAAACACATTTACAGTGTGCACTAATGCCAGGCTCATGTCCTCACGTCCTCCAAGGGACAGGGATGAGCTGGGTCATAAACCAAACAGTGGGACTCTGGCAATCCCTTTTAGCTCAGGCAGATGCAAAATTGAAGACCCAAAAGAAGCCTTCCAAAGGTCACAGCAGGTTGCTCTCAGGAAAAGAGAATCAGTAATTTATTTTTAAGCAATCTCTTAGCCTCTGTGACAGTTATGTTTCCTTGTAAGCTGCTTTGGAGCCACTCACCACTCTGAAATTGCAGAGTAGGCTACGAACAATCCGGCTTCGTAAGAACATGCAAGTGAGGACCCACGAGGAGATATTCTTGTGCTTTTTAAAGTGCTTCTCTCACTTTGCTTCCTAAACTGCCTTAATTGAGGCAAGGGAGCCAACATGAGTGAGTTCCTTCCCGCGGCTTGCTCTGCCGTGGAGTTCAAGGATGCCTGAGCCCTCAAAACACGGCGCGGTGCAGTTGGGCTGATGGGAAGTCCTGAACAGCTTGCTGAATTATTACTTCATTCTCGGCTGAAGCAGCAGGAGGCGAGATGATGAGTGAAGGAAAAAACCCATGGACTCCAGCGTGGGCTGAAGGAACCAAAACAAACACTGAGAAGACAGGCCAATACTGAAATCTGTTTCAAGGATGGAGCGCGCAGGAATGTTTCACCATATTTTGTCTAAGGAACAGATTTCATTTTTTAATGGCTGTATTAATCAGTGGAAGCAGAACGGCAGGAAGGAATCCGTTTTCCCCTCTCCCCAACGCCTCCCGTGGCTCGCCCGGACATTCCCCCCATTCTTTGTACTGAAGGTGGCCTGGAAGTTTTAGAGGCGTGAGACAGGTTCTGAACTCGCATGCCCTTTCTTTCTCCTTCCCGAATAAATTTTGCGTAAGAATATTTGGGACAAGGAATCCACCATGGCGGGGTGCAATAAAAGCGTTTCACAAATTATGATTTCCCATTCTCTAGGCAGTTCAGCTCTGCCTAACAGCTCTAATTTCCTAGACAAATAGTCCTCCCTGTCCTCTCCAGCTGCTCACAGGCGCCTCTCTCTGGGTATTCTTTTTAAAATCCCTCTCCTGGGGAATTTTTAAAAAAGCTTCTCGCACTTTTTCATGCGATTTTCATGGTTCCATCCATCTCCCCACTTTTTTGGTCAAAGCCTTCCTCCCAAATATCAATTGCTTTTTCAACCCGTCCATACTACTGCTCAGCTGTTGGTTGAGCTTCTCCTAGCCTCCTGCTGCTGTCACTGGGCCAATGGAAGCCAGTCCCTTGCCTCTTTGTTCTATTATTTTATGGCAAGATAATAAACTTCTACATTTTTGAAGTACTTTTCACCGACTTGATATCAAGTATTTTGATAATCACAAAGTGATCAAACACATGTTCTCTTTTTCCAGTTACATAATGAGATCAAATATTGATTAGCAGTGAGTAGATAGATGTATATTGTACACACACACATACACCCGACCATCCTCCTTTTGGCCTATGGAGACTGTTACTCCAAAGAGCCGACACATTTGTGTTGACATTTCAGTCATCCAAGAAAGCTGCCAATGTCACTTCCTTTGAATATTTTCCTTCAGTTTTCAGGAAAGAGTTGGTGGGACTAGCTTATCATGGATGGCATGAGCTGAGGGGATGGTAATTTTTCACAAAAGTAGACATTGTTCGAGGCTAATAGTAAGCTGTAATCTAGACTCATAACTGTAGAGGGCGCTCTTGACTTAATAATGACAGCATTGCCATTGTCACTCCAGGAAGCTGGGAGGTGACAGAGTATCCTTTTATTACCAAGTATTTTATGGGGAAAGAGAGAAGGTGCCTTTTGGAATAGACAAGAAATCCATATTGTTTCATATTACCTTTTATAACATGTCTTCTTAAGAATAAGCTCATCATCTAATTCGTAGCCCCTGGTTACAGTTTTGTTGAAAGTGCAGAAGCTTCCAACTAATGAGAATGAATCTCATCAATGTCTCATACCTTGTGTTGGTCCTGCCACTTGGTAATGGGTGCTTTGCGTGCTGGGAGCTGGGAGCGATCTTCCAAAAATGGCAAGTGGGGTGGGCACTCCTTTGCGGAAAAGCCTTCTGTGGGTTTCAATTTCATTTAGCATGAACTCCCCACTTCTTACTGTGCCCTACCAAGGCCTTCTAGGATATAGCTTCTTCCTACACTTCAAGCTCTCTTTCTCTCTTCCTTCCCAGGGGCCGAATCTGGGACAGCACATGGACCTTGCCAAGCGGGGCACACTCTGTGGCATCTGCATTTGCTCTTCCATCTGCACAGTGAGCTCTTCCGTGCATCTTCCAAAGGCTGGCTCCTTCCCATTTCTCAGTCCTCTGGTCATAGAAACCCCTTGGAGGGAACTTTTTTGACTACCTCATCTAAAATAGGCCCGGCCCCAGCCAGCTTTTCTTTTTTAATTAAAAATTTAATTGTGATATAATTCACATAAGATTTCACAAAACACCACATTCACCATTTAAAAGTGTACGATTCAATGGTTTTCGGTATATTCACAATATTATACGGCCATCACCACTATCTAACTTCAGAACATTTCCATTGTCCCCAAAAGAAACCTCATACCATGAAGAAGTCACGGCCCACCTCGCATTCCTCCCAGCCTCTGGCATCCACTCATCTACCGTCTTGTCTGTATGGAATTGCCTGTGCTGGGTATGACACACCCACTTCTTTTTAAATGTTAAAGCACCCTGTTTGTTTCCTTCCTGGCATGGATGTATTTGCTCATTTACTTGTTTACCATTTATTCTCACAATCTATGAATAAGTCGCAGAGTTTCTTCACAATTCAGTCTGCCCAGCCTTAAAGTGAGCCCAGCCTTTCACCATAGGATCCAATCTATGTGGTGGTGCAACCACTTCTGGGGCTACTGTGGAAGAGACTCGTCTGTGGTAGCATGCCCTCCAAGAGTTCTTGAGGGCTCTATATCTTTTGAAGGATTTTCTGCTTTTCACTTGCAACCCACAGAGTCATAACTGATTTAATCACCTTCTTCAGAGTACTGCGTGCATTTGTAGAAGACTCTTTAAGGCCTGGGCTTCTTGCTGCAGCAATAAATACCAGTAACCTTTACAGAGCATGGGCCGTATGTCAGGCACAGGGATATGTGCTTCACTTGTATTTTTTCCACTTGGTTTTATTACAGTCCTGTGAAATAGGTATAATTATTGCATCCCATTTTAAAGATGAGAGAATTGAGGTTAAGGGAATTGGCACATTTTACTCAGCTAGTTTGTGGCAGAGTGGAGACTGGAGTCCCAGCAGTTAGACCTCCAGGGCTCATGCTCTTAACTATTCTGCTCTTTCTTCAGCCTCTCAGACTTCAGTCAAGTGTTAGCACGAAGTGACGGTGTGATGTTTGCATGCGGCATATGAATATTATTGCTCCTGGTAAGATTGTTTACGATGACATCATAGACAAAGAAATGTTTCCTTGAGTTCCTAGTATAGCAGCTGAGCAACAGTTTTTGTTATATGGGATTCTTTTCTGCCCTTTAGTTTGGGAAGTGACCAGCAAGGTGTCCTGGGAATGCCAGGGGGCTGTATAAGTCTTTGCGCATGGATGAAAGGAAGAGGCATGAGATGGAAGCTCATGCTTCCAGAGCAGATGGCCCTTGGAAGAACTTGGTTTCCTGCAGGAGGGTTGACTCCCAGGAGAACTACATCTCAACAGCTTAGCCATGTGTATTAGTCAGAGTTCTCTGGAGAAATATAACTAATACATGATATGTTTTATATATATATGTGTATATATATGTATATATATATATGTGTATATATATGTATATATATGTGTATATATGTATATATGTGTATATATGTATATGTGTGTGTATATATGTATATATGTGTATATATGTATATATATTCATATATATGTATATATATGTGTGTATATATATGTGTATATATATTTAAAGAGATTGATTTTTGAAGAATTGGCTTATGTGATTACAGAAGCTGGAAGTCCCAAATTTACAGGGTGGACCAGTAGGCTAGATAACCTGGGAAGAGCCAGTGCTGTGGTTCAAGTCTGAAGGCTGTCTGCTGCAGGATTTATACTTGCTCAGGAAAGGTCAGTCTTTTGTTCCATTTAGGCCTTCAGCTGATTGAATGAGGCCCACCCATATTATGGAGGGCATTCTGCTTTACTCAAAGTCCACTCATTTAATGTAAATCTCATCCAAAACCACTTTCACAGAAACATCCAGAATAATGTTTGACCACATATCTGGGCTCTGTGGCCCAGCCAAGTTGATATAACCATCAAGGTGAGGTACTCAGTGCTCAGGTCCAGTTCACCTAGGATCTAGGCTGGAAGGCAAGGAGGGCAGTGTTGTTGGGAGGGCATTCTACCTCCTACAAGGTGAGGGGAGTCTGG
The DNA here is from genome assembly GCF_000001405.40 of Homo sapiens. NCBI lineage: Eukaryota > Metazoa > Chordata > Mammalia > Primates > Hominidae > Homo > Homo sapiens. Next base: position 54,345,495 of record NC_000014.9, on the reverse strand, counting down.
ATCTCATCTACTGTAAGGGATGACCAGTCGGCTCTCCAAGGGTGGTTCTGGTGGAGAAAGATGTGTCTCAGCCATCTTGAGTTTGCCCGGAGACCAAGCACTTGTCAGAGACCCACCTTTGGGTTGGTGGGTAGAAGAGCAGATGGTCTTTGCACTTTCTCACTGGGTGGATCTCAGGGAGTAAGTGATTATTCACCCACAGAAGGCCCACTTGGTGCTAGCTTGAGCCGTCTCTGGATTGTATTCATCCATTCAACAAATACCTGCTGACTGTTTATTACATGCCAGGGCTCTTCTAAGTAGTGGGGATACAGCAGTGAACAGACAAAAATCTCTGTCCTCAAGAAATTTACATTCTGGGAGTGAGAAGAGACAGACATCTAAAGAAAATAAAGAAGTAAAGTAGTATGTTGTAGACCAGATAGTGATAAGTGCCATGAGGAAAAATAAAGGTGAGAGAGGAAATGGGGAATGCCGTGGTCAGTGGGGTGGGGGTTAAGGGGGGTAGGGGTTAGGGGTGCTGGTGGCTTGTACTGTGATGTAGGGTGGTCAGGGAAGGCCTCCCTGTATAAAAGGTGCCTTTTGAGTGAAGAGCAAGTCATGAGGATAACAGGAGGAAGGGAACTCCGGGCAGACGGCACAGCAAGTGCAAAGCCTCTGAGGAAGGACTGTGGCTGCTGTGTCTGAGGACCCCAGAGGCCAGACGGCCTGGGACAGAGTGGGGAGGAGGAGCATGGGGGGAAGTGCAGTGAGAGAAGACCAGGACCAATAGGAGGCCAGAGGGAGTGGGGCCCCAGCACCACTGTGAGGCCTGGCTTCTAATCTGAGAGATCCGGAAGCCAGTGGAGGGGTTTGTGTGGAGGAGTGACACGGTCTGGCTGCTCTGCTGGGACAGACGGTGGGGTGTGTGTGGGAGGGTGGAGGGGAGAGCCGGGCAGAATCAGGGAGACTCTTCCTGGAATCCAGGGGAGAGATGGTGGTACCAGGGACCAGCGTGTTGGGGAGAAGTGGCTGGGTTCTATATCTGCCTGGAAGTTCAGGCTGAAAGGATCTGCGGCCTAGAGTGAGGACTGTGAAGTGTGTGTGTGTGTGTGTGTGTGTGTGTGTGTGTGTGTGTGTGTGTTGTTGAACAGGGGAGGTTTAAAATGTACCTTCCCATCCAGCCCTCTCCTGCACAACCTCACATCAAGGTTGGAAGGGGATGGTCTTTAGACTTTAGGATTTCTGCCCTCAACACGAGTGTCTGAGAACTGCCTTTGGGGGCTGTTGTAGGAGGTGAAACCAATTTGATCATAATGGGAGAGAAAACCCCTCCATGGCCCAGGGTGGATTTACCTGATCACCCATCTTTCCCGGTCCTTGGTGCCGTGTGGACATCTGCGACCCAGTGGCCACTCAAAGGAAATGACCTCATGAGCGTGCCTTTCAAGCCACACAGGATGGATTGGAGTGCGACATTTGGCCGGTCGCTCTGGTTTACACCAAATGCAACAACTTGTGGCCTGCAGATCCTCAGTATAAATAGCTGGAAAAGCCTGACCTTGACAAGCTCATTTCTCATTCCTTTCTTGTTACAGGTAATAGAGCTGAAAATGTGGTTTTAATTATAGCACTAATGAAAACTGAAAATCCAGACAGACACTTGATGAACTCTGCTGCGCTTTATATTACATTTGTGCTAACTACAAAGTGCCCAGCTGGGTGTAACATGATCCCCTTTCCTCGAGCATCCGCCTGACTGAAGCTGTATAATTGATGTGTACTTTGGCAGGAGGTCAGCTTAAAGGGTTTTTTTTTTTTTTCTTTAAGATTTTTTTTTAAACATCTTTAACGGTACTTTGGGGAAAGGGGTACGTTTATTACCTGGGCTGGGAGAACATTTCTCTGGGTTGCCTGACATGCCCCACCCCCATTCCAAACTTCTTCTAGAGCATTCCGTACAGCACCTTCAGGAGAAGCTCCAGGGCCAGAAATGAGCTGAGAGACTGACTTTAACTTGGAGCCCTGTAACTTTGTTGTCGGCCGGTGACTTTACCACGCAGCCCTCCTCTCTCTATTCCTACCTGTCAGAAGGACGTGTTCAGAGTCTCTGTAAGGGACAGTTTCGGTAGCTGTGACATGGAGGCTGTGACCCATTGGCCTTGCATGCTGGCCTTCGTGTGCTGCACTGCCTCTCTCCCCAGGCCATGGGGCTCCTTACACGTAGAGGTGCTGAATAAAATACAGGATGCCCAGTTATATTTGAATTTCAGATAAACAGCAAATGCTTTCAAATTATTTTTGTTTATCTGGAATTCAAATGTAACTGGTCATCCTGTAGTTTCATTTTTGAATCTGGCAACCCAGCTCATAGAGTTTCTGTGGCTGGACAGGGTCTCGGAAGGGACTTAGGAAGAATTCCTGCCCTGACTTAGAGACAATGTAAGGTTAACTCTGCTTTAGCTAACCACAGACCTTCATCCACATCCCATCAGACTACCACATCGCGCTCTCACCCTGCTCCTTAGGCCACACCCTGCATTCACTCCTGTGGTTCTAGATGATTGGAATTCATGGCACAGCCAACCTCAAAAACAATGAAAGGTTCTGTAAAGGCCCACTGGTGATCATGGTGTCTTTACTGGCTGGGTGGGTGGCCAAGTTACATAATCTCTTTCTTGTTTAGTTTGTAATCTTTTTGTTTTTATTTACATTTTTGAATGGGTAATCTATTCATATTACTTACAGAGATTTCAATAAAACATGAAAGGTATACAGTAAGAAGTCTCCCTTTCCCTTTTCTTGTTCAGCCATCCAGTTCCTTCTCTTGTAGGCAACACATACTATTAGTTTCTTATTTTTCCTTCTAGAGATATTTATGCATAGATACACAAATAAGTATATATCCTCCCTCTTCCCGATTTCTACACAGCTGTCAGCATATTGGACCCACTGTGCTCATTGCAGTAAAAGCGTCTTCTTTTCTTCACCTCCAATATCTTGGAGATCTTCTCATACCACAGCATAAAAAACTTATTATTTTTTTAATGGCTGCATTGTGTGGTCATATCATTATTTATTTATTTATTTGAGACAGGGTCTGGCTCTATCACCCAGGCTGGAATGCAGTGGCGTGATCTCAGCTCACTGTAGCCTCGACTTTCTAGGCTCAGGTAATCCTCCCACCTCAGCCTCCCCAGTAGCGGGGACTACTGGCATGTGCCACCACCCCTGGCTAATTTTTGTATTTTTTGTAGAGGTGAGGTTTTGCTATGTTGGCCAGGCTGGTCTTGAACTCCTGGGCTCAAGCAATCTGCCCACCTTGGCCTCCCAAAGTGCTGGGATTATAGGTATGGGCCACTGTGCCCAGCCCCATCATTTAATCAGCTTCCTTTTGATGAACATTTATGTGGATTCCAATTGTTTGCTGTTACACACAGCAATGCAGTACATGCATTATTTGTATTTATGTGAATGCCTTAGGTTAAATTCCTAGATACGGAGCTGTTGGGCCAGAGTACATGCATACATTTGTAGTTTGCCAAGTTGTTCTCCATGTTAGTTTCCCATAGCTGCTACAACAAATTACCACAAATGCAGTGGTTTTAAACAGCACAAAATTATTATCTTACAATTCTGGAGGCCTAAAGTCCTCAAACCAAGATGTGGCAGGGCTGTGCTCCTTCTGGAGGCTCTAGGGGAGAATCCATTTCCTTGCCTTTTCCAGATTCTTGAAGCTACCTGCATTCCTTGGCTTGCGATCTCTTCCTCCATCTTTAAGGCTGGCTGTGTGGCATCTGCAAATCTCTCTTTCTCTGGCCACTGCTTCTGTTATCACAGCTCTGCTGGCTCTGACACTCCTGCCCCACTTTTGTAAAGAGCATTATGATGATATTGGGCTCACCTGGATAATCCAGGACACACTCTCCATTTTTAGATCTGCAACTTTAATCACTTATGCAAAGTTCCTTTTGCCATGTAAGGTAATATAGTCACAGGTTACAGGGAGTAGCATGTGGACATCTTTGTGGGGTCATTATTCAGATGGCCACACTCTCCATGGAGTTTGTCCCAATTTAAACTCCCAACACAGCCCTAACTCGCAGAATGTGCATTCAAAATTTCTGAATCTTTACCAATCTGAGAGGTTAAACAAATGGCATCTCCATGTAAATTTTACATAGCATTTTTCCTTTTATGGGAATGGGGGACCTATTCTTTAAGAATCATCTCTTTTTTGCTTTCTTTTTGAATGTCTATTCAAATACTTGCTTATTTGTCTATCAGGTTGTCAGTTGCAAAGTGATTATATGTTGGTGAGAGTAGATGGTGTTTCTGAAAAACAGGTTGCACTTTTTTTTTTTTTTTTTGCAGTTTGTCATTTGTTTTCACTTTGCTTTTAAAGGCTTTTTCACCATGTAAAAGGCTTTAGTTTTATGTAGTTGAATTTATCGAATTTATCTATGGCTTCTGGGTTTTGTGTCATAGTTACAATGACCTTCTCCACCTCAAGGTAATAAAAGAAACAGTTTCTTTTTAAATTTAAGTAAACAGAAAACATACAGTCTTTTTTGAAGAGGTAGAAAATACAGATTGACAATAAAAAAGAAAAGCCACCTAAAACATATACAGTATTCTGTGGTATATTTTATGTAAGAGGGGCCTACAACATTATGCTTTGTTTGAATGTGGGAGCAAGGCAGTGGGTCACTGAAGCTGGCCCACATTCAAGGGTAGTTGAGCCTATTGTGAGCATCTCTTCCCAACACTATGTTTGGTAACATCAATTTGGGAGTTTGAAATTAATCCTGTTGAGGGTGTTTACAGTATAGAAGTTGGCAGAAGCTACAAATCAGAGCTTTTTTCCCTAGCGAACTAGTTGTGAAACATTTACCAGCACACCACTAGGGCTAGAGAACTTGTTTTCAAAGCTTTTTTTATTTAAAAAAACCCAATAACTCAGTTTACTTAGGGTTTTTTGTTTGTTTGTTTGTTTGTTTTCTGTTTGAGAATAACTGAATGGCTATTGGTAGGACTAATAGGGATTGTATGTGGGTAGCTTTAGATCAGTGGTGCTTCTGTGCATGAGTGTGTGCAAACACACACATTTACTAGACAATCACGTGGTGCATTAAGTCTGGTGACCTGTTTTTTTTTTGTCTCTTTAATGGTATTGTAGCCATCTTTCTACCTCAATAAATATTTATCCGAATCATTATTTTAATGGTTGCATTTTATGCTGCAAAATGATTTATTGCATTTTGACCAATCCCCTGTTGAGACACTTATGAAACTTCTGTATGTCTCAGTTTCCCCCTCCAGTTGCTAGATGAGGCTATTCAGTTCTTCTCAAGGATGTTGGGATTATCAGTGAGAAAACTTTCAAGGAGTGCTGTGATACCCTCAGATATGGGAGATCTTTCCAGTGTTGGCATCACTCTTCTGACTACCCCCAACTGGGCAGGCCTTTTGGTATAACTAGCTCAGACCCCTTAGAAATGTAAATTCTGGAGCTATCTATGTAGCAACAGCAGCTCAGGAAGAGCTGAGCTAAATAATGGTAGCACTTAAGATGTGGATCCCAAAACACAGAAGCCCTGCCATGAGACAGACAGGGAAGGTGACAGTTAAGTCATAGATAACAAGACGAGGACAAATTCCATCAACTCACTGTGAAGTTTCAGACAGGCCAGCGGGAATGGAGGATTCAGGGTGGGGGATAATTAGAGAAGATATTTTTGGGCTAAGAGACAAAGTGGAAATGACATTTCCTAGTTAGCATGGACTAAAAAAGTGCCACACAATAAATCTTTCTCAGATTATCTTTTTTTTTTTTTTTTTGATCTTGCTCTGTCACCCAGGCTGCAGTGCAGTGGTGTGATCATAGCTCACTACAGCCTCAAACTCCTGGGCTCCAGTAATCCTCCTGCCTCAGTCTCCCAAGTTGCTGGGACTACAGGTGCATGCCACCATGACTGGCTATTTATCATTATTATTATTATTTTTTTTGCAGAGACAGAGTTTCTTAGGCTGGTTTTGAACTCTGGCCTCAAGTGACCCTCCTGTCTCGGCCTCCCAAAGTGCTGGGATTATGGGTGTGAGCTGCTGTGCCTGGACTGAATATCTTCAATTCTGTGTTTTGGAGAATTTAAGAGAAATATGAGAAAGGAATGAGTAGACTGATTTTAGTGAGGAAAAAATTGGACATTCTTTAAGTTCATAAACATCTTTGAACAACCACTTTGCCAGACATCAGCTTGATTTTGTTATATCCAGAACCACTGGCTACTGGTGATGCTTTTGATGATGAAATACAGTATTACTGCACTCAATTTAGTCCACAGAGTTATGCTGTGATGTTATTTGAATAACGTAATTGCTCTGAGTGGGATTACCATCTACTAAAGGGAGGAAGGTGCTCTGAACATTTTCAACAAGTGCTAAGAAAGATTATTAATATGTAAATTTAAAATTAGTGCCTACACTGAAGGTTTGAAAATACTCTTTCGGTGTTTCCTTGACCTTAAGGACAAACAGGCACTACCAAGGTGAAATACCATAACCTACTCTGGTTTTTGATTTCTTAAGACATGTTGTTGCCACTGGAAGGCAGTGTTGCTTAGCCACCGTGTGCATCCAAGACATTGGGCAGATCTGAAGGTTTGTCCTGAATTTGCAAGGAATCCTATTGAGCTAAAGAAGCGCTTTTCTATATGCCTCTTTTCAGAATCTGGCAAAGATCACGGGCTGCTCATGGATGCACCTTGCTTGTCGGGTGTTTCCTTTAAGCAGGAGTGTTGACTTTAATTATGTGAAATCAGCCTGTATGTACTAAGCTGGTGAGCCTTGATTCCCTTTGGTCTCCACCTTTCTCACTTGTGAAATGGGACCATCAGTCCTCGAAACCTAACAGCATAATGCAAACACAACACAACACAACAGAACAACCAAACAAACAATGGCGGGGTTTCCATACAGTCACACGAAAACTGACCAGTTGATCAACGAATTATAGAGGTATTCTTTCAGAAATCTCACTTTGACTATTGACTCTCATTAGACAAAATTATTTCATGATTATCCTAGTTTTTTTTTTCTCCTATCACCTACCATACTCAGTAGAATTCTAGGTAAATCATGAGTTTTCTCAAAGAAAACTGATTTAACAATTAAACACATATTCTTCCTGCATTTTTTTCTCCTTATCAACAAATCTTCAGGTAGGGTTTTGATTTAGAAGCACACTTCAGGATGCAAATTAGGGAGTACTCTCTTGATTTTTTAATAATATACGTCTCCCCTTTAGACTATTAATAGTAACCTTTATCTTTGTACAGTGGATTCAAAATTTAAAGCCTTTGAATATATTTTCTCATTGAATTCTCCTAACAGTCTGTGAATTTGGTAAGGGAGGAATCATGATTTCTATTTTGATGCTCAGGAAACAAGTTCAGGTTGAGTGAAGCTCCCAAAGCCAATTAATCAACTTCTGGTTTTAAACTGTGCTTTCCCTCTTCTTTGTATACACTACGTATGAACAAAGGACCTTCGTGACACAGGCTGTGGTGGGAAGGCTGGAATTATAGGCTTTTATTCACAGCATTTTTTGGTCCCATCTTTCTTCCTTCAGTTCATAGACAAGCTTACCTCATTTTGGTTTTGTCAATAAAGGGTCAGCACAGCATCATTTTTCATGGACTTATGGTGAATAAGGGGCTCCCTATGTTAAAAGCTTTTCTGCTTCTTAGGGGGCTTTAATCTAAAGAGTGTTTCTGCAGAGATGTCTTTCACCTGAAAGACTGTGGATCACTTTTCAAACGCGGAATTGTCTTATCTGAAATACATTTCTACCTGTGCTGAAAGACACAGGCATAATCAATGCCTTGATCATAGGAACAATCTTTATCAAAAGTGCTTTAGATCCTGAAGAGCCTAAGGGTAAGAGAGAGAGCGGCCCTTTGCTGGTGTCAGAATGTGGTCAGGAGCTCAGCTCCCTCGTGGACTCGGCTCGATGCAAGGTTTCAGCAAACGCTTCGGAATCCCTCTAATCCCTTCCGTGTTTTCAGCATCAGGTAATTAACATATTTCTAGATGCAGGTCACTTTAGTTCAATTGTTGCCTTTATATCCTGCAGCGGCTTAGTTTTAGTGTCATTTTAAAAACTGAAAGCTGCAGTGTACCAGGTAGTGAATTAGTTAATGAGGATTCTTTTGTCTATTATACTGGCTATCAATATGGATTGAAAGTTAAATTCACCTTCCTCATTGCCCTCCAGCAAAGTTCATGAATGAGGAATAGTCCCTCAGAAGCTGCTTAAAAAATCAAAGTCAGACTTACTATTAATACCAGTATTCAGACATAGTTGGTAAGACCTATAAGGTAGGTCCTTTTATCCTTGACTAATCCAGCTCAGAGCTAGGAGTTTTGAGAAGACTAGATAGATGGATCACAGCTGACATTCTTCTTTTTATGTTAACATTGTACCATGCTAGTGAAGTCTCTCACATTGTGCCTATATAATTTAATAATATATCACACACATATAACTTTTAATTTAAAATTTTAATTTTTCTCTTTTTTAAGGCAGGGTCTCACTGTCGCCCAGGCTGGAGTGCAGTGGCACGATCACGGCTCAAGTGATCCTCCACCTTAGCCTCCCAAGTAGTTGGGCCAACAGGCATGCACCACCACACCCAGTTATATTTAAAAAAAATATATTTTGTGGAGACATGATCTCAAATGTTTCCCAGGCTGTTCTCAAACTCCTGGGCTCAAGTGATCCTCCTGCCTTGGCCTCCTGAAGTGCTGAGATTACAGGCATGAGTCCCTGCACCCAGCCTTAAGATATTTTTAATTAAAGTTTTAATGAGATAGTTTTAGATTTACAAGCAGTTATAAGAAATAGTACAGAGATGTATTAGTCCATTTTCATGCTGCTAGTAGAGACATACCCAAGACTGGGTAATTTATAAAGGAAAGAGGTTTAATTGGTTCACGGTTCCACATGGCTAGGGAGGCCTCACAATCATGGTGGGAGATGAAGGAAGAACAAAAAGATGTCTTACATGGTGGCTGGCAAAGAGAATTTGTGCAGGGGACTCCCCTTTATAAAACCATCAGATATCATGAGATGTATTCACTATCACGAGAACAGCACAGGAAAGACCTACTGTCATGATTCAATTACCTCCCATGGGGTCCCTCCCATGAAACATGGGAATTAAGGGAAGTACGATTAGAGATTTGTGTGGGGACACAGCCAAATCATATTGAGAGAGATACCACATAATCTTTGCCAGTTTCCCTCAGTGGTAGCATTTTGCAAAAAACTATAGTATAATATCATAACCAGGGTATTAACAATAATACAATCCACTGATCTTGTTCGGACTTCCCCGGTTTTATTTGTGCTCACCTGTGTGTGTGCATATGTGCATGCATATGTGTTCATGTGCTTAGTTCTGTACAATCTTGTCATGTGTGTTCATGTTTCACCACTACTTCTAGACCCTGAACAGTTCCATAACTGCAAGGATCCTTCACATTGCTCTTCTATAGCCACACCCACCTCTATCCTGCCCATGCCCTCACCTTTCCTTAACCCCTGGCCACTACTAATCTGTCCTCCATTCCTAAAATTTTGTCACTTCACAAATGTTTTATAAATGAAATCATACACTATGTAATCTTTCAGGATTAGCTTTTTTGTTTTTGGACTCAGCATAATCCCTGGATAGTCATTCCAGTTATTATGCCTATCAATAGTCTGCTCCTTTTTATTGCTGAGTCATATTCCATGGTATTAATGTACCACAGTTTGTTTAATCATTTACCCATTGAAAGACATTTATGTTGTTTCCAGTTTTGGGCTATTATGAATAAAGCTGCTATGAGTATTCATGTACAGGTTTAGCATGAACATAGTTTTCATATATCTAAAATAAATGCCCAACGTATACATCATTTTAAAGAATAAAAGGAGTAGAATTTTTATGCTACCTTCCAGAAGTTATATTCTTCTAAAAGATGATTCACTTCAGCTTGTTTAGAGACTCCATACTTGTAAACACCATGAATATTTATTATTTCTATCTTGTCCTAGGTAAACAGAAAGGTTTTTTGCATGAAAATAATTTGGATTTCAGTCAATTCATTATGTGGCTATTTCATGGGGTGATGAGGTATTAGTAATTAAAAAAGAAAAAGGAGGCACAGGCAGAGTTATCACCTCCTGCTTTGCCTTGCCACCTCTAAACTCTGCCAGTTATATGAAGTCCCTCTGTGGCTGTCATAGGACATTGTGGTCATTTGTTTTCACACCACACTCCCCACCCTGCTGGTCTCTCAATTCCTTGAGAGCAGGGATCCTGTCTTAATTATCTCAGTAATGCAGAGTAGATTCCTACAAAATGTTTCTTAAAGAATGCATTCCTTTTGTGCATAGGATATTTTATAAGTCATCTAATATATTTAATTTTCATTGAACTCATTTGATTAGAAATAGGAAAAATGTACCTTAATATTTTCCAATTATGTTATTATGATCTTATATACGAGAAGGAATTCCTGATTAAGACCATGCTTCATAGAAAATTGGAGAGTAGTTTAATATGTGTTAGGGTGAAGGGAATTTGTTAAGCATGGAAGTGATATAATCTAGTACTTCACCTGAGATAAACTAGATGGAAAATTCAACTTTTCCCCATGTAACGTCAAAAAATGACTTAAGCCAACAGTAAGCCCAAACCTGCATTTTGTAGTGTGATTAGTATATGTGTAAATGTAAAAATTCTCTACATTTTGACAGTTGAAAGATATTTAATGTCATTTTAATTCAGGCTTATACAAGGGAGGATTTCAGCAACACTCCTTGGAAGCCATAGCTATCACAACAGAAAGAGTATCAGAAGTCTAGGTAATTTTATTTTTACCATCAGTGGTTTGAGTTTGGTATTTGATTTTGAACTTCATGGTAAATGTGGCATTCCTGGTATTACTACCGTAGCCTTTGTATATTACATTGCTTTGGTCCACAATCAAGATGGTAAAGCTCAACAGTCCTGGAGCCCACAGTTAGGCTTTATTCATAGAAATTAATTCAACTTTAAAATATCTATATGGTAAAGAAAATATTTACAAAGACCAATGAAATGTGCACATAATTATATACCAATTTTTAAATTACAAATTTGAACTTCTTTCCTAAATCTTTTGTAGGAATTTTTAAAGGTAACAATATCCAATAATTGTCTTATGATCTCCTTTTGCAAGCTTTCCTAGGGTGCTACACAGATATATAAAGCTGCCAAATGGCATGTTGAAACATTGAAAAAATTAGTGTTTGAATAATATGAAAATTTAATTTTCTGAAGTAGCCCATACACTCTTATGTGATCTGATATAAAAGTTGTCCTTTCCTTTTAAATTTGACAAATTTTATATCAAGGAGTTTTTGGACATTTTCCTTCTGGGAAGGCTAGAAAAAAATTAGAAACTCTTCCATTCTTGACATCTATTGTATTTTGGAGAGTTTACGTTGGTAGGCTAATATGTGATATTATTTAAGAAGCAACAACAATTTATAGTTTGGCTGAAGCCGGTTCTTGTAATAATGACAGGCACGATTCAGCACTAATCCATGGGGATCTATGCAACATGGCAAACAATACACTTTCCAAGACGTGTTTGAATTATGAATCCAGTGGTGGGCGGTCTCTAAGTTTTGTGCAGAATAGCTTTGGTGTGAGTTGATGGAGCATTTTGTACCTGGGATTCAGAACTTTTATGAAGGCCAATACCCTGAAACTCATTCAAGCAATAAATTCACTTGTCTTTGAGTTTACAAGGCAATAAACAGTGAAGGCCTTTGACCTTAACATTTACTGAATACATTTGCAGCAGTTGTGTTTATTGACAACTATTTATAGGGAAGCATTGGGCACTGAATTTCCTAAGGGCCGGGGGATGGGGGGAGGTTAGGGTAACCAATTTTGCAGGTCTTTTTTAAAAAATAAAAATTCTTAATTTAATTTTCAGCTACTTGACAAATTTTTAGTTTTAGAGTTAGGGTTTGATTCTGTGTATAAATCATGCTTTGAGTATTTCTTTCATTGTGATAAAAGCTTGATTAGGTTAGGTATTTTTAAAGAAAACTCATAGGGAGAGGCTAACATTGGAATAAATGCTTGCCCATTAAATTCAACTCTACACTTTGAAAGTAGGACAGGTGAGAACGGTAAAAGGATTTAAAGTTATTATTATTTTTTTTCCCATGGATTCATTCTATGTCGTGAAGTAAATCACTTTTTTTCCATACGAACATACAGTTGTAAGGACTGATAATACGATGTCTCCGAAAGATGATGGAAGAATTTATTTATCCCAAGCACATTGTGCATTTTGAGTTTCATGGATTAAGCACGTAAAAGTAAAATAGGGATCTTTATTATTGAAATAATTGCTGTCATGGAACAGGCAGCCTGCTGCTCTTTGCTCTTCCTGAAAGTTGGGAGGGATCACCATTGCTCCACATTGCAGATGGGAACCTAGGCCATCTAGGTTTTGTTTTGGTCGGAGGGTGGGTCCGTGGTGATGACTGAATTAGGAAAGATGTAACAGGGCATGAAGCAACAGTAACGGGAAGGGCCACTTTTACTCAAGGAGATGCTTCCAAGTCAAGTTTTACTATAGACTCAAACCGCAGTTACTTCCCACCACGAGGGAACCCCTTCTGGTGACTCTATTTGAACATGCTTGAAATAGAAATTCCGTGCTGGTTTCGGTGGAGCTCAAGCTTTGGAGGACAAGATGTGCTGATCATTATCTTAACATCTGATGATGGTGGGAGTACCTGGAGGAGTAGTTAACAGAATCCATCCTTCTGGATTCCACGGTAACATTGACACCACACTCTCAGTAGAGGAATTCTGCAAAAACTGCATTTGGCAGCCTTGCAGTTAGCTTAAAATACTTCAGCTCACAAAATTCTTTACAAGCTTTCTTAGCACAGAAGGAGTAAACTGCAAATGAAGTATGTGTTCTTTTTGTCTAATAAGTGCTGTCACTTTTTATTAGATATTATGTATCTGTGGACCAACTCTATTGAGTCCTGGTCTATATTTTTGCTTATTGACTTGCATCTGGGCTTGCTTACATGTCTGTTTCAACAGGTTGTTAATATAAAGGCTGTTGCATTTGCTTGTTGAGGGGATGGCATCTGATTTGGTTGGTTTAGCTAGGTAAATCTGGTGTTACGGTGTTAGTGGCTAAGGTTCTAGTTAGCCCTGCCTAGAAACAAAAACATGTTTCAATTGCATCAAAATTGAAATTTGTGAAAGAAATGACCATATTTATTTCACAAAATATGGTCATTATTCTGGGGGAATGAAGGGATGGTGTGGGTGACTCTGGAAAATTCATTGATTAAACCCAGCAAAGCCCAGGGTAGATACTGCTGTTGGAAATCAGTTGGTGAGATAACTGACAATAGCTGGAATCATGCATCTTATAGAATTAAGAGTTTTGCATTATTCTTTTCATAATGATCAGACGCTTGTCAAGTGTTTCCCCATAGTCATATTCAGCATGACATTTCAATATGGTCTTCTCACATTGAAATTAATTTCATCTTAATTTAGCCGTTTGCTGGTGTGCTTCTGGCCTGTAATTGAAGACAACACTCCACACAAAGTTATGGGGTTGTGTGGTGATATTAGTTGGGCAAAGCAAGTGGCTGCTTTCTAAGGTTATCCTGTGTAATGCCTTTTTCCAGTTCAAGAGCATATCTTGTTTTAAACAACTTTTTGAAAGGCAGCCAAAGAAAAGGTTGGCTCTGATATGCCCTTACCCGTCCTGTTTATGGGATACAGTGTTCCATTTCTTGGAAGAAGATGATAAAGTGAAGTTGGATTTCGGAGGTGCACGGGAATATGTGTTCGTGTGTTTAAATTCTATGTGTAAGAGGAAAGCCCAAAGGAAAAGAATAAAATAGAAAAACATTACAATAGGAAGATGGATTACTATGTTATACTTAGTTACAGGTACCAAAGTAGGAGTGAAGTTCTAATCTTTTTTAGTGAAAAGAGTACATTAGGAACACCTAATGGTGATGAATTGGCATTACTTTGGATGGATTGAAGTTGGGGCAAGAACATGAGAAATGGCATGGATTTGGAGGAATTTTATTTTCTTTCCTGTTCACTCTTATCAAACATAAAGGCAAACAAAATTTTCTTGAAGGCCAGAATTGTTTTTGTGATTCAGCTGATCTCACATGTTAACTTTGGGACACTCACCTAGAAAAACGGGAAGCTTAACTCCCTGACAAAACTAGGAATTCCCTGAAATAACTAGAAACTTCCCAGAAAGTGGTACACTCAGCCTTGTGTGGAAAACAAACAAACAAACAAAAAATTCCACAGGCTGCGGAAACCTATTTGTTAAACAGCGAAGGGAAGTGCCGTTGGCCAGACAGTCTAAACACAGGAATGTCAGGCAGGAGATCAGATCTACAATCGGAAGGGGAGAAGAGGCTGATAAGGCCTCCAAGAAAGCAGGTCAGTCACCAAAAGTGGTTTCAGAGGTAAAGTGAGGAGGGCCAGGATGTTTGTGATACAATCACATTGTGCTGCTAAATTCTGGCACACACTGCAGGAGCTGATGAGCTGATGCTAAGAGGCACTATTTAAATAATGCAGTTTGTGCAAATGTGGAACCCCCCCAAATTGTGCTTACATATGACATGAAATACGTTACATTTAATGTGAAACAATCTTACTGGGAAGTAGTCTTCCTCCTTCTCAACAGGGCATCTTCTGTAGTCAGTGCCATTGAGCAACATGTTAGTTGTATAACTAGGGTTAGAGATGATGTGTGTGTGTGTGTTTTTTGTTTTTTGTTTTTTTTTTTTTTGAGACAGGGTCTCACTCTGTGACCCAGGCTGGAGTGCAATGGTGTGATCATGGCTCACTGCAGCCTTGACCTCCTGGGCTCAAGTAATCCTCCCACCTCAGCCTCCCAAGTAGCTGGGAGCACAGGCACCACCACATCTGACTAATTTTTAAAATTTTCTGTAGAGACAGGGTTTTACCATGTTCTCGAACTCCTGGGCTCAAAAGATCCACCCACCTTGGCCTTCCAAAGTGCTGGGATTACAGGCGTGAGCCACTGCACTAGGCCGACAATCTGTGTTTTGAACTCTGGATCTGCGAGGCTCATTTCCATATATTAACAGGGAGATCATTTTTGTGCAATGAGGATTTTATATGGCGTTACTTACTTTTCCTCCAAATGTAGACTTACTTCAATTAGGCTCAAGACAAGACACTTTCATGCTTCTCTTTCTATTTTTGGTTTCTTGGAAGTATAACCTTTCTGGAGAAGATGGCAACTTTGAACATTTTCTGTGCATTTGTGAGTTTCTAAGATTTCAATTTATGGTACCAATTCCTACCCTGAAACACTGGAACTTGTGGTCATAATGATAAGCAGTGAAAACAGAGTTTAAAAATGTACCCCAGGTAACCGTGAGAGTGAGCCTCGCTGGGGATGCTGTGCAGGTAACGGTGAGAGTGAGCCTCCTTGGGGATGCTGTGCAGGTAACCGTGTGAGTGAGCCTCCTTGGGGATGCTGTGCAGGTAACTGTGTGAGTGAGCCTCGTTGGGAATACTATGCAGCTGAACATTTTTGAACTCTTGCTTCATCACTTCTGATTCTGCCCTTGGAGGACAGAGATATGCAAAAGCACATGCTGGGGATTCAAAGGAAGCTAAACTGTATTCCAAGGTGTTCTGAAGCTTGTTTTCAGCCAGTGTAAGCGTGGTGTTCTTGACAGGGGGGTAGTGTTCAGGTGTCCGCATGTGGAAGGCGAACATTGCTGCTAAGTGAGAATTGTCAGTAAGTGGAAATCAGAAGCGGAATACCCTTAGCCTTCCTTCTTGTTCAACATTAATCTCAGGACTACATTTATAGGCTGATTCCAGATGTGCTTGATTCCAAGGCTGAGTTTTCAGAGGTGACACGTGGTGTTTACCTCCGCATAAAAAAGGTCAAATTGTGTTATAGATCGAAGGGCAAATGTCTGACTATCCCATGGGAGTGCCTGATAGATTGTTTGGTTGCAATTTGGCCCAGAAGCTGGAGGACAGAGTGCTTACCCACTGGAGTAGGGAAAAGATGTCATTCTCCATGGCTGCGGTAGAGGTCGCAGCTTGAAAGGAAAGAGCTACTTAGAGGACGTGAAATAGGAGCTTTTAATTTGGTGTCTGCCGGGGTCATTCCCCTTGGTGCACCACTCTAAGCTGCTGGCTGACTCTTGGTGTTGTTATTCTGCAGCTACGGTATTTGGTGAGCTCTGCTTTTAGGAACACTTAATTAGTTTGACCTGCCCCACTGCTTCTTACATGAGGGGAAGCATTCCAGGGATAGAGCTTGAGACCAGTGCCTCTCCAACTTGAGAAATGCATGGACGTCTTTTAAAGGGACAACATTGTCTTTGTGCATTCTGCTATTGACTAACATCCTTTTTATTATTATACTATATATGCACATTAAGTTTAGATATACATTTCTTATGCTTACAAAACCAGTACTATTCAAAATAATAATATTCATCAAATAGAGTGGATGATATCATTTTGCTAAATCCCAAATCACTGGCTAAGACTAGAAGCACAAATCTGAGGCTGAACCCTAAGTTTAATTTGTATTAAATTAAAGGATTTAACTTCAATGATGCTAGTTCAGAAAATTTCTGTACACGCAAGTAAGTTATGAGAAAAAGATGAATAACTTCAGGGCTTTGTTTACTAGTTTAGAAATTTCAGGCTTCATATGAAAGCCAAGTTTTGCTGGAAATCAGTTTTTCCAATGTCAATCTGAATGAGGCATCAGTTAATGATGGGAAGGTGTCTTCTGCACTAGAAGGTGTGATTAGCATTGAAGTGCATTGAAATCTGCATCAAATGAATATTTTATCCAATGCTTATTAGAATTGGGTCTAGAAATTTTTTTGTTGGTTATTTCCTATTGTACTTTGCCGATAGTGATGTACAAAGGTGGGGCCACCCAACACGTTAGCTCACACTATAAGCAGAATACAGACTGTTGTAGCAAAAAGTTCTTTTGAGCACTGCATGCCTATGTTACTATGAGCCTTGCGATGACTTTATTCCTCCACCAGTGTGTTTAAATGTGAAGTACCTTGAGATTGTCACATGTGGAGCACGTGCCAAGGGAAGGCAGAAGCAGATGCCAGGCATGGCGATTCCAGACCTGGGCTCAGTTGTAAGACACTAGCAAGATGATTCAGAATCTGCTTATGTTACACATCTGAGATGGTTGTCATGGGAAAAAAATAAAAGTTCTAATGGAGCACCGTAGCCAACAGGTGGAAACAACTCACATGTTCATCAATGGATGGATAAGCAAACTGTGGTGTATACATGTGCACACACACACACACGTGAATATAATTTAGTCTTAAAAAGGAAGGCAATCCTGACAAGTTACAACATAGATGATCTTTGAAAATTTCATGCTAAGCGAAATAAGCCAGTCACAAAAAGACAAATATTGTATGATTCTACTTATAGAAGGTACCTAGGGGTAGCCAAAATCACGGAAACAGAAAGTAGGATGATAGTTTCCCAGGGCTGAGGGATAGGGTATGGGAGTTGGTGTTTATGGATAGAGTTTCATCTGGGGTAGATGAGAAAGTTCTGGAGACAGGTGGTAATGATGGTTGCAAAACAATTTGAATGTACTTAAGTGTCACTAAATTTTATTTAGAATTGGTTAGACTAGTACATTTTATGTTGTATATTTTACCACAGTAAAAAACTGTAACAGAGCAATTTCGGATTCCCAGGAATACTTCAGTCTGATAAACTGCTTTGACCTGTGGATGTCCCAGCATGGGCCAGGACGCCAGGACCAGGCCACTGTCCTTGGTGAGATGAGGAAAAAACAGACCAGTGCCCTAGCTTCTCCTAAAGCTAAGGTTTATTCTGGGTTTATGTTTACGTCGATCCTTTTCTGGAGAGTGGAGGCTTAAAATCTTCTTCCTTTTGTGAAATGAAGAGAGAAGCAGTTGATTTTTTTTTTTAAATGTATCTATTTGGCAAAATAAGTAGTTGGGAACGCCATGTTGCTACCCTCAAAATAAGCTTTTAAAGCTTATTTTAAAAAACGGATTATTGAAACCCAGAAGTATGGGAACTGCTGCTTTTTAAAACTGGCATGTGGTCCTGTTATTTCTTCCTATTTTGATGGCTACACTTACTCAAGGTGCGTTGAACAAGAGAAAAATTATAGCTTAGCATTCTAGAGCCAGATTCCACCATCTCCCTCAGCGGCCTTTGCAAAACATAAGGAACTACACAGATGTAAGCTGTTGCTAACTCTCTTTCAGTATTTATTGAACACCTATGGCAGGCTCGGGAAACAAAGATGAATAAGGTTTGGTCCCTGCCCCGGAGGAGCCCATGGCTCGGCAGGGGAGGCAGTCACATCAACAACCAACTCTAACATAATGTGATAAATTCTGTCATAAAGAGATGGACAAAGTGCTATGGGGAGCACGAAGGTGGGGATAGTAAAACCGAAACTTTATCCCAATGTTTTACAACTTTTATAGTGAAGAAATACATTGTCTAAGACTTGAAGTCAAACCCTTTTGGCTGAGATATGGGCCCATTTCCCCTCATTTTGACCTCAGATTAGAAAATGATCTTCACAGCAGGATGTGGGCAGCACTGGATTGGGAATTCAGGGTTAGGATCTGTGGCAGAAGGCACATTTGAGGAACATGGCATTTATCAAACCTTGACCATGTCAGAGGGAAGAGTTAGGGGCTCATGAGCTGGGTGAATCAGACAAGACCCAGGGTAGCCCAGATTTCAGAGGACAGAGGAAGGCAGGAGGGCTACATGCCCAGCCCCCACAAAGACCCCAAGTGGCACAAGGGCAGGAGGGCAGCTGTGGTACAGTATTAAGAACTGATTAGTCACTGAAATGAAGGGAATGACTGATAGAAAAAATAACAATAGGCATTGTTTATTGAAGGCATAGTGTGCTCTAGGCACTGTGCTGACATCCATTCTTTCATTTAATATTCACAACAATGCTGGGGGTATTAATACTTTTCTTATCCCCATTTTGTAGATGAGATAACTGAGACTTAACAAGGTTACTAACTTGCCCCAAATAACTTAAATAGAATGTGCTAGAGGTAGAGCCAGGGCTTGACCTTAGGACTGCAGGACCCCAAAACCCATCTCCTCCAATCCAACCTCTCATACCAGTTCCAGCACAATCCCAGCTTCCAGATGAGTGTCTCCACCTGGATAGTCCACCAGATCTCAAATTTAATGTGTGAAAGTGAAAATCATGTCTCTTCTGCTCACTCCAGTTAGTAACCACATTTCTCTTCTGTCAGACTTAAGACCTCAGCTTGTTCTTTTCTCTTCTCCTTTTTGCTTGCCACATCCAGAAGGTTACCTAGCTGTGTTGGCATCCAACCCAAACTTTCCATTCCCACTGCCATGGCAGCAGTTCAGCCCCATGCTGCCTCCCACCTGCTATTTTGTCCCATGGCTACTAGTCTCCACTGTCCCCGATGGATAAGGACTCTGCTGCCAGATAAAGCCTCTTTTAAAGCTCAGCTCTGATTACCTCATTCTCTGCTCAGTTGAATATAATATGAATAATAACAATGACTTTCTTCCTATGGACTCAGAATGTTTGGACTCTCTAGTTTGTCATCCAAGGTCTTTAACAGTATTCTTCAGCCTAACTTTCCAGTGTTAAATTGCATGAAGTTCCCCCCTTGTGTTCTTTTATTCTAAGCAAACTGTCCTTGAACGTGCTTTGTGACATCTGTGCCTTTATTCATGTGGTACTGATTGCTTGAAATGTGTTCTCCATCACCTCCACCGGCTGACATCCTAACAGTTTTTTAAGATCAGTTTCAAGCGCCACTTCTTCTCTGAAGACTTCCCTCCTTACCCTTGTTGGAAGCGACCTCTCTTTCCTTAGGATGCCAGTGGCACTTTGTACCATGTAAGGCAATGGTCCCGTGCTGCCCCATACCTTCATATATACTTGCCTTAACTGCCCCATTAGACTTTGACCTCCTGAAGACAGGGATCTTGTCTTACTCATATTTAGGTTCTCCATAGGCCCTCACTTGGGGAATTCAAACATGTATTCATTGAAGGCATGAATGGAGTTGGACGACAGTGATAGATGAAACAACGAAGGAGCGGAAATAAAGCTAGGTTCCAGCAGCCTCATCAAATACTCTAGATGCCCCTAGAATTCCTCCTGAAGAGATCTCCAACTTCTTCATTACTATGATTTTGTTTTAGGCTCTGCATTGCTGCTATCATGTCACATTGTCTTCTCTTTCTTCCTCAGAAAACCATTGTCTTTTTATTCTGCTTTACTTTACCAGAAATGGTCCCACCTTTTAGGATTACATCAACTCTCTTTCGTCACTCCAGAAACTCATTTACACTTATTTCAGGGATTTGAATTTTATATTATAAAAATAACCTTACAGCTTTCTGTTGTTTACATTTGGGGGATTTAAATTTGTGATTATTTGTCCTTGCCCACATTCCTTAGTTATCTTTTTACCAAGAGCAGGGCCACTGTGTTGCACAAAATTGGGGGCACTCTTCGCGTCGTAGCCTCTGCATACAGTGCTGTCTGGAGCTGAGCAGTGCTCAGCCTGCTTAACTGTATGTAGCAGCCCTGACTGTGGGCCCATGAAATTCAGGTGCACATTTGGCTGATTTCTTTTCTTTTTAAATTTTATTTTTCCATAAGTTATTGGGGCACAGGTGGTATTTAGTTACATGAATAAGTTCTTTAGCAGAAATTTGTAAGAACCTGGTGCACCCATCACCCAAGCAGCACCATCGTTTTAGTCTTTTTTTTTTTGTTTTGAGATGGAGTCTCACTCTGTTGCCCAGGCTGGAGTACAGTGGCATGGTCTCGGATCACTGCAACCTTCACCTCCTGGGTTCAAGCGATTCTCCTGCCTCAGCCTCTCGAGTAGCTAGGACTACAGGCACCCACCACCACGCCCAACTAATTTTTTTTTTTTTTTAATTTTTAGTAGAGATGGGGTTTCACCATGTTGGCCAGGTTGGTCTGGAACTCCTGACCTCAGGTGATCCACCTGCCTCGGCCTCCCAAAATGCTGGGATTACAGGTGTGAGCCACTGTCCAGGCCCATATTTGTAGTCTTTTATCCCTCGCCCCCTCCCACTCTTCCCCCCAAGTCCCCAAAGTCCATTGTATCATTCTTATGCCTTTGTGTCCTCATGGCTTAGCTCCCACGTATCAGTGAGAACATACAATGTTTGGTTTTCCATTCTTGAGTGACTTTACTTAGAATAATAGTCTCTAATCTCATCCAGGTCATTGCAAATGCTGTTAATTCATCCCTTTTTATGGCTGAGTAGTATTCCATTATATATATACACACACACACACACACACACACACACATATATACACACACACACATATATATACCAGAGTTTATGTATATATATGTGTATATATATACATATTTCTATATATATACACATATTTCTTCATATATACATATTTCTTCATATATATATTTCTTCATATATATATTTCTTCATATATATATATTTCTTCATATATATATTTCTTCATATATTTCTTCATATATATATATACACACATATATATATATACACACACATATATATATATACACATATATATATATACATACACATATATATATATACACATATATATATATATATATATATATACACACATATATATATATGTACACCAGAGTTTCTTTATCCACTCATTGATTGATGGGCATTTGGGTTGGTTCCATGATTTTTCTTTTCTTTTTATAGGTCATTGTGGGCTCATTTGGACCCTGAGTATCTCCAGAAGGGTCAGATTGGAAGCCAACTGCATGCTGGTTTCTTCACCACTCAGAGTTTTAGGAAACCAGGCTCCTGTTTGGACATCTCGCCCTTGTCTGGTCAGTTATTTCACATGCAGAGACTCCACAGACTGTGGATGTGAGAGCTAGGAGCCCCAGAAACCACTCACACGTGCTATATTTCACATTTGGGTATTCAGACTGACACTGAGAGAAGAAAATACTTGGAATCCAATAGCATTGCCAATTGTGAGAAGTTAGTTGTGGCCTTTTGTGTCAAAATTATGTGCCTGTGTAAGCCCTGGGTACTATGGTGATGGGTCCTGTGTAAACACCAAGACAAATAACGCTTTACATTAGTCTGCCACCTGTGCCTGTCAGGTTACCCAATCGCCAGTTCATAAGCTGACTTCTCCTTGAATGAATGTAGCAGACAGTATAATTAGTTGTTTCCCCTTTGAGCATTGGGACTGCTTACCCCATGTGGGATGCCCAGCTCTCTCTGAATGCCATGACAACTAGGGATGGGGCCTTCCCTGCAGGGGAGTCATGGTGTGCAATTTTCTTGGAATTCAATGTGAGTTTGAAAAGAAAAATGACCCAGAGGAGGACAAGCAAGAAGAGACAGCCCATTAGCAGCCGAACCATATGACAGAGTAAAAAGCAACTTCAGAGCTGTCAGCGCAACAGCTGGGGGAGCATGCCAAGAAGCCAGATGCTGCTGCTGAAAGACCATTTTCCACAAAGCTTGGGCCTGTGATGTTCATCTCAGCCCCATGTGTGGCCCTGGGTGCGGGGCTTTATTGCTGGATAAAATAACAAAGGCAGGGAGGGGGGAATTGTGTGCAGGCCCAGGGGCTGTCTTAGAAAGTAAAGCAGACAGCAAGAGGTGGGAATCTTGTTCATTACAAACCCACCCACGTTATTAGAAATAGGAGCTCTGAACATACTCCCTCTGTAAATGATTTATTTGGAATACTACCTAACAAGGGGCATATTTTCATTTGAAGCTAGATATTAGGTTGTTGAGATTCCACTGCTAGATCCTCCTGTCGGACTTCCTGGCTGTGGTTCCAGGGATATCCATACATGTGTAATCTTCTGATGTTGATCGTCATCCCAGATAAGTGGAATTTGTTCTCGTTTTACAGATGAATGAACCAAAAAGAATCTTACTGACTTAAAGGAATGCTAAGTGGCTTGCTTAGAGTTATTTCATTTGACATCTCTAGGAATAGAACTACCTGAGTGCCGAAGCGTTTTTCTCAGCACGTATTGTTAGCCGCTTACCACCAGCCTACATTTTCTGTGGCTCTTCCCCTCTCCTTGTCTAATTCCTCAAATTCGCCTGTTTCCATCACGTGCTGTCTCCCCTCCACCCCACTATCCTGGACTAATGATATAAGAAGTTAAGGCCAGGTGTGGTGGCTTACTCCTGTAATCCCAGCACTTTGGGAGGCTGAGGCAGTTGGATCACCTGAGGTCAGGAGTTCAAGGCCAGCCTGGCCAACATGGCAAAACCCTGTGTCCACTAAAAATACAAAAATTAGCCAGGCGTGGTGGCATTCACCTGAAGTCCCAGCTACTCGGGAGGCTGAGGCAGGAGAATCACTTGAACCAGGGAGGCAGAGGTTGCAGTGAGCTGAGATCGCACCATTGCACTCCAGCCTGGGTGATAGAGTGAGACTCCATCTCAAAAATAATAATAATAAATTAATATATTTTATTTCATACCCAAAAGACTACTGGAGGAATCATTTCTTGACTTCTTAAAAAAGAAAGGTTTTTTGTTTTGTTTTGTTTTGTTTTTTGTTTTTTTTGAGATGGAGTCTTGCTCTGTCACCCAGGCTGGAGTGCAGTGGCACCATCTCAGCTCATTGCAGCCTCTGCCTCCCAGGTTCAAGTGATTCATCTGTCTCAGCCTCCCGAGCTGAGATACAGGCAGGATTACAGGCGTGTGCCACCACACCCAGCTAATTTTTTGTATTTTAGTAGAGACGGGGTTTCACTGTGTTGCCCAGGCTGGTCTCGAACTCCTGAGCTCAGGCAATCCACTGGCCTTGGCCTACCAAAGTGCTAGGATTACAGGTGTGAGCCACCACGCCTAACCAGAGAAAGTATTTTTTAAAAGATTATTTACTGGACAACATTTCTGGCAACAGCCTGAATAGATACTTAAAAAAATCCTTAGGTGTGAAGAAATGATTCATTCTGCATCAGGTAAATAGAGCAGTCAGAAGATAAACCATAGAGAACAAGTTTCATGCACTTCCTGAAGACCTTGCAGGGTAAGAAGAGTACTTTGCCTTCATGCTAGGGGAGCTGAGTTGAAGTGATTTCTAGATGTCCACTCTTGGTTTATTCCCCTGACTGAAGGAGAGCAGATCTGGGATAATGTCAAGTATTGGGCCATCTAAGAATCAACACCTTGTAGCTGGCATGGAGTGTGGTTCTGCCTCGACAGTGCGCTCACGAGGGTGAGCAGGGGAAGGGCTTAATCACAAAGGCGTGGGTATGGTTACGGGAAGCAGCAACTGTGGAAAGCCTGTAGGAGTGAGCAGCTACTGAGCCCTGAGAGCTATAGCTGTAGTTGGAGTTGAGGATCTGTGGCCTTCAGAAGAATATATCCACTCCATTGAGACCCAGGAGGAAAGAAGCTACGGGAATAAATATCTTGATCTCATTCTCCTCTTGCCCTCTGGTCTCCTGCTGATGCCTCCCGTTGGCTGAACTCAGCTGGCAGCCAGCGGGTAAAGGGGCCCAAGTCTCAGTTCATGCAGGACAGCCTTCCTGGGTATGAAACAGGGAGGAGAAAGGTGAAGAGCGGATCTGGAGGGGCAAATATAGCTGGTGCATATATTGGGAGATACTTGGCATAGTGCATGGCATGGTGCATGATTTACATGGGCAGTTAATGGTCCAGCTCTGTCATATTGGGTATTTGGGTGCTATTCACATCTGCCTGGGAGTGGCTTGCTTTCACACAAATAGGAATCTTTAGGCAAAGAAAAAAAAAAAAAAAGATTGGCTTAATTTAGATCTAACTGGAAGATGTGGCTCAGAGTGTGGCTAGATTGATCACTATGGGATTTTGATATATTCAAAGTTACTTGGCAAATATTTTTTTACAATGAGACTAGGGAGACACTTATTTACTCTGTAAAAATCACCTTGGCCAGGCTCACACCTGTAATCCCAGCACTTTGGGAGGCCGAGGCAGGGGGATCACGAGGTCAGGAGATCGAGACCATCCTGGCTAACACAGTGAAACCCCGTCTCTACTAAAAATACAAAGAATTAGCCAGGCGTGGTGGTGGGCGCCTGCTACTAGGGAAGCTGAGGCAGGAGAATGGCATGAACCCAGGAGGTGGAGCTTGCAGTGAGCCGAGATCGCGCCATTGCACTCCAGCCTGGGTGACAGAGCAAGACTCCGTCTCAAAAAAAAAAAAAAAATCACCTTGGCCCATGGACAAGGACTGGAAGGAAAATGATGAGATTAAAAGCAAGTTCATGGTTCATGGTGGGAATGGGGAAAACTTCTCTTTTCTAATTTCCTTTGTTGCTATTTTAATGCAGTTTTTGCAGTAAATTAAAAGTAAAAAGAAGCCACTAGTTCCCTAGATGAGGTTGTTTAGGTTTCTGGACAATTATACTGGCTATACCAAGTATCTTGGGTAAGAAAGATTTTAAACATGAATATTTCTTGCCCGAATCTTGGAAACTTAAACTAGAATCCATGTGAGGCTCATTTTAATAGAGCCCTCTAGGTTTTTAAGCATTTTTTTTCCATAATTACTTCTGTTTTCTTTATAAGCAGTTTTATGGGGAGTGGAGGGGAGGTATTTTCCTTTACCCCTGTGAGTGTCTTCATGCTGAGTTTCCAGGTCATTGTGGATGCACAGAATGAGACCCAGTCTCTTACACAGCTTCATTGAAATGGGACATTCTATGTTCTGAGAACTGTCTTTGCTTTTGGGAGGCACAGGGAGAAAGGTTGTGATTACTGGGTGTGGGGCAGGGAGCCAGTGCTTTTTATCAGACTATTGCAAAGAGCAAGAGCCTCCCAATACTTACCTCTTCCCTGAAGAGGAGGCTGCTGGGTGTCACTAATATTGATCAGTGTACGGAGACCAAATGCCAGACACTTGCTAGCACACAACCCTAAGAAGCAGAGACAGGCGGCTTTCCTACTCCTCTTTCTAACCACAACTGCAAACCTGACTCCAATATCTGTGGACTGTCATGAAAATTTACCCTGAGAAAAATGTTTTAGTTGAAAAGTATTGTTTCTGATCTCATAGACTGTGACCAGTTGACAAGTTATCTGAGCTGAACTGGTTCAGCGGCCTGGCTTCCAGATGTGAACCGGGACTTTGGTTTTTCATTCTCCTCCCACCCCCATCTGCCCAACAAAGACTGAAAGAAAAAAAAATTTTTTTTCTTTCTTTTTTTTTTCCAGAAGAAAGAAGTAGCTGACTGGTTCTTGGCATATATCTGATATCATCAGGTGGGGACTGTATCTAAAGAGAGTTTTATTTCTATGGAATAGAGGTATCTACTATTTTATATAAACTGTGGCAAGATAGTTTTCTGTCTTAGCTGAGTGCAGGGAGTCAGTACAGTTTGAGTCAGAATTTACCAGCAATTGATTATGGCTTCCAGATTTATGCCAAAATTTAAACATAAAAAAGACTAACAGGTAAACTTTCTTTGACTGAGCATTGTTGCTTGGTATTCTCATCTTTGGTGAGATTTTTTTAATTTTTTTTGAGACAGGGTCTCACTGTGTCACCCATGCAGTGGCACAATCTCAGCTCACTGCAGCCTTCACCCCCTGGGGTCAACTGATGCTCCTACCTCAGCCCCCTGAGTAGCTGAGATTACAGGTGCACACCACACCCAGCTAATTTTTGTGTCTTTTGTAGAGATGGGGTTTCATCATGTAGCCCAGGCTGGTCTTGAACTCCTGTGCTCAAGTGGTCTGCCTGCCTTGGCCTCCCAAAGTGCTGTGATTACAGGGGTGAGCCAAAGCACCTGGCCTCCTTGGTGAGAAATTCAGAGTTGTCTGAAACATCTTGAACATCAACTGTGCACATGGGTGGAGTCTAAGAAGACAAGGGATGGGCTCTAGCCTCAGAGGACGGGGTGGTGGGAAATAGAATTGAGAGGCCTGGATGTGGATCCAGAGTGTCTCACGGGTTCTGAAACAAGGCTGCAGGCTGTAGACGAGTCCCTTCTGCTTCTGCGTCAGCTTTCCTGCCCCTTTAAAAATTGGATTTTTTGTCCATGTGTATATAGTCCAAGCAGCAGGCCATGTGTTAGCGTGATGTCTGTATGCCGGGGTTGGAAGGTTCAACTTAGGTTCAAAGCTTTACCTTTAAAGAGTCCGATGAACTAAAGGCAAGATAATGGACTCTTCTTTCTGAAGCAGTTTGGAAAAATAAAAAAAAAGATAATGGATTTTTCTGTTTCCTTTTTTAATTTTCAAAAGAGAATACTAATTGCTTACTCTGGCAGATGCTTGTGATACTTACATGAAAAGCATATCTGAAAACCTTTTTTATTCAAATTATCTATTTTAAGCTAGATTATTTTCATGTCTCTCTTGCCTCACTTCCTAAACCTTTAAATATAGAAAATGTGAACTATAGGAAAGAAGGTGGCTAAACTCCAAATAGAGTGTGTGAGACTGAGGGTCAAGAAGAGCTCACAACTCAACATCCCGATGCTATAAGATGCACAGAGTTACATGTGTCTGCAAAAATGTCCTTTTCGAAGGACAGAGCTCTCCATGTAGTTTTCTAAGGGTCAACTCTAAAGCCCAGACCATCAGAGGTGGTGGAAGTCCGTTTTCCCCGAAGGTTTCAGTTGCTCCCAGGCCACAGTCATTGGACAAGCAGCTCCCACACTGGACTTTTGCTCAGGCCCGAGTCTCTCAGAAAGAACTCTCTTCAGCTCTGCTTTGTTGCTGTAGCTGTGCTGGGAGAGACCAAGTTGATGTGCAAGGGACAAGATGAGAACAACATGAATTGTTTCGAAATTGGAGACAAATGTAAATGAATACAAAAATAACAGCACTCCCTTGACCCTGTATCTTTGAGGTTTTCAGGGCCTCAGAATTCTCTAATGTATTGTTTCATGGTTTAATCTGCTTTGTATTTCTCTGAGTTTAGCAATGCTGGGAGAGTGGGGAACAGGACTCTAGGAACTTAAACAAAGGACAGCAAAACGAGGAATGCTTGGTGACATTAAATTTTTAAAATATTTTTTGTTCTCGTATCCCATCATGAAAAAAATCATCCCACTCTTGAAAAAAATTTATACAGAAAGGCTTGTCAAATAAATTAGTGTGTGTATGTGTGTATTATATATATATTTGTCACTGTTTTAGGATGGATTTTGTGTATCACATTAGAATAATAGAGAAAATATAATACTAGTAAAGCGCAGTGGGGACTTACGGGCAGTGCTTTTCCTCCTTCTTCCTTCTGTTGCAGAATTTTTGCTCCTTAGTTCAGCTAAAACTGGGTTTTGTCATACAACCAGGAAACATTAGGAATGCGGACACATTGAAAGGGTGAGTAGCGCGGAATTTATTGGGAAAAAAAAAAAACTCTCAGCAAAGTGAGAGGGGGTCCTGCTAACAGGCCCCCACCTCAGATGGATTCCAGGTCACCACGCATGAGCCGAAGAGGCCAGGCCCCTCGCCCTTGCACAAGGTGTGACTTCCCGTGGCTCCACCTTGTTCTCCCGGTGCGCAAGTGGATCGGAGATTCTCTGGGGACCCTCCCCCTTATCTGCCTCCTGCATCTATCACTTCTTTCAGGATTTCTAAAGTAAATCTGTAAGATAAAATTCAGGGATGGTAAAAAAGTTTTTGATGCTTTAACAATTTGGAAATGAGTTACATATTCATGGTAACTTTTAAATTCAATTCATTGTGTTAATCAAGCACCTACTAAATGCCAAGAAAAAAAGTAAGTACACAACTCAATTCTCATTCTGAAGCGGCTTACAGTCTTGTCAGAGCTGCTTAGAATCCAGGCAGAGTGGAGCCTGGACACAAAACCTGGGCACAAAATGACAGGAGATGCACAGGGACATGCCGAGATGGCATGATGCATGTGTGTAAATGCAAAAGTGACCCAGTGATGCTGAGAGGGAAGGAATGACAGAAGTGAAGGCAGACAGGGACCACGAGGCCTCCGGGGAGGTTTTCTTCCCCTTACAAAAAGGTCTCAGGAGAGCAGTTGTTCACTGCTAGGCTTGGCACGTATGGAGACCAAAGATAGAAGCAAATGGTGTGAACTGCATTTCCTTCCTCCCTGATGGAGGGTGGCATCAGCTGGAAAGATGTTCACGCTTTGCTCCAGGAAACGACAGACCTCACTGATTTTCAGTGAACACATCATCAGGCCACCAGAAACTGTGACCAGATCCCAGGCTTCCAGGCCTCCACGGCTCCAGGAGACCATAAGCTCTGGGGGGACAGCAACTCAGTGTTTTTGTTTATTCTCCCTGGACTCCCAGAGCGGGGCTTTGCTCGTGGCCTGTGGCTGATTTCGGCTGGTTGAATTGCATTCGTTCTGATGGTACATTTTAAATGTGAGGTCCTGGGATCCTTCCATCTTTCAGTTTAAATGTCATCACTCAGGGAGATCTCTCTGGATTGCCCTACCTAAAGTGATCACAACCTCCCTTATTCTTCAGCACAGCGTCTTGTTCATTTTGTTCATGGTGCTTTTCACATACTGTTTATTTTGCTTACTAATTCTGATGAAGAGAGCAGCCCTCTATAATAAGACAGTATTATATGTCAGTAGTTTTGGGAAAAGTTAAAGTTTCAATAGGTTTTTAGCTCTCCTTGCAAATAGCCTTCTGGAAGTTTACTTGTGTACGACCATGGGTCTGCTTCCCTTCCTTTACTGAGTATCACAAGGTCTCCTCTTTTGCACCTGAGTGTCTGGACCCCAAAGCCTTTCTCTAAGTGGTGCTCAGGGCTCTTTGGAGTAATTTCGAGGCAGCCAGCCTCTGGGGTGTGGTGGTCCCAGTCTCTGGGCGGTGAGTACTCTTGTCTGTCTCTGCAGTGCCCTTCTCATTAGTGACAAGACTGTATTTCACATTCTCAGTGTATGGTCTCTTTTTTTCCACTTCAAGATATTTGGTATTTAATATCTGTCTCTGTTGCTGGATTAGACACCCCATGAGGGCAAGGACCATGTCTGCCTTGCTCTTTATTATATTCCTAGGGTGTAGCATAGTGTCTACCCCATACCAGGTTCTCAGTCAATATCGATCATTGCTTCTTCCCATTCCTACCAGCCACATTTTGCCTCCTCCATCTTCCAACACCTGTGTAGCCTGCCCGAACTTCCCGAATTTGAAGGGTAAAGAGGGAGTAGAGGTAGAGCAGCTTCTTCTCGTTCTTCTCCTAATTGCTAACAAGCTCTCTTTTGCGGGGTTTGGGGAAACAGTGGAGGAATACAAAAAGTTCCAAGAGAGTCTTTTCCTTCCTCCCCACCCCCGAGCACGCAATCCAACCATTGCATTTAGTCTAGTGGCTATTCTTGAAATCAGCCTCTGCTCCTCTGGAAGTCTCTCGCCCGGCTCCCTATGTGGGCTGTTCTTGTTCTTGGATGCTTGGATTGCCCTTTATCTACTCGCCATCTGTGTAAGGGGATCCTGCCAAGATGATCAGATGTGAACTCAGTGCCAGAAACATTTTAATTAATTTATGGTGATAAAATGCGAAAAGAAAACCATTGAGGAAAGCCTGGGCCAAAGAAAATTAAACATAAGAGGAAACAGAGAAACTGGGGCCGTGTGGTCTTAGAAGGGAGGGCCTGGTTGGCAAGGAAGCCAGCAAACTCTTTCTTTCTCTTGCCCTCTTCACTTGTTTAAGCAACACGCAAGTGGAAAAGCTGCAGAGGACCTTGTGGCAGGGACTGGAGGGGACAAGGGAGATCACTGAATAGCCTGCTATTGGCCTGGACTTCTTGATTAGGGCACTTGAACATGGGTGTGCAGGAAACATTGAGAGCAAGGCTGCAGGGTTGCAAGCCTCCCTGTAACAGGGGCAGCCAGTGTTTCTCAGGTGAGCAGAAGCGGGAAGGTTCTTAAGCTGCAGCTCTGAAAAAGCATCAGCACGTGTTTAAAGAAGTCACTAGAGTAAGTTTGATTTCATTGCAGTCTGGCGTACAGTTCTTAGGGTAACATCTATACTGAGAAAATACAGAAGAAAACTAGTATTAGCTAGCTTTGCCCCTCCTAAGACAAAAACAGGCCAGCAATGTTTATTTGTAGGCTACTGGGTCACTTGACTTATTTGAGATGTCGATTCAATTTAGGTTTCCTTTCTTTTTTTTTTTTTTTATAGGAAATAACTACTCAGGGTTGAAAAAGACAAACTTTTCAGTTAGTCCTTCCCATTGAATTTTAGAAGAAGACAAAAGAAAACACTTGGGAACCAGCACACAAGAATTCAGTCAAAATAAGACATTATTTAATTCAATAATTTAGTTTCTAATGTATTTGCATATTACATGTCCCTATAGATTTGATGTCTCAATCTAACTGGTGCAATTAAAAAAATAGACTCTTAAAAGCAACTGGGAGAAGAATACAGCAGTCAAAGAGAACAAAAGGGGACACATTAGCTGAAGAAAAAGAAAGAAATGAGAGAAACTTCTCAGTGATTTGAAAAAATCTATAGCACACATTACCTATTTGTCCTAATTAAGAGGGAACTATGTAAAATTGAATAAATAAATTTATGTTGAGCTCAGCAGTAGATTATTTATACAGCTGATTTAATAGGATAATAGAATTTTAGAGCTGTGACTTCATACTGTGGGTCTGAATCAGAACTGCCTAGATAGGTTTCTTCTTTTTTTAAAAAAATGTATAGGATTGTGTCGTACTTGCCAGGATTTATGGGGCTGGCCTTGGGATGTGCATTTTGAAAAAGCTAGCAGGTGAGTCTGACGTGCATTCCTATGCATCCGTTCATCACTTATGCAGTGCCTACCAGGGGCCATAATACTATGGTGGGTGCTGGAGACACTATGGTCAGGGAAAAAAGACATGGTCCTTTCATTATGCATGTATGGTTTGTGGGTAATATGCACCTTTTTATTTCCAGCTAAAGACCTGATTACCCTGAAAGTTGAGTGGCCCTTCTCTGGATCATCCAGTTAGGTGGTGGTAAACTGGAATGGAACAATACCCTAATTTCCCACTTCTTATTTCCATATTCTTTCCACTAACTAGTCTTGCTGATTTTCAGATTACATTTTGTTTAGGCTTATATTGAGATTCCAATTGTACTGGAAAAAACAGCTGGGTTTAGATTTAGGTTCAATTCCTTGCTCTACTATGTATAAGCTTTATGATATTGGGCAAGTGAATAACTTCTAGCAGTCTTGGTTGCTGTATTAGTCCCTTTTCATGCTGCTGATAAAGACATACACAAGACTGGGTAGTTTATGAAGAAAAATAAGTTTAATGGACTCAGAGCTCCATGTGGCTGGGGAGGCCTCACAATCGTGGCAGAAGGTGAAAGGCATACCTTACATGGCGGCTGGCAAGAAAGAATGAGAGCCAAGTGAAAGGGGAAACCCTTTATAAAAACATCAGCTCTCATGAGACTTATTCACTACCACAAGAACAGTATGGGGAAACACATGGGAATTATGGGAGCTACAATTTAAAATGAGATTTGGGTGGAGGCACAGCCAAACCATATCAGTTTCCTCATCTGTAAAACAATCATACCTACTACATGCAGGTGGAGGGTAAGGATATGAATATTTGATGAGGTCATATAAGCAAAAGAATCTAGTCCACTGTCTAGCACTTTGGAAGATCTCAGTTAGTGGAAGTTCTTTCCAGTTCTTTATAGGAGGCAACACACCCAAACTTACTGGGTGTTGCTGGGGTGGGGCATGTGGGGAGCCATCCTGGATACTGGCAGAGTGGCCCAGGGTGGTCTTACCCTTTGGAATAGGCCAAGTCAGTGTTAGGTCCCCTTGGCATCGGGTGTATTCTGCCCATCCAAGCAGCAGTGGTATGCATAGGATGCCTGGGGCTGGTCACCGGGGCTTACAGCAAGGAACTGGAAGCCTTTCCAGAGCAAGTCAGAAACTCAGAGCTAGCACAAAGCAGTGGCAGTGATTTCAGAAGCCTCCCACTGAATGCTTTCTCAATTTCCTGTGCAGACCTGTCAGCTTTGCCCTAGGGGCATGTTGTGGTTACATTCCAAGGTTGCCTGCTGCTGGCCAGCTCAGCTTCCTTGGCCACAGCTTGAGTCTTCAGTGAGTTTCCCCACTAGAACAGAAGTCACCACCCAGACTTGTTCCGTGTACCAGCATCAGATAATGGGATTGAATTAGAAAGAAAGAAATGAGAAGAAATTGGTTGGATCAAGGTGGAGGCATAGGTACCACAGCAGCAAGAATCAGATTTATCATGTACTTCTCCACGCTTTTTCAAATCTTTATTATTTAAGAGAGCATATGACCCCTTCTAGGTATATAACCAAGAGAAATGCATGTATGGGTTCACCAGAAGACTTATAAGAGAATGTCCAAAGTAGCAGTATGTGTAATAGCCCCACACCGAACACTACTCAAATGCTCATCAACAGCAGGATGGATAAATACATTGTGTTATAATCACACAACAGAACGTTATGCAGCAACGAGAATAAGCAAACCGTAACTACATGAAACAACATGGTTGCATCTCACAAACAAAATATTACAGGAAGTAATATCAGTAATATCAGGAATACAGTAATAGTAATACAGTAATAGTAATACAGTAATAGTACAGGAAGCCAGATGTGCAAGAGTACATACAGTGATTCCATGTATACAATGTTTGAAAATAGATAAAACTTACCTATGATGTTAGAAGTCAGGATAGCAGCTGCTTTTGGTGGGGGATAGTGACTGAAGGGACATCCAAACGAGGTTTCTGCGGGTGGGGGTGCTGGTGGTGGTGTGAGGTGCTGCTGCTGCTTTTTTTTGAGGCAGAATCTCACTCTGTTGCCCAGGCTGGAGTGCAGTGGTGACATCTCAGTTCACTGTAGCCTCAACCTCCTGGGTTCAAGTGATTCTCCTGCCTCAGCCTCCCAAGTAGCTGGGATTATAGGCATGCACTACCACACTCAGCTAATTTTTGTATTTTTAGTAGAGATGGGGTTTTACCATGTTGGCCAGGCTTGGTCTCGAACTCCTGACCTCAAGTGATCTGCCCACCTCGGCCTCCAAAAGTGCTGGGATTACAGTTGTAAGCCACTGCACCCGACGTAATGTGCTGCTGCTTGATCTGGGTGTTGGTTGCATGGGAGTGTATGGCTGGAAAATTTATTGAGGTGCATGCCTACAATTTGTGTTCTTTTGTATCTATATGTGGAGCTTCAAATGAAAAAAGAACGTAATAATGTCTTTGCACCCTTATCCTCATAGATTGCAGCCTGGAATGGAAGCCTGCATTGTGATTTTTCCACCAGTGAAAGAGTTAAGTAATACTCAGCATTTTCTTACGTCTGGCCCAAAGTAGGCACTCAATAAATATTTGCTGAATAAGTAAAGAATGGGTGCTACAGCACAGTTCTAGACAATCCTGACACCCAGCTGCATTCTTGCCCCAGATGATGGGAAATAAATTAGATTGAGAATAAATTTTGTATCATGATAATAAATCCTTCTTTTTTTTTTTTAAAAAAAGGAAAGGATCATAGAAGCTATTAGGTAAGGATGCCACGGAATTTAAAAAGGTCTCCTAGGGACATTTCTATTATCAGGGATTTTCCTTATCTAAACCATTGTGGCAGACATTTAGGAGGGAAGCCTCAAACCTCCTGTGCGCCATCTGGCTCAAATCCACATGTGCATGCATGCGGGTGTCCTCCCTGGCAGTGGAGAGCAGCCCAGATGTACTGTGAGGGGGGCCTCCTTGTAAGGAGCTCCTCCTCTGTTCCACAGCCCCTGGGAGGCCTTCATCAGGTTCAGTTCAGTTGGATCTTTGATGTCATCTCCATGTGAATGCTGCATGATCATTTTCTCTTGGTCTTTGATGAACAAAATGTGAGGGGAGATGTTTGACCTGGGGGCATGGCTTGTGGCAAGACAGGAAGTGCCTCATCTTGTTGGGGTACATAAAAGGGCAATTAAAGGGTACCGCTAACAAGTACACACCTACTCACGGGTCTGCCAAGACTCTTTCAGGAAGTGTGACAGGGCATGAGCACAGAGAAGAGGGGCGGATCTGAGGCAGTGGCGACTCAGATTTCCCTACCTCCAGCCCGAGTGGAATCTTAATTCAGTCCTCCACACCCTCTAGCCAAACCCGAAAATCAGGAGGCCAAAAGTGACAAGCGTTTGAGAGACAGCTTAAGCTACATAAAAGGCTGGTTGAAGTCATTTTCCCATTAGAAGATTGTGGATGGGGAATGTACAAACATGCATTCCAACATAGACCAGTGCTGTCCCCATTAAACTTGGATTTCGCTTCCTTTTTTAAGGCTCAGGAAACATTATGCCACACAAGTCAAATCCAACGAATAGTACAATATTAAGAAATGTGTACCTTCTGAAACCAGCTTCCAAAGATGGGACTCTTGTCTGTAAAGATAGCTGCCCTTCCCTTGGCCCTGATGAGAAGGACTAAGAAGCCTTGGTTTTAGGGAGTGACTTCAGAACTGGGTTCTTTACACCGGTGTTGAGTGGTGGTGAGCTAACACACTTGGATGGAACTGGAAGCCCTCTGCCTGGGATCTCTCAGAGACTTGCTTCCCTCTAATGAGGAAGTTGCCTAATCGGTTCATGTAACATGGATATCTTTGTTTTGCTCAAATATCAAATACCAATGACATTTTCTTGGACATGAAGTCAAGGAGTGAAGCCCGCCTTCCAAGGGCAGTCTAGTTCAGAGGGTCTTGCGGAGTCTGTCCAGAGGATTGGACACCCCGGCTCTTGGTGCTTGGGTCTGACTCTCAGCCCTGGATGTCATCCTCAGAGGACAGTCATCTTTAGAGTAAGAGTTGTTGTGGGCACTGCTGAGGGGCTGGGGTGATCAGCCTGAGGGAACAGGGCTGGGTGAAGTGGAGAGAAGAGCCAGGACAGTTGGGTAACGCAGGCTTTGGAACTACCAGAATAGGCTGAAAGACCCTAGGTGTCGAGAACAACCAACAAACATACATAGTCAGCATTAAGCCCTGGCTATGGTACTGATAATCCTTCTCCGCTTCTGCTTCTAATGCTGCCACCTCTAGACCCATTTTGAGGGTGACAAAAAGCCTGCCCTTTTATTTATTTATTTGAGAGAGAGAGACAGAGAAAGAGAGAGAGAGAGATTGGTTGTAAAGATCCCTGCAAATCTCACTACGTGAGCTTGGGTAGGTCAGTTGTCATATAGGTCCTTGAGATTCCATTTTCTACTCTGCTATAGAAGGAAGGCAATTGGACTCTCTAATCTTTAAGGTCCCCTTCTGCATCAAAGTTCTGCATTCCATAGCATCTTCCAAACAGCTTCCCAGGGAGGTGTTTTCACCAGAGGCTACAGTTAAAATTCAAATATGTTTCCTGTGAAGGAGAGTGTTGTAAGCCTCATTAACACTAACATCTCAGGTCAAGTGTGTTTTCCAGATATACTTTATGCATTGAGCATCCAGGACACAAGTTTGGCTTATTTATACTGGAAGAGAAAGAGAGGAACACTCTGGAAAAGGGGGAACTGACCAAGGAGTTCAGGATTGAGTGACGTTCTGTGGAGGGTGCTCTGACCACTATTTTATGTAAAAGGTTATTCGAGGCAAATGCCAAGATTCCAGAGGCAGGATTTGTTTACTCTTATAACTGGCCCAGGAAACCAGAATCCTCCAGGATCCACAGTTGGAAACAGAAGGCAGTCAGACTTTGAGATGTCCCCCAATCATGCCCATCTCCTGGTGCCCATACATTTTTATAATCCCTCCCTCTTATGTGTGGGCTGGACCTGGAATCTCAAACTTCATTCATGTAAGGGTGGGGATGGTCTATATTTGTTGTTATTCTATACATGCTATGTACTTGAAATTTTACCAATGAGAACCTATTTCAAACATTCATTATTCTAGTAAACAGGCTACTATTATTGTTTAAAAAAACACAACAGCCTATTTCTGGCATTGAATGTGTCAATTTGCAAGCCTTAAGTTTGATTGAGATATGGATTAGAAACATTTGTAGTAGCTGCCTCTGGACTATGGGTTTCCTAATGAGGACTCCTGCTGACCCCTGCAGGTCTGTGCATTCTTGAGTAGAATGCTTTCTTGAGCTTGGGCAGTCCAGCCCTAGACTTATAGCTAAAACCAGATCACACACACACATGCACACGCACACGTGCACACACACACACACGCAGCGCCCCCTGCACATGCTGAACTATCTTAAAGCAAATTATAGCCAAGTAGTAAATAAAGGTAGGTTTGCAGAAGGGTCATAATTCTGGTTCACATGGATGGCCAAACCCTTAGTCTCTTGTTTGTCTTTACAATTATTTATTTCTTGCTTTCTCATTCTCCACCTGGTGCCCTAGAGTTTTTCTGAGAACTGGTGGGAATAAAAAGGATGATTACAGTTCCCTACTACTACAAGCAGGATTGAGAAAAGAGTTGAGGAGTGGAGGGAGGGGCTGAGGTGGTGGAGTTGTTCCCACAGCCTTTGGATCACCAAGGACCCCAGGTCTGCGCCGTTGGAGGTTGTGTGTGGGCAGCAGCCATGGCTCAGACGTGGTGGGTGTCCCAGGGTTTCGGCCTGTGCTAGGCAGCTGGTCGTGGGGCCCTCCGTCTTATAAAGATACTGTTGGATTGGGCTGCCTGAGCACATCAAGAATGGTCAAAGACCCTCTGGGGCTGGATTGCCCTGGCTCAAGATCCCTTTAATGTTCTAAAAATATATAGCTCATAACCAGTACAGTATTGGCACCTACATTCTAACCACTCTCCTTTTAGATGCTCTGCCCAACACCTTTAGAGATGCATCTGCCAGTTTTATATTGAAGATCTGTAGGCTTCTGTGTCCTTGGAGGGCAGTTTGGTGACCCAAGGCAGCAAACTTCCTTTCCAGATAGAATTTGGGGATCTAGACCTCAGGGAAGGTATTTCCTAGAACTCTCTTATCAAACTACTAGTAACCTAGTAAACAATGGAAATCAAACATCTTAGATTAATAAAAGTTTGCAAAATAAAAAATAAATTGATCATAAGGCCATGATCTGTTCTCAGAACTGTTCCTTTTTCTGGTTTTACAGGAAGCAGCTGGCTGAGAGGCAGTGGCTAGGACCTGTCCACACTAAGGTCTTCATCCACCGCCATCCCCACTGGGCCTCAGCCATTCATGAACATTTTGCCTTGGCTTATGGTTATTCATTCCCTTTCCTCCTGCAGACCAGAGTTTTTAAGCTAACTCCTTGCTTTTTAGCATGTGCACATGTAGGGTTGCTGCACGTGGGTGGCATAGCTGCAGTGCAGTGGCTCATGGGGCTTTCCAAGAGGCTGACAACAGCCATGAAGTATGATTTGTTCAATGAACAGAAATGGTGCTGCCCTCTGGGAGTGCCCCCAGCCTCTGGGTCCCTCGCCGGTCACGACTGGCTTGGACTATGCCCATGGAAAGATGTGTTTCTTACTGGCTCCTCTCCTCTGGGCTGAGTTTATGCTGACCAAGCTCCAATTGTATTTTGCTTTCTAGCCTGCCTGGGTGGGTAAGAAAGGAGCAGGTTTCTTTTGGGTGGGGAGGAACATTCCTTTCTTCCTGTGGGGAAGGTGGTATTTATGTTTCTCAGAAAAGAACTTCCCGAAGAATAACATATTGCTATAGGCTTTGGATGTTTGGGGTAAAAAAAGAACAATTTAAGCAATCTATTTCTGCTCTAAAGTGCTGTCAGAAGGGTCAAGAGGGAGTACAACCTAGGAGAGCCCCTCTTCGGATTTAGCATGCGAAGA
Organism: Homo sapiens; assembly: GCF_000001405.40. Taxonomy (NCBI): domain Eukaryota; kingdom Metazoa; phylum Chordata; class Mammalia; order Primates; family Hominidae; genus Homo; species Homo sapiens. Next base: position 54,306,580 of record NC_000014.9, on the reverse strand, counting down.
GAGCATTGGTGCTGAACTCTGCTTAAAATCACCTTGGAGCTTTTTTTAAAAAATACCAATGCCAAGTTCCACCCCAGACTGAATAAATCGGACTCTTCTTGGCAATGAGGTCTGAGTCTTGGTATTTTTTTAAAGCTCCCCAGTTGATTTGAATGTGTGGCCAAGGTTGAGAACCACTGCAGTAGAGTATTGCATAGGTTATGTTAGAGTGTGAGCAAGATGGACTCTTGATTACCTGAGGCTGAGTGAAAAAAATAAAATATCGGTTATTTACTGAGTGCCTTCTCCTCGTCAGCTGTTGTGCTGGGCAGTTACCTTATATTAACCCACAATCCCCACAACAGCCAGGCAAAGCAGGTGATATGTTCTCTCTCCATTTTACAGAAGAGAAATTGAAGCTTAGAAAGATGAGCTGATTTGCACAAGGTCACCTAGCTGAAAGTGGTGGAAATTGAGGTAAGGTCGATGAGATTCCAAAGCCACTAAACCCTGTGCTCCTGTAAAGGACCCACCGAGGGGCTAATGGCGAGAAAGGACCACAGGCTTCAGTGGATGCTGTGTTTGTGGCTATGGTAATGGGACAGTTAATAAAGAGAAGCAATTTCAAGGTACTTTAAAGGACAAATTCCAAGTGTTCATCTGCCGTGTGCTTTCCTTGGCCCTTCCCATATTTCCTGCTGCTGCTATTCCCTTTTCTTCTGTCATTTAGTATGGCTTCTTCTGGCTTTCCAGAAGATAAGCTGCACTAGAATACAGGACATGTCAAAACCAAAATCCATTGTCTTTCTGTCCAAGCCAGTTTCTACCCCTGTGAGCTGCATTCTGCAAAGGAGCACCTCCAGTCCCCCAGGCATGGCAGCCTGGAACCTGGAGCTCATCCATAACCCTTTCCACATCCTGATGTCCCCACCATGTGGATGACAGAACTTGGTCTAGAGCCAGCTCCTAATGATGTGAAACCCTCCTCCTCTCTCTTGCCTATTGTCATTAGTTCTTCTCTCCTTCTTCCTTCTGTTTGATCATTTTTTGACAGAAAAGGCATGCTACTTGTTTAAAAACAGGAGTAAAACATAGTGTAAATTTCTCTGAGTATTGCCTTTCACAGAGTTTTGACTTTCAGAAGCATGTTAATGTTCTACATATTCAAACAATAAAATCAAACTAGCAATTAGGAGAAAGTAAAAAAAGCATCCTCAAACTAGAAGAAAACGGAAGCAAATGAACCCCACTGTATTTCAAATGAATCACATGACCACAGTGAAAAAAACCTGATTGGAATAACTTATGAACATGGTATTCAACTCTATCCATGCTGTCTTGGATAGGGTGATGAGATGAGAATAACCAAGTCCTGAACTCTTTATAGTGGGTTTGCTTTTGGGAGAAACCATTCTGAGACTATTTTAGGTATATTACAGGATTGAGTAATGAATAAATTAGTTCATATTGTTGGGAACAAGAGTTGGCATAGTGGAATAAGAGAGGTACAAATGTGTAAGTCAAGAAAGAACCCTATAGGAACTGATTGGAATTAGAGGCATTGGTGTGGATTCAGAATCGTGTGTATGAGTATCGTGTATAGATACAGATATATGCATATTTCCCAGCTCTATCCACTGAAAAGGCCAAGAGGCAATGAAAGTCCAGCAGCAATGAGCACATCTAACACCCAGATCTTGGTCTCTGGTATCATTCCGCAATAAAGGGAACCAGGACTCCTTGGAGAAATGACTGATCCTCAGGCTGAGGCAAGGAAGGTACAAAATGAACCTGAAATATCTTGTTATACCAGAAATAAAGAAACTGATAAAGGAAAAAAGATGGAATGTATCACTAGGACACAGAAAGCAGCTTGAAAGGATTCTCACCGGTCAAGTCAGAGATAATTTGAGCACTTAAAGACAATAATGAATTGTAAACCATTGAAGAAGAAAGAAGTCCTGAGTCTATACTGGTAATAAATAGACAAAGAAATCAGTAGAGAAGAAAGGACATCTCTTGCTTATAGTGGAATACCAAGTACCTGACTGGTAAATGTGTAAGGAGTGCTACAGTTGGAAAAGTCATCATTTTGTGACTGGTCATAGTGAAATTACTTCTGGTAAGAATCATCAATAGATGCCATCATAGTCTGGGTTGTTTTAACAGAATTATCATAAACTAGGTAGCTATGAAACAGCAGACATTTATTTCTCACAGTTATGGAGGCTGGGAAGTCCAAGATCAAGGTGCTGGCATATTTGATGTCTAGCAAGGGCCCTCTTCCTTTAGATAGACGCCTTTTTTCACTGTAGTCTCATATGGCAGAAGGGGCAAGGCAGCTCTCCAAGGTCTCTTGTTAATGGCACTAATCCCAGTCATAAGGGCTCTATGTTTATGACCCAATCACCTTCCAAAGGCCCTACGTCTTAGTACCATGACATTGGGGATTAGGTTTCAACATATGAATTTTGGGGGGACACAAACATTCAGACCATAGCAGATACTAGATCTAGGAGAGAAGTTTTGATGAAGAACAGATGATGAGATGGATGCCTCCACAGTGGCCCTGAAATGGGGTTGCAAACTAGAGGCACCCAAAACATAGGTGATGCCTCAAGTCAGACACCCAACAAACCATTCTCTCTCAACATCCATGTCATAAAAAACAGCATAGTCTAGTCCCAAAGTTCTCTTTTAGATTTGGTTTTTCAATGACTTTAAACCTTAAAATAGAAGTGTACCAAGCAGACACCTCATTTTTCAGTGTAGAATTAAGTTCTGCTGATAACGGATGGATACTTTCCACATTAATGTAAAATGTGAGCACGCATCTCAAGATAGTGTAATGCACTCCAGGAACCGACAGTGATATATTAAGACACTGATTAGACGTAAAACTGATACATCATTCCTTATAGTGTACACGAATAGTACCAGTGCATAACAGTGCCTTTTGGGACTGAGGTCATTTATTTTTCCTCCTGGATATATTGTTTATATCATGTCCTCTCCCTCATGTTATATATTAAATTGTTTAATGTAAGCCATAAGAGAGCAAATGTCACTTAAAGGTCTTTTCCCTCCCTCTTAAAATCTGAAGAATTAAATCTTCTAAAGCAGGTGATCTGTCAGTTTTCATTCCTGAATGTCATTGGTACGTATGGCTTTTCTTATCAGTTCATTTCACATTCCCAAATCAAATGACTATTAATCTACAACATCTGAGTAGAAAGACTGGGGGCTTCCTGACTTTTATGCAGTCTACTTTCTGGGTCCCAAATGTGTGTCTGCAGGAATAAAAACTTCCCTGAAGTTGATAGGAAAATCAATTCATTATTAGAAAGTTTCCTAGGAGGGAAAGGCTGTTTAGAAGCAAGTTGATAACAACCACTATTATTATTTCTGGAAAATCTGCATGTGTGTGTGTGTGTGTGTGTGTGTGTGTGTGTGTGTGTGTAGTGTGCATAGTGATATTAGGGTAAAGCAAGTATATATCTTGGAAAATAGAATGATCCAAAATTAAACTCTTCTGTTATCATAAACACCTCTTCAATCTAGAACTACAGCAATAATAATCACTACTTATTGAGGTTTACAGTGCACTGTGCACTGTGCAAGAACTTTATCTACATCATCTCATTTAATCTGCACCAAAATACATCCACTATGAGGTGATTATGATTATTCCACATCCAATCCATCAGCAAATCTTGTTGTCTCTGCCTTCAAAATATCTTCTGCATCTGTTTCCCAACACCTTCCCCTGTGACTGCCCAGTCTAAACTGTTCTCATCGATTGCCTGGATTACTGTAATAGCCTCATAATAGGTTTCTCTGCTTCCCTCTGGTCTCTGTGGTATTTGTTAATGCTGTTCACACAATATTCCATCTTGCAGGCACATGGCAGGGTTGTAGTCTCCCACTGCCTTTGAAGTCAGATGCTGTCAGGTGATTTGCTTTGGCCAATGAAAGGAAATGTGAGTGGAAGTGACAAGTGTCACTTCCAGGTTGATGCTTTAGGGCCCATGCATGAGTTGTTGTGCTCTCTTTACTCTCTGTCATGGTGATCTGCAATGATTCAAATAGAGGCTGCTCGGTCCCCAGTTTCCAGGGTGGGGCAGAACCCCAGCCAACTTAGAGTGGATGGGGAGTGTAAGTGGAAAGAACCTTGGCTTTTATAAGTCACTCAGAGTTTGTGGTTATTTATTATAGCAGCATGATCTAGCCTATCCTGATTGATGGGCTCCCTTTGTAGTCTCCTCTTCAAACTGCAACTGAAGTTGTTCTTTGAAACATACATCAGTCTATGCTGCTAAGAACTTCTAATGGCTTCTCATCACCATAGAATGAGAACCAAACTACTCTCTTTTAGGCCTTTTATGATCTGGCTTTGACCTCATTTCCTACCACTTTCCCCATCGCTCCCTTTCCTCAAGCCACACTGGCCTCTTTGCTGTCACTCGATCGTTCCTCAAATGTTCCTGCTTCAGGGGCTTTGCACCTGCACTCTGCTTCTGCCTGGATGACTTTTGCCTGGATATGATGATGCTCCTTCCGCCCTTTATTCTACACTCTGTTCAAATGCCTCCTCCTTAGAGAGACCTTCCCTGATCACCTTATCTGAAATAGCCTCCCAGCACTCTCTAGCTCCTCACCCTACTTTATTTTTCTTTATAGCATGAATCAATTGACTGTTACATGACCCTGTAGTCTCTACTTCTTTGTCTCCTGTCTGTGTTCCTCCTGAGGGCAGGGATTTTTGCCTGTTTCACCCACTGCTTGAGCTTACTATATAGTTACTGGTCCACTCTGGGTACTCAGTTAATGTGTAGTTACTGGCCCACTCTGGGCACTCAGTTAATGTGTAGAATAACTGTGAGCCCTATTTTACACACGGGAAACTAAGAAACAGTGGGGAAACAGAGAAGTGAAGTAACCTGACCAAGGTTACACAAGTAGTTACTAGGGAAGTTGTGATCAAGCCTGGTTCTCTGATTTAATGTACTCATAAGCTGGACTCATTTCCACACAGCACCCCGAAACTTTCATCAGCACGTGTGAGTGCTGTGTCCCTGGGTGACTAGGTCACCCCAGCCACGCACTTCCCCTGGTTTGCATTGATGAGGCCTGGGGTTAGGATGAGACAACCCACACTCAGTTGCGGTTCATTTGTCTCGTGGGTCGGAATCTGTTTTCTAACTTCATTCCCACTACACCCTCTCATTCTGCTAATGGAGAAGACTTGTAATATACTAAATTAAAAAATCAGAGATCCAAAGGTCACTACTTGCCTTTAAAAGGAAAGGTTTCTGCACTTAACCTTGAAAATGCAACTGTCTGCTGTTTGGGAATGCACTTTGAGCACAAAGGTCATGTAGCATTTTGAGAAGGCCCCTGTCTTGGAGGTTTGGAGGAGTCCTTGGGCTGGGCAGAGCTCACTTGCTCAGAGTTTGGAGGGCAGCGCTGCCTCCCCTCCTCCACTGTACCTCACACTCACCTTGGAGCAGGGCTTGCCTTGCTCACAAAGTACACAAGGACTAGAGAGGCTGATAGAGAGAGGTTTGTCAATAAACATAAGGTGTGCCTGGATAATCAGCTAATCTCCAGCTGAAGTTTTTATACAGTCTCCGACTACTGGAAGAAGCAGCACCTTAGAGTTCATCAGATCAGTACTCTCAGAGCCTGGCCTGTGGACTGCCTGCCTTAGACTAAGCAGAAATGAGTCTGAAATGGAGTCTTGCTGGGTCCAAAACTTCAGACTCAGAATTGTTGGGAGTGGAACTCAGGAATCTGCATATTTAACCAGCTCTCCAGGTGTTTCTCATGAGCGCTCCACTTTGGGTCTCGTTCAAACTTCTCATTTTATAGATTTAGAGAAACTGAGGCCTAGGGATTTGATTCTTGTGGAAATGATTATGTCAAATTGCAACAAGAAAAGGCGAAAGCAATTTTCATGGTAAAATAAAATTTTAAGAGTCATCATTCATCTCTGTTTTTGGCACGGATCTCCTTAATAAAAAAAATAAGCATTAAAACACAGGTCCATATATAAAGCATGTGGCAAGTAGAGGTCTTCTCTAATATTCCTTGAAGTCGGTTTCTAGATTCCCTGTACACCCTATTCTAGAGCGGATGACTCTCATCTGAAACAATAGCTTCCCATGAATTTTGCTCCAGTGTTGACTCAAAGAATGAAGGCTTCTAGGAGTTAGCTAGCATCTGGAAGAAGGGAGAGGAAGAAGAAGAGATTGAGGAAGAAAAAGATGAGTTAAACCCCAACAGTTTACTCATCAAAATAAATATTGTGAAGAGGTTTCTCGGGGGCCCTTATTACATGAGGTGAGGGAATCGTGCACAGAGCATTAGTAAAGTCAGTGTATCCATGTGAACTACCAAAAAAAATTTTTTTTTTTTTTTACAGATGTGAAGTCAGGCTAAGAGCCTATCCATCAGTCCAGGAATGACTAATTATTGGAGAACAGAAGATTCTCTGTAGTTTCTCCTTTGTATCAATACATGAAAAAAAAACCTAGAATTTTGTGGTCAAATGTGGCTGTAAGTGAACAGATAAGAGCCGAAGCAAATGGAAGCATGCCTCCATTCCTAAGGGAAGTTGGTGAGCTGCCCACAGAATTTGCTGATAAAGACCCATCTGTTAAAACAAAGTCGAGGAGCGTTGGCAATACATTTCAACCAGAGAGACCATAAGTGGTTATTTTTTCTTGACAGCCTTGTTGGCTTTTTTTCTTTTAAAGCCCAGAAAACTATTTGAGAATGAAATATAGATGATGATATTGGCTTTAAGTTAATGTTACACTTTTTGTTTGGAGAGAGAAAAATCCGTCGGCCCAACTTCTCTGGTAAACACTGTTGCGTGATAAATTGTTATGAGAATAAAGTCATAAGGAAAACTCAGCTTCACAAATGACACACGTAGAAAAACAGCAGATGTCTGATGAAGTAAAGAACCGACTTATTGCCAAGACCTTGAAAAACAAAATTAATTTCCTTTCGTCTTTGATAATGATGATGTAATGTAGTTAATAGGAAGAGCCTGCCACGCTCAAGTGGTTATAAAAGGAGAAACGTTCGCCAGGCACCGGGTCAGTGCTATTACTCTCACTATGTCAGTCACTAGATGAAGCGAGTGAAAGAAGCAAGGAACTTTGTTTTGTGTTGTTTGCAATGTAACTGGACTTCGGCTGTATTACGACTTTTAAGCAGCTATTTCATAAAGAGAAAAAAGGCCGTTATGTAAGTTTTGCTCTGATGATTTCAGATATTTGAAGTCTTTGGAAGTCATTATCAGTGAAAAAGATACTTCACAAGAATGAAACAAAGTCATTGATATTTTAGGGAACAATTACATTTCCATAGGGAGGAGAATGCTTGGATTTTAGGTAAATGAGGCACATGGCTGGTGCCGTTTCCCACACAGGTGAAAATTTTGAGCACATACTAAGGAAACCTTTATTCAACAATTACTTAAGCCCATGAACAATTCACAGGTGCTCTCTCCTTTCAGCTCCAGCTAAAAAGAATCAACACAAAGGCTCATTTTAAGGACATCTGACCATTGCTGGCATCTCATGTTTTAGGATGTAGAAGCTGTTGAATTTTCTGGCCCCAGTAAACTAGATTTAAAATCAATGAAGTGGTTGGCAGCATAACCATGGTCTTGATATTAGAATTGGCCCCATTCTACCACACATCTGAATTTGTTTTGTCTGCTATCAACTATGGGCCATTGGAACAACCTTTCTGTGAGGTTACTCCAACTCTGAGAAAGGGAGAAATCCCTCTCTGGATACTTGGTTGGCCACAGGGTCAGAATATCAGCCATTACAAGTACCAGTGTGGTAAGGTTGATGAAGTTAGCCCCTCTCTCCAGGGCATTCCCTTGAATGTGCATGCATTTAGGATTGAAAGTATATGTGTATCTTCCTTAGGATCCCTCTTTCAGTGGTTCCAGCAGCAGAAACTTGGCAGACAGGTCAAAAACACGACCTGGAGACTGCTAGCTCAATGCCAAACGCCAGAATTTTGCATTTTCTCTTGGTATTTTGAGACTAGTTGTTACCTCTCTTGTCTGGGGGAGATTCTTCTCCCTTGAGAAAAGAATTTTGAAGGACTCATGGATGAGTCTTTTCCAAATTCATGACAGATCTGTTTTCTCTGTTGTTTTTATTTTTTCTTTTCTGCTTTTAGACCATTTATATTAGAAGCACATTTTAAAAATTCTTTGTTTATTATTTTTCTTCTTTTCTATTTACTTCGTCTGGTATAAAGCTTGGATTATCCAGGAGGGAAACCTGACAATATACTCATTGGCCCAAACTCTACTTTGCTATCATGAGAAGTTGCCTGGTTCAATGATGCTTCAGCAAATAAAAACAATAATAATAATAGGAACTATTTATCAAGCATGGTACCATGTGTGCTAAATAGGTGCTTTTTATACTATTCATCAAACATTCATAGAAAAATGAGGTAGCTACCAGAAATAGCCTCATTTTACAGATGAGGTAATTGAGGCTTAGAGAAGTTAACTTGCTCAAGATCACACAAACTCTTCTGTGGTAACACTGGGATTGCAATGCCCATGCTCTTAATGACCAGTATATATCATTTCTTGCTGCTCTTCAACATTGTATTTTCTCTGCCTTTTAGTTACTTTACCCAGGAGTGGGGCCTTGTTCTGTGACATCAACACTGGCTATTCTCAACTGACCTGAGAGTAAGTCTGTGTGCACACAGGCTCTCCCTATTGTGAAAAGGTTCTTATTAAATCCAGGTGTTTGGTTAATACATCATGGAGGCTGCTGAAAGTGTCCTTAGACATATGGATCAGGCTGTGAAAACTCCGTCGCCACCGTAATGGGACAAGTTCAAAAGTTGCTTTTTTGATTGAACTGGGAGCTCTGGATATGTCTTCAAAACCCCTCTTCTGCTGAGATTTCAGCTGGGGGATTCTTTGCTCAGTAGTCAAGCCCCAGAATAGGGAGGAAGAGAGCCTTTTAAGCAGAGCTGTAAATCTTAAACCCTTGCATTTTCACACAAAGTTAAGCAGAAAGAAGTAAGAACTTGGGAGCTCATCTCACAGAAGAAAAAAAATTAAGGGAAGAGCTGGTGCACTTCATGTAGAAATTGAGGGTGGAGGGAGGATTAAAAGGCAGGGGAGGGACTAAGAGCTTAATAGGTAGATACTCTAGTGACGAGTTCTAAGAGAAGAAACGGGAAAAAAAGAGATACAGAAAGAGCCATCTACATGGTAGATATATTAAGAAAGAAACGTCAGGCATCAAGATAAAAGAGAAATATCTGTCTGAGGATTGGAAGATAATAAATTATTTCTTTCTTGGATTTTCTCTAAAACATCCTCTTGTTTTCATAGCTTTCTTTGAGTGGCAGTGCTGCTGATATAGCCATTATTATAGGCTAGAGAAATTAGGAATTGTACATTTTACTCTTAGGAACATTAGTTTTTTCAGCCTTGATTTTGGTTTAAGTTCCCTACCAAAAAAGGAAAAACTCAGCTTATAGCTCTGAAAAATATAAGACATTTGTGACTCTGAACAAAGAGCAGTATGAGTGCTAAATCTCAAATAGTTGTGTTTTCATTACCTGGAATGGATGGGGGCAATATGTGAAAACCCAGAAGAACTCACAAAAAAAATTGAAGTGGTTGTATTACTATCCTGCAAATAAGTACTTCTCTAGAATGGGTATGAAGGGGTTGGAAAACAATTGCTACAAATAACACCACACAAATGCGTTTTTTTTTCTTGCAGCATCATATGTATGAGCAACCATGGGCTCATTATCTTTACCGTACTGATGTTTTGGGTTCTTGAAACCAAGATGAGGTTAAAAGCATAATCTTTCCAGATAGATAAGGCAGACAAGGTTCAAGTTTCAACTTTAATCATTATTTGTTCCATATGTTTTGGGAAACCACTTGAGACTCAATCTCTGCATCTCTAAAATAGGGATAATCTCTACCTTATAGGGGTGCTGTGGGGACTGATGTGAGAATATGTTATACACATTCCTGGTGAGGGAAGATACTCACAAAATTGTAACTTATTATTCCCTAGATGCTAAACATATCTAAGCATTTAAATACATACAGGCAATTTTGTGTTTGGATTATTTCTCCCCATCCCCCCAAAGCCAGGCAGATTCTCAAAACACCTGCACACTAAGCAGAGTGCCAGGTTATTAGAAGCCTTCAATGCTCTTCAAGCCCTCTAAATAACAAGTTGGATATTCCATAGCTCCTCTGAAGAAGCTGTACCTTTCTTCTGAGGAACACTGGACATTTCATTCATTCATTTGTTCATTGAATGTTGATTTAGCTCCTGCTGTGTGCTAGGTATTGCATAGGTCCTGAATGTTTAAGAGTGCAAAAAACAGATAAAGCTTCGTCTTCATGAAACTTATATTTTAGAAGGGGTAGAGAGCTAACAATGAACAAATAAACACCAAAGAGGATTCCTTTATTATGATAGTACTCTAAAGAAAAGTCTCAGGGCAATATAATGGTGAATAACAGGGTGGAGGTGGAGGAGTGATTCAGGTAAGTGAGGTCAGGGAAGTCTCTCTGAGCAGGTGATTATTGAGCCAAGATCTGAAAGACAAGAAGGAGACGGGATGGGTCTTCCACGTAGAGAGGACAGCAAATGCAAACATCTGTAGGCAGGAAGGAGCTTGATGTGTTGGAGAAGGAAAAAGAAGGTGATCGTGTCTGGAATGTGGTGAGGGAAAGGGAGCATGGTGCAGGCCGAGGTCTGTGTGAAGGGACAAAGTCAAGGACCAAAGAATTATAAAGGGGAAGAGGGGGCGGTCACTGCAGGAAATATCTCCATGATCAGACTCCACTTAAGTCCCCTAAAGCAGAAGTGTCCATGGTAAACTGACTCCTTGCCCCTTAGACACCCAACAAAGAGAAAGATCAGGAGATAAAGTTAAAAAAAGGATCACAGGGAAAAAGAACATTAGAATTTTGGTGACAATTTTACTTTAGAAAATAAAACAAAATACAATAAAATCCTCATTTCCCCAGTCTTCCTGGTGAGCCTGAGTGAAATGGAGCCACTGTAAAGCTTCTGAAACACCTTATTTCAGCTTATCTTCAATATGGTCCTCAAATGTTATTATATATCTAACATGTCACAATATATATTACATGTATTATGTATTTTTATATATAGTCTTATATTTCTATTAAAGGCTCAAAATCAACTATATTTCGTATAAATTTTGATATTTTTGAAAAATAGAAACATGTTGTATGAAGTATAATATCACCTAGAAATAGATGCTGGTATGGTTTGAAAGTGTCCCCACCAAATTAATGTGTTTGAAACTTAATCTCCAGTGCAACAGTGGTAGGAGGTAGAGCCTAGTAAGAGGTGATTAGACCATGAGGGCCCTCATTAATGAATTAATGTAATTATCACGGGAGTGGGTTAGTTATCATGAGTGGCTTCATTAAAAAAGCAAGTTTGGTCCTCTCTTCCTTGTTTGCTATCATGCTGTCTTGTCCTTCCATCTTCTGCCATGAGATGATGCAGCATGAAGATGCTCACCAGATGCTAGCACCATGTTCTTGGACTTCTCAGACTCCAGAACCATGAGCCAAATTAATTTCTGTTCATTATGAAGTTCCCAATCTGTAGTATTCTGTTATAGCAGCAGAAAACAGACTAAGACAGATGTGTAGACAGTATTTTAGCCTTAAATTCCCAAGACTTTCTTGCCAATCGAGGGTTCACAGGTTTGATGGTTTCGTGCTAGATGATATGACCACATAGTATTGCTCTTTAACCCTGTTGGTGAAGGTGTGGTGCTAATGGGGCAAAGAACATCAGGTCACACATCAGTGGTTGGTTATCCTTGTTTTGTTACAAGGCCAAGAATTCATTTAGCCAGTTTCAGGCACATGTGCCTTTGGCCATGCAGAGCCCAGGTGACAGTGTGTTGGGGGCAGGGCAGATCTATCATAGGGAAAGGCATGTGGGAGATCAGGCAATTGTCTCACGTGGCCCCCACAAGGACACCTTGAGCTGAGGCTCCTCCTTTGATAGCAAAATCCTCTGATATTTGAGAAATCCTGTTGAAAGGCATATTCTAGTATTTTTCATTAGGACTCATTGATTGGGCAAGTTAGTTTTCCCTTTGCTAAGACACTCTTGTTCGCCTAATGTTTCCCTGACCTTATTCAGCAACTTGGTTTGATTACATTTTAATGTAAATCTCAGCACACTATAGGACCTTCTTCAAGTTATGCAGTATTGGGTGCAGGAAAACAATTTGATTTTCTCGACAGAAATGAAAAAAATGCCTTTTGGCTGGCTTGTGGGTTTTTAAAAATTTGTTTCTTTCTTTCTACCTATGTTGGCTGAAGAGTGTATGGCTTAGCTTAGAGATTTTTTTTTTTTTCCCCAGAAAGTTGATCAGTGGTGCTGATCAATCCTAGACCAAGTTCCATCCTCAGGCAGGCAGACCATTCCAGATGAGTTTACTGAGAGATGTAGTATGTATGCATCCAAAGACTCTTTGATGCTCACCTCTCATGGTGAACTACTTGAGAGGGCTGGCAAGGAAGTCATTGAACGCAGGGTCTGAAGACAGTTGCTCATTACCTTATAGAATGAAAGGCTCCCATCCCAAAAGATTGGTGAAAATCACAGCTTACAGTGGGAAGAGGGAAATGAGTAAAATGAGTATACTCCTGTTGGAGGACAGAAATATCAATTAATAATGTCAGGCTTCTGTAAAATGTTGCACTTGAAAACCAAGGAAGTTAATGTAAAAGATACACTTCCTGAAGTACACAAGACACAGGAGGTAGGCATATGGCATCAGTGGAGCTGTTACTGTGTCCCTACTGATTCACTTTGTGATCCATTCTGCTAATTCAGTCAGGTTTTCTCCAGACTTAATTCACAGAAATGCAAGAAAAAGGGAGAAGTGTTTAAAAAATAATAAGCTAATTGGAGATGGGCAACATAAGCATATCTCTGAATAAAACAGGCATTGCTAAAGCCATATGAAGGTTTGGATAGAGAAGACTGGGAGAAGATGTCATGGAAGACAGGCTGTTGTCGCTTGGTCGAAATGGAAAATATTGGGTTAGTAGGAAAGTTGCAGATGTATTTATCTCAGGTTAGCAGTTCACGTGCTGGTTCTGAAGTCAGATACCTCTGTTCAAATTCCAGCATTTCCAATTACATCCATGTGACTGTGGGGGAAGGTCATTAAGCTCTTTAGGACCCACTTACCTCATCTGTTAAATGGTGCCTACTTCATAGGACTCTTGTGAGGACTGAAAGAAATAATATAAAGCTTGTCAAGTGTTTAGCTCTGTGCCTGGGAAATATGAACTCTCAATAAATGGTAGCTATCAATATTAACTAACGCTTTAGAAGGAAATATACAAACAGCTTGGCAAGGAGTTGACATTCTTCCTCCAGGCTATAAATGTAAGGCTGACACACCTTGTTGCCTGTATATTGAACTCAATCTATAGCTGTCATTGTGCCCCAGGATGCTGTTTTTCCCGCTTGTCCTCATTTTCTGGCTTATATTGCTGGACTGCTTTGCTTTCTCTTATTTGGATCTTACATCAGAGTGGTGTAGTATGTTTCAGTGATCTTTGTCAAGCACTTCCCTTACATACTAATGAAAAGCTCAAATTGATGTAAATTTACATTTTGTAAAGGAAGAAGATGATGCAAGGCTTTATTCCAAATGCTGGAATAATATATTTGATGTAAGTGAAGGCATACATGAGTAAACATGACATATTAGTTAATGCAGCAACCTAGATGGCCACATTCCACATGCGTCCTATGGACCATTTTAGCAATTCCGTTTCCATGATCCCTCCCTTTCAATTTCATGGCTTGGGGATTTAGGAATCAAAGAAATAGTTGTAGGAGAGTGATATAGAAATTAATAGAATTGATCTTCAAATGAATATTCTTATGGGTTCAAAAGCAATTGATATGTCCCAAAATGCACAGCATCCTTAACTTAGCTGTATTTGTTGTACTTTTTGATTCATGGTTTCAGGGCCTTGTTAGTGAAGCGCTTTTGACTTCTTTGGGATGAACAGTGGGAGGAGTGTATTAGTATTTATTATACTTCCTAAATTACAAACTTGTTAAAATTAGATCTACTTGCATAGATAGCTTTCCAGTTGCTTCTTGCCAGCTTAGCTGTAGTGGAAGGAAAGTTGCTTTTGGAAGATCCCAAATGTCCAACTGTATTGCTAGCCCTTCTCTTATGGTTTGTATGTTTAAGACAGACAAAGATGAGAAAAGTGTACTGGGACTATTGGGTCACTTTTTAATTCAGAGAACAAACTATTTTGAACTCCACACCAGATCTTCACAGTTCTCAAAGGGAGAGCTGAGCAATGGACCACATGAATCCTGATGGAAAATATTGGATGGTTTTGTTTATTCTCCTGTCAAGGGTTTATTGATCGAGTGAGCTCTCCTGTAGCTTGAGCAGCCTTTGATCTGCCAGGGAGAAATTGGGTTTGGATTTTGGCGGAAGGGAGGGGAGGAGGTTGAGAAAGGATTTGGAATGTAATGGCCCTTGTTATCTGTAGTGGTCAGAGACTCTTCTGACCTGGGCCAGTGCAGAGCTGCTGCCTGGGAGGAGGGAGGAGTGGAGGCGAGGGGACAGCCAGCCGGAGTGAGCTGAAGGCAGAGCTTTGGTGTTTTCAGTAGGAGCAGTACTTAGTTAAAGCTGCTGGAGTGATTTCTTGCTGCTAATAGATTTGTTTCTTTAGAGGCAGATAAGTTAAGGAAATGATGACTTTTAAGTGAATAGTTCCCCTGCACGGGGCTGGTTTGTGTCAGCTAGTGCAGTGGCAGGAAATACCAATGGGTTGTTTTTTTTTTTTTTTTTTTGTAACGCAGTGACAAAAGGCTTTGCTGTCTCCTCCCATGCCCCCAACCTTCCCACCGTTGCTCCTTCTTGCCTACAAAACCGAGACGCCGGCCCCTGTGCCTGCTGGTGGAGGGCCAAGTCTTGTCTGAAAGCCGTTTAAGTAATTGCTCATAATTGCACAGGTTCCCTGGCTGGGCTTTTACCTCTCCACCCCTGAAATTAAAAGGGGCCAAAGATGTGTGACCTTTTTCTAATGGGATGGGTACTGGAACAAAGGAATTCAAGGAGGGGGCCCCAGGCCTTTATCAGGGCTCATCTATGACAGCTAAAGGCCTGGGGAGAGACAAGATTGTCCTTTTTCAAGTTGAAGAGGAACAAGGGTGGGAGGGAATTCTTTCTCCCTAAACCTCTCCCTTCTCTTTCTTCCTCCACTCTGGATGAACATAAAATCTTTGCCTGATGCTGAACATCATTTATTTCTGAAAAGGAGATGGGTGCTACCTGACTGATAACACCTTGTGGCAGCTCAGGAGGTCTGTGTTTCTGTTTATGAGCCGACTTAGATAATTCACTTAACATCTCTGAGCCCCAGGTTCCTCATCTGAAAAATAGGGATAATGAGATAATGCCACCTGTCAGAGGGACTGGAGATAATATATGCCATGCACAGTGCTTGGCACCAAGGAATCCAATAAATGGTCATTGTTCCCTCAATATAATTTACTGATGTCATTTTACTTACCTTGATTTTATTTCTCTGAGTTGGGGAGAGACAAATTCTAGGCCTTGAATTTTATGACCCAAATTAGTTAAGATCCATAGAATTTTAAATCCAGAACAGAATTTTAGAATTATTTTATTCACTGCTTTGCAAACCTGGCTCTGTATTAAACCTGGGGAGCGTTTAAAACTATTGATACCCCAGCCCTGTATCTAGAGATTCTGACTTATTTGAGCGTAGCATCTGATCAGTGTTTTTGTAAAGAGATTCTAGGTTATTCCAATGGGTAAACAGAGTTGAAAGCCACTGATTTTGTTGAACCATCTCATTTCACAGATGAGAAAACTGAGACCAATATTCCTTTGCTAATTCCTTTATTCATTAACTTGCTGGTCCATCCGTCTATGCATCTGACAACAAACATATACTGAGCATTTACTATGTGTCAGACAATGTTTTAAGCACTGGTGATAAACTTAAGTGGGTTGATCTTGAAGGAGAGCATGAGGACCAGAACTGAGACCTGGCAGGGGATAGTTTCAACCTATCAGTTGCTGGCTTGTTGCTCTAAGTTGCTTCTTTAGGTCAGTAAATGTCACACCTGGGGCGGCAAGGAGAAATTGGTCATTAGAGATGAGTTGCTGGTAGGGATTTAGGCTTCTAGCCCACATGGTATCTTCTCTGTGGCTGAGATTTCTGTGATCATTACTGAATCCAAACATTGCAGAATATCCTGTACCTGAAGGCTCTGTAGGTCCCAAGCTGTTTTCTCTAGGCTATTCTCTTGCCCTCAAATTTACCCCCTATAGTCAGGCACAGCTCATGAGCTTCAGCTGGATTCTGGGCCTGGAAATCCTGCTGACACAAACAGAATGGAGACAATGTGAAAATTCTGTGCCTTGGTTTATGCTATTATAGTTAATGATCTGTCAGTATTTCCATTATAAGCCCCTATTTTTGGGGATGTATAACCCAGTCATAAATGTTCTCTCTGGGCTAAGCCTTGGCATTTGTGATTTCAGCCTGGGAGCACATGTGTGTGTTGGTGTGTGCATGTGTTTTTATAAGGATATGAGGGAAAAAATGGGTTAGCCATTTTTAAGCAAAGGATGGTGAGAAACGGGGGAAAAGATGGTAATTGATTGCAGATGCTCTTTTGATGCTGCCAAGACTAGAAAACTGCTGAGTTGCTTTGCCCCCCCAGTTGAGGCCATGAAGGGTTGGGATGCTATTCTGTGCCTTAATTTTGTGCAAGTAATGTTAATTGACAAAGTCAACATCCATATATGAAGGGCAAAATGTGGACCAGGATGGCTTCTCCAAGGGCAGGGATTGACTCAAGGTCAAAGGCTATGGAGGCCAGAAGCCAAAAAATCAAAACAATACTCTGCAAAAACGAGTTTCTTTCACCTGCTCCTGGCTCTTTCCCTCTTTCAGCCCCTCTTGCTCTATCTCTATTTAATACGAGATGGAGGAGGTACAGCAGGTTCTCAGAGGCCTGCCATCAAGTTTTTGATGGTATCCATAGTTGTCACGGCGTGTGGTTGATGGCTGGAGTAGTCTATTTCCTTTTGAATAGGGCATGCCAGAAGACTTTTCATAATTTGAATATAATAAGATTCTGTCATAACTTAATACATAAAAGGTACCAAGCTGATGTGAAACATACCAAGCTAATCAGTATTTTTTAGAATCTAGGAATCAAACAATCCATAACACTCAAAATGTTGTAAACCTCAAAATAGCCATTTTGCACTCAAAGTGAAACAAAACTCAAATCATGTTGTGAGTTGCTTCTCTCACAGTTTTTCCAGAAAGATGCTGTTGCTTAAAACCTAAGAACGACCAACCCTGAACAACGAAGAGAAACCAGGGCCAGTAGAGTCACAATCGGTTTTGTCCAAAGACATGCCTATGAATCAAAGTCTGCAATTGTACCCTCAAACAAGAAGCTTCACAGCTGCTGATGGACACAGACACTGGGACTGCCTTCATATTTATCTCTTGAAACCATGATTAAACCAGGACACAGAATTTTCTAGATCTGCTTTCCCTCACAACTATTCAATAGCTCTCTGCTGTGGATTCCACTGTGCATATGTATATGTATATGTATATGTATATGTATATATTATTGTTAAAAGCTGATTTTGAGACCATATGCCTCAGGAAGCACTCATCTCATACAACTTTCTCTTGCTCACTGTATGTTAGCCACCCTGCTCATCTTTGTGTTCCTTGAACACATCAAGTCCATCCCCTCTTTATGGCTTTTGTACAACTTTTTCCTGTGCTTGAAATGTTCTTCCCTTCTCTCTTCGCATGGCTGGTTCTTTATCCTCATTCTAGTCTCAGCTCGAATGTCACCTTCCTGGCAGAGGCCTCCTTCTTTCCCTGTCACTCTATTCCATAGGGGTCAGCAAGCTATAGACTGGGGACCAAATTTAGCTGTCCACTTGCTTTTGTAGGGCCCAAGAGCTAAGAATGGTTTTTACACTCTAAATCACTGAATAAAAACAAAAGAAAAATAATGTATCATGACACATAAAAATTATATGAAATTCAAATTTTAGTGTCCATAAATAAAATTTTATTTGAACATAGCCATGCTCATCATTTACATATTATCCATGGCTGCCTTCATGCCACAGTGGCAGAGCTGAGTAACTATTATAGAGAGTGTCAGGCCCACACTTATTTTCCCTCGGGCCTTTTACAGAAAAAGCTTGCCAACCTCTCCTCTAATCTAGTCTGCCTTGTTCGGTCCTGCCTAGTGTGAGACGTAAAGTGGGCACTCAAAACTTCTGTACTGAATGAACTGATGAAGAGATGGATAGGGTCCTTGGGCCAACTTATTGACTCTGAAGTTTACGTGGGCACATCCACCCTTCCATTCATTCAATAACTGTTTACTGAATGCCTACTATGTGGCTTACCCCTTAGCTAATCCAGTCCATTGCTTTCGTGGCCTCAAGTGATCCTCCTGCCTCAAGTTGACCCATCAAGATGGCTGTCTGTCCTGGGCCGCTGTGAAGTTAGCTTCAATGGGCTCGGCAGACTTCCGAAGTCATCAGACAGTTCTGACTCTCAGTGTCTGTTGACTCTCACGCAGGGGATATCCTGCGTGTTATATCCTCCCCGGTGACTGTATTAGGGTCTTGCATTGCAGGGCTCTAAATCTTGCAGGATGACCTATCCACCCTCCCTCAGGAAGAGGCATCTGCCCTATTTTTGCTCATTCAAGCACAACCTTTGCTTCTGCTTGTGTCCCAGAAATCCTCCTCTCCCCACATTCCCATTCATCCGGGCTTGCCCCGGTGGCCTCCTACACACACCTGCAAATCTCGTTCACATGGCGTCAGATTCATCATTGCTGGCCTGGAAGCATGAGAGAGGAGGGCCAGAGTCCGGTGGCGCACATACTTCCCCTTCCTCCTCCTCCTTCCTGCCTTCTCTGCAGAGGAGTTCTTGTGAAGGAGCCTCCGTGTGCTTTCCCTGGATGCCTGGTTACTAATGGTGCTTTTGGAGGAGGAGGATGTAGCAGTCTACTTTTATATATAAATGTATCTCAGTTCGTGGTGATGATAGGAAGATAATTATACCCCGTGAGTTTACTTAGCAGTTGTTACACTGAACAAGATGTTGAAAGATCTGATTTGAACACACAAAGGAGAATATGATTCATCTTTATGGAAGCCTATCCTCTATCTCATGTTCTAGGATAAAGTGTCCATTTTTTTTTTTTTTTTTTTTTTTTTTTTTTTTTTTTTTAGACCAGTCTCGCTCTGTTGCTTAGGCTGGAGGGTAGTAGTGCGATCTTGGCTCACTGCAACCTCTGCCTCCCGGGTTCAAGCAATTCTCCTGCCTCAGCCTCCCAAGTAGCTGGGATTACAGATGCCCACCACCATGCCCAACTAATTTTTGTATTTTTAGTAGAGACAGGGTTTCACCATGATGGCCAGGCTGGTCTTGAACTCCTGACCTCAAGTGATCCACCCACCTCAGCCTTCCAAAGTGATGGGATTACAGGTGTGAACCACTGCATCAAGCTTAAAGTGTCAATTTTTATACTTATCTGGTTTGCAATTATAATGACCTTACAATCTGGACTTTTAGGCCCATCTGGTTTAAAATGTACTTTCCGGCCGGGGCGCAGTGACTCTTGCCTGTAATCCCAGCACTTTGGGAGGTCAAGGCAGGTGGATCACGAGGTCAGGAGATCGAGACCATCCTGGCTAACACGGTGAAACCCTGTCTCTACTAAAAAATTCAAAAATCAGCCGGGCACGGTGGCGGGTGCCTGTAGTCCCAGCTACTCGGGAGGCTGAGGCAGGAGAATGGCGTGAACCCGGGAGGTGGAGCTTGCAGTGAGCCGAGATTGCGCCACTGAACTCCAGCCTGGGTGAAAGAGCGAGACTCCGTCTCAAAAAAAAAAAAAAAAAAGTACTTTCCCATTATAAAATCATAAACCCCAATACTGAGTTAGTGAGTCTGGTCACTCTATCTGTGAGATTTTAATAGGAAAAGTTGATTTATTTTGACACTCTTTTGAGCTCTTGATGGGTTGTCAAATTCTCCTCTGGGCAATAAGGAGCAGGCAGAGTTCAGCCAGGGTGGGAGATGGCTAGAGAAGTTAAGGACAGCTGTTGGGCAGGGCTTATGGGGAACTGAGATAAGATAACTGACTGATCACGATCAGTTCACTGATCTACCTGATTGATTAAGAGTCGGGGACTACATCTCCTGTGTCATGTCTATCCCCTTGCTTGGTTCTTACTTTAAATATGGGTCTCCTCATGTTCCTGTAGAGCCTCCAAGAACACCAGAGTAGAAAGTTCAAATAAAGGGTAATGCCATTTATGTTGGCCACCTGGCAACCCCAAGCACTGAGAAAAGCTCCAGGCCCATGTGGGTGCTTCATAAACATCATTTAATGTTTAATGGAGGGAAGAGACTAGTAAATGTGCTCTTGGTTGGCAAGAGGATAGGGAATCTGATCCCTTCCTTCTGACATTTAAGCCCTGCTTTTTTCCACACATAAAAACACACAATGCAGCCAAGAAGAAAAGATGAGACACATATAGGAGGTTCAATAAAGCAATTCATAAGGAAAAAAAATAATTCCTGCTTTTATTGTTAAATGGGCATTCAAAAATACCAACCCCACAGTGCAGAGATGGATACATCCTGAGATCATTAAACACAAGGCTGAAAAATATACTGGCCAGTCAGGTTTGGACAGAGGGTAAAATCAGGGACTGTCTGGCCCTTCTTTTCTCCCCTACCACCATCCTTTGTTCCAAAGCCCTCCAGGACTCATAAGAGCAGAGCATCTTAGAAGTGTAAGTCCATGTGTATCACCTGTGAGTCTTGTAAAATCCAGATGCAGATTCACTAGGTCTTGGGCGGGGCTGAGATCCTGCACTTCCAACAGGCATCCAGTGATGCCCATACTGCGGGCCCGTAGCCCTCACTCTCAGTAGTGAGGCCTTAGAGAACAAATTCTTCAGTCTAAATTGCTTGCTTCGTCTTGGCCTGAGATTCAACTCAATCCTGGGGCCAGGACTCTGAAGTGAGTGACATTTTCCAGGGCTGGAGCGTTGGAAATGTGTGTGTGCTGTGTGTTGCTTGGGCTCCTTGCAGTCCTGCTTTTGGAGTTCCTGGACAAGTACCACAGCTTCCAGTGGGACTGAGATGCTCTTCACCTTCCCTGCCACTTGCTGTGCTCTGCCTCCATCAGGGTCCCTGATCCTAGGCCGGCAGTGGGAGCTGCTCACCCCTAGGTAAAGGCTGTGCCATGCGTTGGCTGTGAATGCTGAGCAAATTACTTGAGTGCTTGGTGTCAGTTTCTTTGTCGGTAGAATGGGAACAATAATATTACCTATGTGACAGCGTTTGTAGTATTCAGTGAGTTAACCCAGGTAAGATACGTAACAGTGCCTAACTCTGAGTAAGCTCTCAGGGAATGTTGGTCAGTCTGGTCACATACACTGGTCTCTGCCCTTTTGATGATGCTTAGGAGGGATGTGTTGTTGTATGTGTGACTAAGTTTTCATTGTATATGTTGGCCTCAGGGAGGCAGTTAGGCATACTGTGATTAGAAGATTGTGAAGTGAGTGAGCTCGGGGCAAAGGACAAGGCTAGTCTTGGTCACCTAAGGTCATCTCAGGTGGCAGATTCGGTATATGGACACTTGGGGAAATCCAAGAGACTGGCAACCACCCTAGCAGTCTCAACAAAAGTGGAGGACGTTCTAGATACACAGCTGCTGTGGTAGCAGGCATCTTATCCTCTCCCAGAAGTGACGCCAGTGCTCCCGAATCCTATGACCGGGTCTTACAGATGATTCTGCTGATCTCGGCTGCTTCTCTCATCACCTGGATCCACTTTCTCACTCTGGCATCAGTGAGAAATCCCTCTACTCTCTTTCCCTTGTGCTTTCTGCTCGTTTTTCCTGTGTCTGTCTTCCATTCTGCTGCTGTTCTTCTACTCATTCTCTTTCCCGATGTCTTGAACTCAAACCCTCTGAGAGAGTATCTGTTTTGGTTCAGTCAAATCCAGTGTAGAACGCCTCATTGGGCCCCTTATGAGTCGCTGATCAGCATGTGGTCCTATTAGCTGTGGCTAGCACCCCATGGTTACAAGGTGTAAGTCACGATAGTCCCTCTGGTTGGTAAAATGGGTGCAGGCACATAGGTCGTGTGCCATTTAGGATGCTTTTGGCAGAAAATTTGATTCAAGTGGCTTACAAAATAAGGAACCAATGATCTAATATAATAATATGTCCAGAGGTAAGGTGTTTCTTGGGTGAGCTGTTGTTGGTTGCTTGTCTAAACCTATTTTTCTCTTCTTTCCTGCTTAAAGAGCATGGATTTTTTTTCCACATGAAAATATATAGTTGGGAAAGATTGCCCTATCCCCAGAGCCATGAGAAGGGATTTTGATGAATTTCTTTCTGTTCTTTCTGCCAGTGACTGGCTTAGGAAGGGGCATGTGACCCAAGACACAGAGGAACTTCTGGGAAAAGTTTACTTGCTCTTAAAAAGCAGAGTGTGTTAACTGTCCAACTTAGCAATCCCACTAGAGGGAAATGAAAACATATGTCCACACAAATACCTGTTTGTGGATGTTCATAGCAGCTTTATTTATAGTAGCTCAAACTGGAAACAGCCCAAATGCCCATTAACTGGTGAATGGATAAAAACCTATGGTATAGCTATACAATGGAATACTGCTCAGCAATAAAACAGAATAGACTACTGATATTTGCAACATGGAACAATCTCAAGTGCACTGTGCTTAATAAAAGAAGCAAGACACAAAAGGCTAACCTAATGTATCATTATATTTATCTGAAATCCTTGCAAAGGGAAAATTACAGGGACAGAAATCAAATTAGTGGTTGCCAGGTGCTCAGATTGAGAGAAGGGACTGACTACAAGCAGACCCGAGGGAATTTTTGGTGTGATGGAAATGTTCTCTACCTTGATTGCTACATGACTGTATACATTTGTCAAACTCATCAAACTATACATTTAGAAATGATTAATTTTACTGTCACTTTTGTATTCATAAACCTGACTTTTAAAAAAGCCACATGTGAGAGGAGGCAGGCCCTTTTCTGTCTTTGGACAATGCCTTCAACATATGTTATCTGAAACTGAAGTGGCATCATGGGACCATGAGGGGAAGCCAAACTGGAAGGTCTCACACTGAGGAAGGTGGAGGGGAAAAATTTGTTGAGTTGCTAAATTAACCAGCCCTAGAATTGCCCTACTGATGGGACCAGTGGTCCCATCTGGAGCAGCCACTGACATGGTGCTGACTGCAGCTGGGGAGGCACAGCTGGGGCTGGGCCCTCCATGGAGCTGGTGCAAGCCGGTGGGAGTGGGGAACAGGTGGAAGCCCCATCCCCTTCCAAGTTCACAGGGTGGGAACCTTGTGCAACCTGGGTGCAGCTGCTGCCACCCAGCCAAGCCTGCAGGCCCTGGAGTCTCTGCCCTCTTTGGGGTGGAAAGCTCCCCTGTCCCCACAGGCTCAGAAGTACCTGGTCCTGCTGCCTGGCGTCCCCCAGCTCCCTGCACCTGTTCCAATCTTGGAGCAAAGTTGAGGCTGAGCCTTGGCCTATTGCAACCTGGGCTACTGCAACCCAGCCATGTGTGTGCACACTTGGGGTAGCGCTGACATGCCAGCCCCTGCTGCCTTGGACCCCTCCAGACTTTGGGCACTGATTGGGGATAAGGGTGGCTTGGCACAGGCTTGCAGGCACCCCTTGGCACAAACAGCCTGGGTGATGGCAGGAGGCAGACAGGCTGCTGGGTGGAAAGAGGCTCGTGAAGCCCCACCTTCACGCCAGGGACAGCCTGAAGCCTGGGATCTGGGCTGATGCACCAGAAAGGGAACTTATGGTGCTTTTCCTGGGCCTGCTCATGGCCATCCCTGAACAAATCAGCATGTACTTCCTCCCCTCTGAAGCCTGTAAAACACCCTGGACTCAGCTAGACTCCAGGAGATGACCAGATGACCAGCTGTGGAGAGGAGCTGCCCAATGTGGGCCTCCTCCCTGCTGAAAGCTGAATACTCATCAGGACGCCCTGCCTATGGAGAGGAGCTACCCACTGCGGGTCTCCTCTGAGCTATTCAGCTGCTCAATAAAGCTTGTATTCACCTTGCTCACCCTCTACTTGTATGTGTACCTCATTCTTCCTGGACACAGGACAAGAACTCAGGACCTGCTGAATGGTGGGGATAAAACAGCTATAATACAAACAGGGCTGAAACATGCCCTTGCTCACCACATTGTGAGTGACAAGAAGACGAGAGAAGGAGAGAAGTGCTATGGCCTTTTGAGGAGCTCAGGCCTAGGAGCTCCCTGAGCCAGGACTATGACACCCTCTCCGGGGCTCTGTGGTTCCTGGGGTCTCCAAGCTTCCAGGCACCACCACATTCCCTGGTGCCAGCCATGGAAGCTGCTTGTAGGATACCTGGTCCAGCTGCATCCTCGCAGGGAGCCAGTGCCCGTATTGGTGCCTGGAGCTGCCTGCCCCACTGCAGATGGCATACCTGGCTATGCACAGTGGCTAGATCCCATGCTCGCTTCCTCACGCACACCTTGCTGCTCCGTGCTTGGCTCACCCTTGGCCGGCATGAAATTTAGGCTGGTAGCATGAGCTGAGCGCAGCCTGCTAGGCTGAGTGGGCAGAATGATCCCAGAGGGCCTGAGTAAAAACTTGGGCAAAGGCACCACCAGCCACAGAGGCTTCCAGCTGGTGAAGTGACATCCCAAGGATCCCGTGACACTACCTCTGACTTCTTGTTATATAAGAACATTAATTCTTTGTGTGCTTAAGCTAGTTGAATCAGGTTTTCTGCCCAAAGCATCTCATCCTAAATGACACATGATCTATGTGTGAAGGACTTTTGCAGTAACTTTGTCCATCAGAATGGGACTGCAGAAATGGAAGAAACTCGCAGGATCATTGTCCATCTCGTACAATAATCTACAGACACTGCATGTAGTGATTTATTCATTTTATGTCTTGAGTCTCTTAGTTTGTACTTCCCACTCATTACTACAAAAGTTTCTAGTTATATACACAAATGGAATAGAATAGAGAACCAAGAAATAAGGCTGCACACCTACAACCATCTGATCTTCAACAAACCTGACAAAAGCAAGCAATGGGGAAAGGATTCCCTATTTAATAAATGGTGTTGGGAGAACTGGCTAGCCATATGCAGAAAATTGAAAATGGACCCCTTCCTTACACCATACATAAAAACCAACTCAAGATGGATTAAGAACTTAAATGTAAAACCCAAAACTATAAAAACCCTAGAAGAAAACCTAGGCAATACCATTCAGGACATCGGCACAAGCACAGATTCCATGACAAAGATGCCAAAAGCAATTGAAACAAAAGCAAAAATTGACAAATGGGATCTAATTAAAGAGCTTTTGCACAGCAAAAGAAACTACCAACAGAGTAGACAGACAATCTACAGAATAGGAGAAAATTTTTGAAATCTATGCATCTGACAAAGGTCTAATATCCAGCATATATAAAGAACTTAAACAAATTTACAAGAAAAAAACAACCCCATTAAAAAGTGGGCAAAGGACATGAACAGACACTTCTCAAAAGAAGATATACATGCGGCCAACAAACATGGAAAAAAGCTCAACATCACTGATCATTAGAGAAATGCAAATCAAAACCACAATGAGATACCATCTCACACCAGTCAGAATGGCTATTACTAAAAGTCAAAAAATAACAGAGGCTGGAGAGGTTGTGGAGAAAAAGGAATACTTTTACACTGTTGGTGGAAGTGTAAATTAGTTCAACCATTGTGGAAGACTGTGTGGCGATTCCTCAAAGACCTAGAGATAGAAATACCATTTGACCCAGCAATCCCATTACTGGGTATATGCCCAAAGGAATATAAATTGTTCTGTTATAAAGACACATGCACACGTATGTTCATTGCAGCACTATTCACAGTAGCAAAGGCATGGAATCAACCTAAATGCCCATCAATATAGGCTGGATAAAGAAAATGTAGTACATATGCCCCATGGATACTATGCAGCCATAAAAAGGAAGGAGATCATGTCCTTTGCAGGGACATGATACACGTTTACCTATGTAACAAATCTGCACATCCTGCACATGTACCCCTGAACTTAAAAGAAAAAAAACAAAACAAAAAAACAACAATAACAAAAGTTTCTGGTATATCTGCTTCCCTTAGTCTAGGAGTCCCCAAGCCCCAGGCTGTAGACCAGTCCACTACGAGGCCTGTTAGTGCAGTTTTCAGGGCCCACTTAGAAATTAAATATGAAAGTGAATACTTATTTAGCATAAGAAAAGAAGTCACACAATATTACACTTTTATAAGTGCTGGCAACTACCATACGTATCGTAATAATGCAGAAAAGTAACTGAATATTTTTTTGATTAGCTGCCTGACATGCTGTCCTAATATGTTGCCCTCTACATTTCCCCTCCTTAGAATTTTACACATATGATGGCTGAAAACATTTTTCCATAGATTAGCTTCTGGTTGCTTACATTTCAAACCCTGTTTGTCTCCTGGTACCCACATACTTGTGCTGCTCACAGAGTAGCGGCTCAAAGAATGGTGAGTGAATGAATGAGAGAATGGATCAGCCCATTGGAATTTGAGCTTGTGTTGAGAACTAAGAAGCACATAGTTTATAATTCGCAGATATATAGTTTTTTCTTTCCTGCCACCCCTCCTTGCCCCCAGGTTATAGGTTAGGAGTTTCAAGTTAGACTAGCTAGTTTCTGATGATTCTGTCTGTGGATATTTGAAGACATTTGGACATGTTTACCCTTTTATTACAAATATAAATACAGCCTAATCAGCATTGGTTGAAAAGGGGCTCAGAAAAGGGGCTTATCTGTAATGAGTGGAGCAAAGAGGCCCCTTTGTGAAATCAAAACTGAGTTGAGTTGGCCCCATTCCTCAAGAAGCCAGGCAGGACCAGTAATGTGGAATGACACAGTGTCCAATGTGGGTACCACTGCCTGAGATCATCCATCAGCTGCTGGAAAGGAAGGAGGTGAAACCCGCTTCATTTACTTTGAGACAGTTCTGACAAACAAAGCCCACACAGCTCCATCAACAGCAGAAAGTATGAGGGGAAAGGGGCTGGTGCTGAACCATGCTCCTCCACTCCCCAAGACATGGCGCCCAGTCCCTGTCTGTCCCCGCCTGTCTCCCAACCATATTGGATTCCCACCACTTCCTCAGCCTGAAGCCTCCGTCACCAAGACCCACTGGGAATGGCCCAGGCTTGCTGCCGTTGTCTGTAGCTGCCTATCTTTTCCAGGATAAAGTCCAAACTCCAGCTTGAATGCACAGTTTCTCCCTGCCAGGCCTCCCTGCCTCCTCTTCAGCCCCATTGGCCATGAACACGTTTTGCACTTTTGCATGATTCTCTAGTTTTTCCCAGGTATCCTGGTGTTTCACTACTTAGTACCTTTGCTCACATCGTCCCTCTCCTGTCTGAAATGCTGTAACCCTCTGCTTTCCCCAGTCAGGTCTGACTCAGCTTTAAGTTTCAGGGCAGATATCAACTTCTCCGGATGTTCTTGCTGCCTGCCTCCCCAGGTGCTTGCTCACTGCTGTGCCATTGCTCTAATTTTCTTCCTGTCCCCAGAGTTTGAAACATAGTAGCTGCTCCAATGCACATTTTGCTATATTGTTTGAGAATATTCAATTCTGCTATAGAAGGAAACAAATAGAATGGATAAAACTTGTAAGATGTGTTCAGCACAGATAACAAGTAGCTTGTCGACAAATAAGTAGAGCATGTGTGAATGCAGACAAAAAGAGGTGGAAGGACCAAGTAGTTACTAAATATTCATGACACAGTAAATACACATGAGGTACTGTTGCAGGACTTTTCCTTAGTTCAGCTGAAGATAGGGTCCTTGTCCGTTGAAGGGTGTGTAAAGCTGGGTTTTATTGGGTAAAAAGGGGGGAAAAGGGAAAACAGGATCCTCTGCAAGGCCAGAGTCCCTGCTAGAGCACTTCCCACCCACAGTTTGAATCCCAGGTCCACACAGGAAGAGGAGGGGCCAGGCTCCTCCCCGCTGCAAATGGCAGGAACCTCTGTGGTTCCACTCCAGTGTGCATTCCTCTCAGTGTGCAGGCCAGCTGGCATTTTGCCAGGGAACCCCTCCCACCCGGCTGTCTCAGTACTGAATATTTATAATGTCTTAATTTGAATCCCCATTGTCACACCCATTTGTCCCCATGTGTCTTCTACCCAAGAGGTACAGATATAATTCATGGCTGCTCAATAGGGTAACTGTCAAGTTACCCAAGTGGACTTGCTCCTGGGTCTATCTGATAGAGCAAATGTACGTGTTCTTGACCCCTGGCACCTTTGTCTGTTGGGTCCTCTTGCTCAAACCTCAACTCTGGCCCTCACAATAATACCATTGGTGGAAAAGGCAAAACCCAGAATTTAGGTTGTATAGTTCTTCCACCTGCTTTCATTCTGTCGTATGTGTGATAATTTACACCATGTATTTTCCCCTTGCTACTCACTATGTGCTTTAAATTGACGTAATGAACCATATGATATAAGCATTTTCATGTGGTCTGAGAGCCTTTCTGTTCCATGACCTCTGGGAGAGCTTGTCAGGTAGTGTACTTGGGGACTACCATTGTGTCATGGGAATTTCTCACCCAACACTGCTCAATAGATATTTCCTTAAGGAGTGATTCTGTGAATGAACACACTGAGGAATTCAGAATTGTCTTTTAGGCCTCATAGACTCATAGTTGTACCTATCATAGGAAGAAGAGCTGTGAGAACCTGACTACTGTTGCTGCGTTTTGTGCATTCAGAATGACCTCTACTTCCCTGGACAGGTAGGGGAGACTTGCAAGACTAGAAGTAGGGTAAGCAGATTAGGAGCAGGGGGTTTCAATGTGAAGAATGAGAACAGAAGCTGGGAATGCATGGTAGGCAGGGACGTCATTTCCCAGAAAATGGTAGTGATGGGAAGAGGATAAGAAGAGTGGTTTATGTATCCAGAAAGGAAATGGAGCAATGCAAGGAAGATGAAGAGAAATGTGGGATTTAGAAATATAGAATGGAAGTGTAGTGGGTAGGAGAGGGGGCAAAAACGGGAGGTTGGGGTGGAATATTGGGGCACTAGCAGTGTTCTGGGTTGTGTAGAAAATAAGGTATGGAAATAAAGTCTGGGCTGGTACAAACTCAGGAGGAGCTGTGGGGGTTCAGGATTCTTTGATTCATGAATTTATAGGAGGAGAAAGTTTCTACTTTACTGATGTGTTGCTTCTGTTTGTGATAGGTTAATTCTCCATGTATCCTTCCCCTCCCATTTTTAATTTTATTTTTTCTTTTTATTTTTTTGAGACGGACTTTTCGCTCTTGTTGCCTAGGCTGGAGTGCAATGGTGCAATCTCGGCTCACCACAACCTCTGCCTCCTGGCTTTAAGCGATTCTCCTGCCTCAGGCTCCCGAGTAGCTGGGGTTATAGGCATGCGCCACTACGCCTGGCTGATTTTGTATTTTTAGTAGAGGTGGGGTTTCTCCATGTTGGTCAGGCTGGTTTCAAACTCCCAATCTCAGGTGATCCGCCCGCCTCGGCCTCCCAAAGTGCTGGGATTACAGGCGTGAGCCACTGTGCCCGGCCCCTTCCCTTTTTTTTTTTTTTAAAGTGCAATGCTCTGTATGTTGTTTGATATATTTTAAATAATACAGATCACCTCAGTCTCCTTTCTTAAATAGGTCCCTTGAAGTACAAGTAAGCAAATAAATACTCAAACAATTAAATGAAATTTCCTTCTATTGATGGTCTGTGACCATTCTGAAAAATAACATCTGCCCTCTACTTGGCTCCAGGGGATTTTATGAGCATTAATGACATGTCTGAAAAGCGTTTCATTTCCTTGGAAACGAGCTTAACAAAGTGTTTTTCTCTCTACAATGATATAACAAGCCACTCATGCTGTGCTACTGATTTATAATAATTGAAACTTTGGTTGCTAAAAAATTTAAGTACTTTGATGGCAGCTCAAAATAAAATCTTTAATATTTTTATATCTCTTACATGTTTTAGGTGACAGATAAATGGCCTTTTCATGACTTGAAAAATATTTCCACGATATTTATTCTCCCATCATATTTTAACTAGTTCTTACATCAGTTCACAAGGTCATGGACTTGGCCTGTTTTTCATTTCACGAACATCTGGATTTATAGTGAATGATTCATGTGGCCTGATACATAGCTGCCCTCTTTTTGCTCTCTCTTATTATCACTTGTGGAATTCGATTTACCTCCTACCCTGTGAGCTATTCTTTCATTTGAAACAATTTCCTCAGTTATACAGGTCTCTAGTTTAAGGAATAATCATAATTAATTATTCCACTGTAATGGAAAATGCTATCTGGAATGGGTTTTCCCATTTTGAGATAGAAAAATTCATGTCATCTTTTGCGAAGAACGCCACAAAGGGCTGAGACAACAACAAAAACAATAACAACAACAACAACAAAGCCCCAAAGCAGGAGAAGGTCTCATACAAAATAGAATGGAGGAAACAAAGTCAGAATGCTTAGATACGCTTTTCCTGCTTTCCTTTTCTTCTTAGTGCTCCTCACCATCTGACAAGTTACATGGCTGTTGACAGATTGTTTATCTCCCTCCCACTCCCTTAGCATATAACCTTCATGGAAGCAGGGAGTGTGTGACCATCAGCTATAACTGTGCCCAGCACATAGTAGGCACTCAACAAATATTTGTAGAGTTAATGAATGAAAGGTCCCTCCATCCATCAGTCAAATAACAAAAATAGTACATAATAATAATTATTAGAATTTATTGGCTGTCCCTGTACCAGGTTGAATAGTGTCTCGCCAAGATTCGTGGCAAGCCAGAACCTCAGAATGTGTTGTTATTTGGAAATAAGGTCCTTGAAGATTTAATTAGATTAAGATGAGGTCCTACTGAATTAGGAGGGTTCTTAAATCCAATATGACTGAGATCCTTATAAGAAGAGGAGAGGACACACAGAGAGAGGGACACACAGGGAAGAAGTCCACGTAATGATGTAGGCAGAGATTGGAGTTATGCAGCTGCAAGCCAAGGAATGTCAAGAGGTGCCAGCACCCTCCAGAAGGTAGGAGAGAGGCATGCAACAGATTCTTCCTTAGCGCCTCCAAAAGGAACCAGCCTGCAGACACCTTGATTCTGGACATCTGGCCTCCAGAATTGTGAGATAATATATTTCACTTATTTTAAGCATACTAATTTGTAGTACTTTGTTATGGCAACCCTAAGAAACTAATATAATCCCATTTTTGTCAAGTCTTGGGCAAGTTCCATTTACAAAGACACTCAGGCTAAATGAGAAGCTAAAAGTCTGGCTAGTGGGTGACTGAGCCCAACTCTGGTCTCTGTTTTCTAGCATTTCAGACTGTTGTCTACTACATGGCCAGCTTGGGGCCAGGAGTTTAGGGGCTTGTAAAAAGACAACATCTCTACCTTGGGGTAATTTCATGGCTGCTTTTTTACCAAGTTATGATTAGAAAAGGAAGTATGGAGAGGGGGTGTGTACCTTCTTTAATAAGAGATTTGTGCCCAGTGGAGTCAATGTTAATGCAAGTCAGCCAAAGACCAGGGAATGTGCTCATTGCATTTCCAGAATTTATTCTCAATCTGTGACTCTATTATCAATTGTTCTCTAAGGCTTTGAAAATGGTCTGACAATATCTACTGAAGTTAAATATAAATATGCATACTCCATAAGCCTGCAATTTTACCCCTAGACATATATACCCAACCAAAATGCATACGTATGTTCACCAAAAGACATGTATCAGAAAGTTCATAACAGTACCATTGGTAGTAGTCTCAAGCTAGAAA
This sequence comes from Homo sapiens, assembly GCF_000001405.40. Classification (NCBI taxonomy): domain Eukaryota; kingdom Metazoa; phylum Chordata; class Mammalia; order Primates; family Hominidae; genus Homo; species Homo sapiens. The sequence goes on along the minus strand of NC_000014.9, from coordinate 54,274,532 downwards.
CTACCCAAATGGCCATTTGTGATAGCATGAAAAATAAATTGTGGTATGTTCATTTAAAAGTAGATTATACTGCAATAAGAATGAATGAACTACTGTTACATACAACAATATCTCACAAGATAATACTGAGTGAAAGAAGCCAGCCAACTAGAAAAAAGGGTATATATTGATTAATTTCATTTATATGCATTTCAAAAATGAACAAAATAAGCTATAGTTTTAGAAATCAAGATAATGATTTATTTCTGAGTGGTTCATGAAGTACTAATTCACTAATATGTTGTTTGTTGATATGGGTGCTAGATACCTGGGTTTCTTCAGTTTTTAAACAAAATGTGAGCTGTGCCCCAATAGCAAAGAGTTGGAACCAACCCAAATGTCCATCAATGATAGACTGGATTAAGAAAATGTGGCACATATACACCATGGAATACTATGCAGCCATAAAAAAGGATGAGTTCATGTCCTTTGCAGGTACATGGGTGAATCTGGAAACCATCATTCTCAGCAAAGTATCGCAAGGACAGAAAACCAAACGCTGCATATTCTCACTCATAGGTGGGAATTGAACAATGACAACACTTGGACACAGGAGGGGGAACATCACACACCGGGGCCTGTCGTGGGGTGAGGAGAAGGGGGAGGGATAACATTAGGAGATACACCTAATGTAAATGACGAGTTAGTGGGTGCAGCACACCAACATGGCGCATGTATACATGTGTAACCTGCACGTTGTGCACATGGACCCTAGAACTTAAAGTATAATAAAGAAAAATTGCACAAAAAAAACCCAAAAAACAAAATGTGAGCTGTGCCCTTATGATTTGTGTATTTCTGTACACCTAGAAAATACTTCGATAAAAAGTATAAAAAGTAACATGAAGAAAACTTTCAAAAACCCTCTGCCATCCTGTTCCACCTCCACACTAGAATGATATGCTAGCTGTGCCTGGAAAAACTGCTCTTGGGATGCTGTGCTCTCTAGCCAGTAGTTTGGTTTCCAAATTGTTTTTTCCTCTGTGCTTAGGCTGCTGTCTGGCAGGAGAAATGGGCCTTTGAACATCCCCATGCTCAGAAGAGATAAAGGACCATTTCTGAAAGTGGCAAACTGCAAGGACTTCTGGCAGCCTTCGTCACAGAGCAAAGGACAACCCATGTTTTTAGTGAACTATCAGAAAAGATGTCTTCTGAACTCAGGGAATAACTTTTAAAAATCTATGTTTCTATTGTAGTTCTAGAAAAAATATTCAGTCAGATGAATACAATTTTAAAAGAAGATAAGCTTCACTCATTTTTTCAACCAGTTGGCTGCAATTCTGAATTAGATTTAGTTATTGAGTCTAAACTCCATGTAATATGATGGTGGTGAAGGTTAGGGAGAGCTGTTCTGCTTCCTGCACACACCTGCTTTATACTCTCTGATGCTTGAAATTCCATTATTAGGAGAGCAAGTCATTTCACAATTGGAGACGTAGAAGAAAGTAAGATGAAATATACCTGGGAAAAGTAACTCGTTGGCTTTAAGACACACTAATAGATTAAATAAATGATTGCAGGGCCTTTCTAGATTTTGATAGGATGGGCAAAATTTAGAATGCTGGAACCTAAAACAGGGGTAAAGATACCAAAAACACTGTTAGTGCTCAAGGTAGGGAGAGAAGCTGTGGTCCAGAATCATGAATTTCAAAATTTTGTGCTGTGGATGGATGTGGGTGAAAAGATTAAAAAAAAAAAAAACCCCAAACCCTTTGTCTTGAACAAATTGATAGAGTCAGACGTTTGCCAGGGCAGTTCTGGTGCTGTTAAAATATGTTCCAAAACTGGAGAGGCCTTCCTGGCCTAGGCTAAGAGAAACTTTATCTCAGATGGGCTGTATCCACAAGACGGCTCCTGAACCCCCAGCACCCAACCCCATCTCATCTTCTACCTGTCCCCTTCTGGTCCTTTCAGCCTGGCACCTTGCTCCTTGGTGCTATATTAAGGCCACCTCTGCATGGAACTATTAACCCCATGGTAGATGAATCCCTCTCTGGCCTAGCCACTGAGCTCTCCTGTCAGTACACACGGCCCTCGGAATCCACATCTGTGGATTCAACCAACCGTGGACTGAAGTGTATTTTGGAAAACAATAAAAAGTAATAACATGACAATAAAAATTAATACAAATCAAAGTACAGTATGACAACTATTTCCATAGCATTTGCATTGTATTATGTATTCTAAGTAATCTGGAGATGATTTAAAGTATATGGGAGGATATATGTAAATTATGAGCAAATGCTACACCACATTATATCAGGGACTTCAACATCCATGGATTTTTGGTATCCATGGAGGGTCCTGGAACCAATCCTCCATACTGAGGGATGACTGTACCTTCCTGGGAATGTCCCAATTTCAGCACTGACAGTCCTGTGTCCTGAGAAACCCCTCAATCCTGGGGAAGCCAAGATGGTGGGTCACCTAGTCCTGCTAGGTAAGGAAGCTCTGACTGGCTATAGCCCAGGTTTAGCTCCTTCCCGGCCTGGTCCTTGAGATTTGGTCAGACAGATATGAACAGAAGTCACAGGAATAAGAGGGCAAAGATGCTTTGTGTTTGAGAAAGGGCCAGCTTGGGAACACTCTCTAGGAGACATCATACTTTTCTGCAAACTGAATTGAGGTCTAGGAATAATACCTTCTCCCTACCAAAGCTGCCACAGTGGAATATAACAGTAACAGCAACCACAGCTAAATTTAACTGAGCCCTTTCTGTGAGACAGGTACTGTGCTAAGCCTTTTTCATGGATCATCTTATTTAATCTTCAAAACAACCCAACCTTAACACGTGAGGGAACTGAGGCCTAGAGATGTGTACTTACCCAAGATCACTTGAAAAAGAAGAGCCTTTAGCCCCCAACGTGGGGTCACAAGATGCAGATTTGATTCCCATCTATGTATTTACTCCATGTGTGACCTTGGGGATGTCACTTTTCTTTTCTGAGTCTTGTCTGTAGACAAAAATGTCCTCCAAACAAAGTAGTTATGTAACTGAAACAAGATACTGTATGTAAAAGTGCTTGGCTCCTGGTAGTTGCTCAATAAATATCACTTTCCTTTTCTGTCTTTCTTCCACTTGTTGTCAATTCATTTCCATCCCTCTCTCTTTCCTCCCTGATGTTCTGATTTCCTCACACTCCCAAATACATTGTTTATACTTCTTTTGTGATACTTATAATGATGGCACAGTAGTATGGAAGAAACATTAGAATTACATATTTCCAGGTTCAAATTCTGGTTCAATTTCTTTCTAATTGTGGACCTCAGGGAAGTTAATTAACCTCTGAGAATCTTGGTTTCCTCACTTGTGAAATAGGAATAAGTTCTTTTTTAAAAATATGTAATAGATACAGATATTGTTATTGCTTTTGGTACCCTGTGCCACCCTTACTGAGCCCATATCTCATTTCCACTGTAGCAGTAGTTACTTGGGTCTCAAGACTCATGCTGATAGTACGTAATCATGTCTCTCTCTGCTTTTTAGCCTCCAGTCTTACTACAAACAGAAATGAGAGATACAGAACTTCAAATGGAGTCAGGTATTATATCACCATCTGCTATGATCTAGGATGAACAACATATCAGAGTTTGAACAAAAATTCAGAAACAGATTAGAAAGAGGAGAAAATATAATGAGTTTGCCATGATTTGCATTGCTCATATTAATTTGGATTATAGTTTCAATCTAACTAGGAGTAGAATGCAATGTATTAGCCTATTAAGTACCGATCAGTAGTTGTGTCTATCTCCAGAACTTTGTGTCTTAGGTCTGGAAATCTCCAGCAAAGATTCAAACATGGGCTCCTAATAATATGGCTTAGGATTCATTTCTGTCAGTTAACCCTACAGCATAACACTGTAATGTGGAGTCTTAATGATGCTCTAGTTCTCTGTCTCCCAAGCAGATCATTTAAGTGTGCAAGGCATTATTAATGATGCAAAGATGAAAAAGATACAGTTTGTACCTTTAAAGAGCTATAGCTTAGTTGAAGTGAAAAGCTAAGTGCAGAAATACTTTTGTCAAATGTCAGTGTGACAAGCACATCATTATGCGCCATCCCTAATCACCCCAAAAAACCTTTCATAGAGCCTGGGTTCCCTCTAAAATAAACACAAAGAATTCAAGGTGGTTTACAACTTTAAACCTTGAGGTGGATTATAAAAAGTGTGCAAAGTATAAACTACATGGTTAAAAGACTCCAGGGAAAGGAAAGCTAATTTAGGATAAAATAGCACACGGGGATGTATCCTGTATGGTTCTGGGTGACAGCTTGAGGTTGATTGCATATTTGAGTTTCCTAAAGACCAAAGGAAAAAAAAACAGGCATGGTTTTGGGAATATTGGTCTCAAGATAAAATCGAATCAGTTTAGGAGAAGTACATTTTTCCGTGGAGACTTGAAAGCAAATTCTCCTGTAGGTCTTCATTAAGCAGACACTGTAATATAGTGGATGTTGTCCCAGAAAGTATTCCTACACTAGAAACCATGGAAAGCTATTATATGACTGTTTCTTATAGTGTCCTTCAATATAAGTCTAAGATGAAAGCCCATTTTAGCAAAGTCAACGTAAAATAAATATTTATGTTTTTCTAACAATTTCTGTATAAATATAATTTCTTAACAATATTTTGGATTCAGTTATTTGAATCAGGATCCTCATATTGCATTTGGTGGAGGTCTTTACATCTTTGCAAAATCTATAACAGTTTCCACTCTTGTTTTTCCCCATTGCCATTTAGTTGTTGAATGAATAAATAATTTATCCTATAGGTTTTCCTGCATTTAGGGTGTGCCTGACTGTATCCTCATGATTTCACTGAGTTTTAAATAACAATTACTTTATTTCCAAGGCAAGAAGTTTTATTTTGTTCTTTTTCAAACATATCTGGTCTTTTCTTCATTGTAGATGGTCTCTTCCTTTTTATTCATAGCTTCAATTATTTGTTTAAAAATATTAAATATACTTATCTTTCATTTAGTATCTGATAGTTCAATTATCTGAAGCCTTTATGGGTCTGTGTTCTAATGTTTGTTGCTGCTGATGACTCTGGTTCAAAGGTACTTTTCCCCTGGTAGATTTTGCGATTTTTGATTGTGAGTTCGTATTTCTTGGAATTATCTCTGAGGGAGTACTATGAGACCTGGGTTGAGGGTTTATTTCTTGGGGTGGATTTCCAGTTGTCTTTGCCAGTTACCTGTGAGCATCATGGACTTGGGTCCGCGTTAAATGATATTCTCGTTGAGGTTTTCTGGGCCACACAGATAGTGTGATTTCTAACCGCTACGTCTTGTGTGTGGCCAATTTGGGTTTATGAAATCTCAGAGGAAGAGTATGTTGTTTTGTTTCTTTTAACTCCTATCTAGAGCCAAGGTTTCCTCTGTGCTTGTCACTGGTGGATGGACTCTCTTTTAGTTTACTATTTTCCTGAGAGAATAACCCCCTAGTGAATCCTATGTGGATGGATCACCAATCCAGTTTCCTGTTCTGCACAATGGCTGCATCAGTGCTCTTACACTTCTCTGCTCATGGCCTCTGCTTCTTAGCTGGTCTTGGGCTATTTCACTTATTTTATAAAATGGATTAATATATGTCTATATACCTATACAATTTATATACTTTATATTGCATAATATATTTTACATGATTACTGTCTGTTACATACAAAATAATATTATAGGTATCATTATTATGTAAATAATAATGTATATATATCTTAAGCATTTTTATGGTTGGAGGATTTCATGATCTCTTGTCTACCATTTTGCAAAAATGGAAGTCCCTGACTCCCTGAGTCTTCAGTTGGATTCAGATCCAGTATGTCTATGTGTCAGGCCTGAACTCAGAGAATCTATCATGACCCTTTGAGCCCGTGAGTTACGGGGTCCATTGTATTCTCCCATGATGACTCAGAATATGTTGCTAAGCTTTTCTGTTATCCTGACTAGAACTTACCATCTTACTTGACTACCCTAGACATAGTCTCACTCCTAGTGAACTCTACCTGCAGATGGGTAGCCCTGCTGCTGACTAAACAGAACTTCAGTTGCCCTCCCTGGCTTTCAGGTTCTTCCCTGGATCCTTCTCTGATGTCAACTGCCATATTAGTCTTCTTGATTCTGAAGATTGCCTGAACCTAAGCTTGCTATGATCTCTAGAGAGCATATTTGCTATGATCCTTAGAGAGCATATTTGCTATAATCTTTAGAGAGTGTATTTGCTATAATCTTTAGAGAGCATATTTGAGCAGCCCCATTGTCTTCAATAAGCTCCTGCTTCTGCCAGCTGATTTATCTCCCAAGCTACCCTCCCTGCTCACCCCACACCATGCAACCTCAAACATTCAGCCTCATTTTTGGTACCAGTCTTTGGGTATTCCCCAGTTTCCTTTGCTAGCCCTGGATTGCTGAGATAACAGCAGGCCTGGTGGCCAAAACTTCTTGAGCTCTGTCAGGAGTGATATTTGTGAAAAAGAATTCATACAAAGCCCTTCTTGAACAATCCAGCCAGAGTAATTACTCTTCCTTGAATTTTGACAGAATTTTGTACCACTCTTAAGGCACTCATTCACCTTCTCCTTTATGCTGTACTTATTTATGTACATGTTTTGTCTTCCTTGCTAGAAAATTAGCTGCTTAAGAGTAGGACATGACATTGGGGTCAAAAGACCTGGGTTCAAATCCCGACTCTACTGTATTCTAGTTATGTGACTTTGGGCAAATTAACTTCTCTGAGCCTCCATGTTCCTCCTCTATAAATTGAGGATAATACCCAATTTTTTATATAAAAATGTTGGGGCCTGATGTGTTTAGAAACTTAGACATCTTTCAGATTTTAGAAAAGTAATATGGTGCATATATATCATGTAATATGTGGCAGAACCCTGTAATCAAATACCTTCCTCTTTTTGTGGCAACACATACAAATATTCATAGGAAATGGATTAAATTAGGATAGTAATTACACTCGTAGCATTTCATTTAGGTCAGTCTTTGCCACCAAATGAGTTAAAATAACTTTAAGTTTTGTGCACATGGAGGTTGGTGGTGGGGATTTTTCTGTGAGTGACAAAACCTTCCGGTTCCTTTATTTCTTTGTTTGGTGACTTACTTGAAAGCCCCAGCTGTCACCTGGTTCTTCTGACCACACCAAGGAAATTCCTGCTATCTGCATAAGCCAGGAGTGGGTGACCTGAGAACTAGAGTGGCTGGAATGTTAGAATTGGGCTGGGTCTTAGAGACCAGCTGGCTCATGTATGTGAACCTGTTTAAGTTGCTAGTAGTCAGTATTGACATTCACTTTTCATTTTATAATTAAGGAAATTGTATTCTGAAATGGAGAGAGATGTGACTTGATTTGCTCAATATATAGAGGTGGAAAAAGTTTGAATGTCATGTGAAAGGAAGACATCTGTATTAGTCCATTTTTATGCTGCTAATAAAGACATACCTGAGACTGGGAAATTTATAAGGGAAAGAGTTTTGCTTTTTTTTTTTTTTTTGAGACAGAGTCTTGCTTTATCACCCAGGCTACCATGCAGTGGCATGATCCTGGCTCACTGCAATTTCTGCCCCATGGGCTCTCAAGCAATTCTCATGCCTCAGCCTCCTGAGTAGCTTGGATTACAGGACATGCCACCACGCCTGGGTAATTTTTGTATTTTTGATAGAGACAGGGTTTCACCACGTTGGTCAGGTTGGTCTCGAACTCCTGACCTCAAGTGATTCATCTGCCTTGGCCTCCCAAAGAGCTGGGATTACAGGCATGAGCTACTGTGCCCAGCCAAAGGAAAGAGGTTTAATTGACTTAGTTCAGCATGGCTGGGGAGGCCTCAGGAAACTTATAATCATGGTGGAAGGGGAAGCAAACATGTCTTTCTTCACAAGTCAGCAAGAGAGAGAGGAATGAGAGTCCAGTAAAGGGGAAGCCCCTTATAAAACCATCAGATCTTGTGAGAACTAATTCACTATCATGAGAACAGGACAGGGGAAACTGCTCCCATGATTCAGTTATCTCCACCTGGTCTCACCCCATGATATGTGGGGATTATGGGAACTACCATTCAAGATGGGACTTGGGTGGGGACACAGCAAAACCATAGCAATGTCCTTTTCACAGATGTGCTATGGAGACTATCTCTCTTCATTGAAAACTACTTTTGGGAAAAAGTAGAAAATTATGTCATTTTTTGATGTATTCATTTGGTAAAAACGTATTGAATTTATGATTTTAAATGTGTCTTGTCTTTAAATACCGTGCAGCTAGTTCTAGTATTTTGAAACCTAAGTACTTAGTAGCTGTAGTACATCTATTCATTTGACAAATGTTTGAGCTCCAGATCTTGTTCTTGGCCTCTGGAGAAAGTGTCAATAAAAACAAAAGTTTTGCTCTAATGGAGCAAAACATGGGTAGAGAAAGGAAACAGAAAAAGGTCGGGTGAACAAATAAACAGACTAGATAATGTCAGCCCTTGGTAAGTGGTATGAAGAAAATACATCAGGATGGCATAAAAAAGAGTGACTGGGGATGGAGAGCTTTGCTTCACATTGACCAGTCAGGGAAGATTTCTCTGAAGCTGTGATATTTGGGTGACATCTGAGTGTCACCTGAAGAAGGATGCAGCCATTTGGTTATCTGGGGATAAGAGCATCCAAGACAGAAGGCACAGAAAACACAAAGTCCTGAAGGTAGACAGAGTTTGGGATGCACAGAAACATGAAAGGCCAGTGTGTCTGGAGAAAGTGGTTCAGAGGGAGCCAGAGGTCCAGTCATGTGTGGCCTTGAAGGCCAAGAGAAGCAGTCTGGAGTTTTTCTATGTGCCACTGGACATGGCTGGGGGACTTTGGGCATGGAAGCACTCTCAGGAGAGTAAGGCACTCACTTCAGGGGCAAAATTCAAGGGACCAATCCAAAAGTCAACCAACAAGATAAATTATAGTTTTTAAAATGGAAAGGGATCCAAAAATCTATGATGACTAAAATATCAAAATTTCAAATAAAGACAAGGTGTGACCCTGCACCTAACTGATGTTGAGAATGAATTTCTCACTCTTCTTGCTCTGTCTCAGCCCTGCGTAGGAGTGAGAAGAACTGATTTACGTCTCTGAAGGATCATTCTGGAGCCTGTGGAGACACTGCCGGGAGCAAAAGTCCATGCAGGAGTGCAGGCAGGATGGAGCCTGTCATGGTGGTGCCCGGAAAAGAGGGTATAGGAAGAGATCAGGGGACAGAGAGTCAGATGGATCCCAGATATTTTTGAGGTAGAGACCACAGGACTTGTTGCAAAACTGAGTTATAATATTGACATCCATAATTGCAACTGGTTTGCAAGTTCCTTTTTCTGTGTCTGCAGTCTGAGCTCCTATATTTTACTTCATGACATGGAGCAGTGGACTGAGCATGAGCATTTGTGGCAGGGCAATTTCTTCACTTTTGCCTGTTTGGCTGATACCAGTGTTGACTCTTCATGTCTTAGTCTTTAGCACAGCTTTTGGGGGCTGTGCTGACACTGGTTTCAATCCACTGGGAACAGGCAGAACAATGACTTTTCACTTAGGCCTCAGACTCTACCTGGGGACTCAGGTGTTGCTCACAGTAAAGCCACCTGATGCCAGAGCATGCTTGGAACATGGCGGCCCCATGACCTCCTGCCTCATATTCCTCATATCCATCTTCACAGGCAGAAGCAAATGGCCTGGCTCACACACCTCCTCCTGGCCCTTCCTCTCTATTCTGAATTTCTTTCCTCTGTGCTTAACTTCCCTCTGCTTCCTTCTTTTCTAAACCCTTCTAGTGTGCTACTAGGAACTCTTGCCCCACAGAAATAAAGCCATTGCTCCCTCCTGGAGGAGGCTTTCCTCCCACCCATAGAGAGACCTGTCCCCACTAAAGGAGATGTCTGAGTAAAGATTGCTCATCCTCCCACCCTTCACAGAGGTAGTATAGTATCTGTGCACAATTGCACTATCCTGCTGTATTTCTTTGCCACCTAATTGTGGGTGCCAAAGTCCTTTTTTTGATCTCATTATTATAAACTCCTCCCTGCATACTTACTGACCTCCTGTATCTTTTCTTTCAGTTAGACTTCAATTTATTCAGATAGCTAAGGTAGGGACTTGCATACCTTCCTCTTCCTCACCCTGGGCATTTACTCCATGACACACCTGCTGATTTGCCTTCAATCCCAGCTCTCCATCCTTTCCAGGAGCTTTCCACGCCTCTTCTGGATTATGGCAGCAACCTTTTAAGCTGTTGTGTTTTGTCTTAGGCACTGCAAATTCACCTTCACACTGCTATCACAACTTAAAATGTAAATCGAAGTCATTTCCCTGCTTAAAATCCTTCCATAGATGGAGTCTGACCTTGACTGTCTATTTGTATTGTATGAGGGGCTCTCCAGGTTTTCCAGGCTTTGGTATCAGTCCCTATCTTGTGCCACACATTCGAGAGAGAGTTTAGCAAAACTGACTTTTTAATCCCTCCTTTGAGCCATGCTGTCCTTCTCTTTCGTACCATGCTTCTGGGGTCCCCTTTATCTGAAGCACCCTGCTGCCCCTCCTCACTGGCTGAAATCCCACCCACCCTTTAAGATTCAACCCTTGCATTACTCCCTTCAGTGACTTTTCTCCCATCTCTCTCCCCACCACCCTCCCAACCTCCCCAGTTCTGTACTTTCAGAAGAACTTGTAGATAGGCTCTTTGCTCTCATCACATTGCAAGGTCCTCTTTTCTGTGTCTTTCACAGTCAGTGCAAATGCAACACCCCTCTATGTCTATTTCTCTGCCACCAATTGTGGGTGCCAAAGTCCTTTTTTGATCTCATTATTATCTCGCTTCTTGAGGGCGAGGACTGTGCTGTGCACATCTTTACATTTTCTGCACTTAATATCTCTCCTAGCACTTACTTAGCAGATGCTCATTAAATTTCTTCCTTAAATGCAGAAATAATTCCCATTTTTGTTGCTAACAACATTTGTTTGGGCCAATTTCCTTAACTAATTGAGCGTCAAATTTCTCAGCTGTAAACATGGATAATAGTGTCTACACTACAGTGCTGTTGTGAGGATTAAAAAAGATATCCTTAATTCGGTGGCTCACAGAATGCACGATTAGAAGTGTTAGTTCCTGTTTTCCTTGTTTTCTATCTGTTAAGAACACAATGTTAACATAGTAATAGTAATAGTAGTAACACTAAAAATTATTAATTCTATTAATATAGTGACAGCTACAATGTATTTAGTGTGTACCATCTGCCAGATACTGTTCTAAGTGCTTTACTAATATGAACTCATTTTATTACCACGGCAACCTTGTAAGGAAGGGGATGTTACTATCCTCATCTTAAAGTTGAGGAAACAGAGGCTGTATAACTTTCCCAAAGCCCCACAGTCATTAGTAGTAGAGCTGAGATTTAAACTCAGGTGATATGGCTTTAGTATATGGTTAACCAGCTTATTAAGTTGCCTAACTTAATTTAATCCCCTTGAAAACAGTTTAAAGTTTTGTCGTCCTTTCAAAGAAGAAGAAATTGAGGTTCAGAGTAGGAGACTTACTCAAGGTCACACAGCGAGTAAGTGGTGGAGTTAGGAGTCTACCGTGTTCTCCGCTTCAGCAAAGCTTTCACTTGGGGATGTGGGCTTTGGTCGAAACTTTGCCAGTATTAAAACGGACTTAAAAATACGAGTTAGTACACTAACAACAAACCGTTCAAAGAAACAAGCCCATTTACAAGAGCTATGAAAAATATTATACTTAGGAATAAATTTAACCAAGGAGGTGAAAGACCTACACACTGAAAATTGTAAAACGTTGATGAAAGAAATTGAACAAGACACTAATAAACAGACATCTTGTGTGCATGGACTGGAAGAATTGATTTTGTTAAAATGTCCATACTAACCCAAAGCAATCTACAGAGTCAATATAATCCCTATCAAAATTCCAATGACATGTTTCACAGAAATAGGAAAAACAACTCTAAAATTCATATGGAACCACAAAAGACCCTGAATAGCCATAACAATCTTGAGCAAAAAGAATAAAGCTGGTGGCTTCAAAATGTACTACAAATCTATAGTAACCAAAACAGCATGGTACTGGCATTAAAACAGACACACAGACAAATGGAACAGAATAGAGAGCCCAGAAATAATCCATGCGTTTACAGTCAGTTGATTTTTGACAAAGATGCCAAGAACACACAATGGGGAAAGTACAGTTTCTTCAATAAATATTGTTGGGAAAAGTGGATATCCATATGCAGAAGAATGAAATTAGACCCTTACCTAATATATAAAAATAAACTCAAAAGGGATTAAAGACTTAAATGTAAGACCTGAATCCATACAACCTCTAGAAGAAAATGTAGGGGAAAAGGGCCACGTCATTGGTCTGGGCAATGCTTTTTGAATATGACCCCACAAGCACAGGTGACAAAAGCAAAAATAGACAAATGAGACTACATCAAGCTAAAAAGCTTCTCCACAGTGAAGGAAACAATAAACAGACTATCTATAGAATAGGAGAAAATACTTGCAAATAACTCATCTGATAAGAGGTTAGTATCAAAATATATAAGCAACTCGGACAACTTAATAGCAAGAAAACAACACAATTAAAAAATGGGCAAGGACCTGAATATGTATTTCTCAAAAGAAGATATAAAAATGATCAATATGTACATGAAAAAATAGCCAACATTTCTAATCATCAGAGAAATGCAAATTAAAACTACAATGATATATTACTGTGTGATATGATGAGGTTTCTCTTCAAATAATCTGATCAATCTTTTATTCATTAATTTATAGTACCCCCCCCTTTTTTTTTTCCTCCTTTTCTTGCCTTTGTTAAATGCCCAGGCACGCCACAGTAGCAAGCATTGTCAGTACCAGCTGACATTCCTTTCCTTATTTGGAAAGAGGACTGACTTTCTAGCTCATTACAGACACCCCTTCCCGTTCACTTTCTTTTACTTGCCCACCCTATCTAAAAAAAATCAAATGTTTAGCCAACCGGGGTTAGTTTAGATTGTACAACCTAACCCCGGCCAATGGGGAAAGGGTACGGGGCAGGACTTGCGTCAGGAATAAAGGCTCTCGTGCCCCTTTGTTCAGGTGTGCTCACATGGCAACTGGCCAAGGAGGCACCCCTCTGTGAAGAAGTAAAATAGCTTTGCTGAGAATCCTTTGTTTGAGTGTTCAATTTCCTTAGGATTTTGAGCGTTATTCCTACCATTACCTCACATCCGTTAGAATGGCCATTATCAAAGAAGGCGAAAGATGCGTTGGCAAGGTTGTGGAGAAAAGGGGACCCTTGCCGCTGTTGGTGTAAATGTAAATTACTGTAGCAGTCATGGAAAATAATATGGATATTTCTCAAAAAATTGAAAATAGAACTACCATATGATCCAGCAATCTTACTTTTGGGTATGTATCCAAAGGAAATGAAATCAGTATGTCAAAGAGATAGCTGCACTCCCATGTTCATTGCAACATTACACAAGAGCCAAGGAGTGGAATCAACCTAAGTGTCCATCAACGATGAGTGGGTAAAGAAAATGTGGTGTATATACACAATGGAATACTATCCCAGCCTTAAAAAAATAAGGGAGTGCTATCATTTCCAACAACATGGATTAACCTGGAGGACATTCTGTTAAATGAAATAAGCCAAAGACACAAAGACAAATACCACATGATTTCACTCATATGTGGAATCTAAAAATGTTGATCTTATAGAAGCAGAGAGTGGAATGGTGGTTACCGGGAGCTGCAGGGTAAGGGGTTGGGGAGATATTGGTTGAAGTGTATAAAGGTAGAGAAGAGGAATAAGTTCAAAATATCTAGTACAACATGGTGACTATAATTAATAACAATGTATACATATTTCAAAACATGTACATCATAGATATAATTTTTATTTATCAATTAAAATTAATTTTAAAAGTTTAGAAATAAAAATCATGAGTTAGGCTATAGGCAATACGTTTAATGATAATGCATCATGATTAACAATAACAGAACAGTTTATTCTTTGGGAGTTAGGAAATAAGTGGCCCATCCTTCTGGGTGGCTGAAAATGTCTGGAGTGGGATAAAATCAGAGTATTTTACATTGTTATTTAACACTTAAATAATATCTCTAGCTCCCGATCAGCTAGAAATCGAGGCCCTTCGCCACCAGCTTCCGAGAGCTGCCTTAGGACAGTTCTGCTTTCTGAAGGAGGGAGAGGACCAGCCAAGGGACTCCATGGAGCTGGGGATGGGTTTTCCAGCATGCTGTCTGGGACGCGTTGTGGTGACTTGTTTCTGATATTTGTGTGAAAGGGGGTATGACTGGGTTGCTCCTTTTTCTCCTTGAGTTTTGCCAGAGGTCATCCTCACAGAAGTTGGAAGAAATGGAGTGTGCACGAAGTTAGGGCTGGTAAGTTATTTATTTACTTGACCGAATTTTAAAGGCTGAAAAGCCATCCATGAAGTCTGTGGAATTCATTGTCATGAGAGGTCAGTAAGTCAAGCTCTGCGGCTGTGTTTTCAAAAGGACTGGATAATTTTGTGAATTTGGTGACCAAAGACTATTTGTAGTTAAGATTAAACCTCAGGCTTGGATAAAGCTTGAGTCTGGGGAGAAGGATGGTGGGAAAGAAACAATTACCTCCCTTCTCTCCTCAATTCCGATCTCTGAATCTCAAGTTACACCTCTATCCCCCGTATGTTTTGGAATAGAGACATTATGGGGGTAGAAAACCGTCACAGAACAGTTAAAAGAGAAACAGTGGAGGATGTTTCAGGGATGATTCTGCTATTCTCCTAAGTAGAATCCAATGATGTCCTAAAAAATATTGAAAATAGAACAAGAGACCTGGAACACACAAGTTGAACAATGAAGATTGTAATTATAATGAGGGACTCCTTCTACCGACAGGTGGAAGACACAGTAGAGATTGCCTGAATCAGTCCTCCCTTTTAAAAAGAGTGATTGACATATTTTCATTTTTTGTAGATATAACATATCCTCAAAATATATACTATGTAATATGCCCTCTCCTGAATGTTTATTCTATTTAATCCTTGCAACCAGCCAACAAGGAATTGACTATCATTATCTACAATATAGCGTAAGAAAACTGAGGCTCAAAGACTTGAAATAAATTGCTCAAAATCAGGTAGCTTAGTTTGCCTAGGCCAGGCACGGTGGCTTATGCTTATAATCCCAGCACTTTGGGAGGCAGAGGCAAGAGAACTGCTTTAAGTGAGGAGTTTGAGACAGGCTGGGAAACACAGTAAGACTTCATCTCTACAAAAAATTAAAAAAATTAATCGAGCATGGTGGCAGGTGCCTGTAGTCCCAGCTATGTGGGAGGCCAAAACAGGAGGATCCTTTGAGCCCAGCAGTTCAAGGCTGCAATTAGCTAGGATTGCGCTACTGCACTCCAGCCTGGATGATAGAGTGAGACCCTGTCTCTTAAAAATAAATAATAAATAAAAATTTAAAAAAATAAATTATCTGGCTTCCAAGGAAATATGCATAAGGAGATAGTAATAAAATAAAACCCTGTACTATCTTACCATCTAGGAGCAACTCCTCTTAGCACCTGGCATTTCATAGATATGGAAACTGAGGCCTAGCCTGCTTAGGTAACCTGCTTAACACCCTGGTTTTGTTGCTGTCATTCCACATAGCACTTTTCACAGTTAAGCAAGAATGATTTGGGTAATATTTGTCTCCCCCAGTAGGCAGTAAACTATGAGGAAAGGGATTGTTTGTATTTATTCACCTTTGCATCCCCAGGGCCTGGCACCTGGTGGACTTGCTTCAATATTGCCGAATGAATAAATGAATGGACAGAGCTAAGTTTTGGCAAGTCCAGTGTTTTTCCTGCCCTCATCCTCATGACAGGAACTGGTTTTCCTTTGATCTTGGAAATAGAGAAGTGTCATAATCTTGTCCCCCCAGGGAGCTTGACCTTCTGATGACATTTTCAAGGCTGCAATGAAATGTCACAGGGACATCAGGTTGCAGTGCCCTCTTTCTCCCCTTCTTATCTCCTCCCCTCTTTGTCACAGTGCAGAAACTCCCTTCTAGATGGGTGCCCTTCTGCCCCAGGAGGCAGGCTCTGAACCTCTCCTGTAGGCTCTGGAGTAACTGAACGGATGTCGGCAACCCTGGGCCAGCTGTAGAGGGGCCTGCTGGCTGGGATGAGTGGACAATGAATGTGAGCACCTTGTGGAAATGGTCCTGTGTGCGACCCCTCAGCCTGGAAGGCTCCCCTGATGTGAATTTCCTTGTTGCAAAATGCCTTGGACTATGCAGTGGTATTTTCAAGGGACTCCAAGAAAAACAGAAGGGGAAATAAGATGTTCCTAGTGGGAATGCTCTCTAGAAGAGAAAAATAGTTGTGATTCTCTGATTTCTAGATAAAATAATGCAGGATGATGGTAGTTTATGAAGGACCATCCATCTCCCAGGGCAAAAGGAATGAAAAAATATCCTCTCAGAAACCCATCGAGCCCTAGTTAACATGTGGCCAGACTTCAAGGGAATGCTGCACTGAGGATTTCTGTGCAACTAATTACATAAATACCAAGACATGTTGTCTCCCCCCAGACTAAAAGGTCTCTGGGACAATGAGGAGACTATGGCCCCCTTGCCCCCTTGTCATGCACATTAATGTCACAGGCCTCAGCAGAGAACTTGGGGTGCTTTGATGCCCAATGTGCTCAATTTGGTTTCAGAGGTTTCCAATTGCTTGCACCTAAGCACATCTCCTCAACAAACAAATAGCACTGGGACACAATTCTCTGAGAGGCTGTGGACACTTAATTACCTCAACTCAGTGGTCTTTCCCACTGTTGAGAACATCACAGATACTTGGCAGCATTAACATTCCTGAAATTGTATTAGGCTGGCCTTTGTAAAGGAGTTGAATACTGCCTCATTAGCTCAGGCTCGTGGGGCATTTGTGTCTCTGACAACAGTTTAATTATGGACATTGTTTACTAATCAGTATTACATCGACAGACTAGAGGGCTAATCTGAAGATTAACACAGTAGCTTGTTTGCGGTTTATTCTTTCAGCTAGTGAATGCAAGAGTTAAACAAACCTGTTTTTGTAGCTCTTGTTTTCCATAATAAGATTCAGGGACACATTCTGAGGCATGGATACACTTACGGGATCTACATCTCTCTTCTTCAGTTTAATTTAGCCTAGTACAATTCAAAGGAAGAAATGACAGTTTTCAGAAATATTTCAGAAGGTTGGCTAACCCAAAGATCTGTGCAACTGGATTTAGGGAACTGTCTTGAGCCTTTGTCTGTTCCCATAAACCTCTGGGAGGCCATTTGGAATTATTGGGGATGAATCTTCCAAAAAATTGAAAAGTGGAATTTAAAAAATGCCCTTTATGCACATTTGCTTTCCTTTATCTGTAATTGAAGATTCAGTTTGCTTCCACTTAGCACTTTAATAACTGTGAGTACAAAGCATTGTGAAATCTCATCTGGTCATTCCAAATATACTCTGAAAATTTAGGTCTGATTCTGAGATATTTGTATAAAAATGTTTCTATGATGAGCAGTTTTGATTAATTAAGGAAATAGCCTTGAGCTTTTAAAGACATAATACCTCTAACTTCTTGAATATTGGAGGCAGGGTAGCAGTCAGAGAATTCAACTTTCCAAAGTCAGCTTTTTGCAAAGGTAGAATGTGGGACAGACACCACGGTGAGTTTGCTGCCGGTGGAAGAGATCCAAGTTACCCCAAGTTACCCGCGGCATATCTGTACGGGTCCGTAGCAACTTCAGTCCTTGCCTCCTCAGAAGAAAGAATTCGATTGAGGGGCATAAAGCAGAAAAGGAGACTGAGGCAAGTTTCAGAGCAGGAGTGGAAGTTTATTTAAGAAGACTTTAGAGCAGGAAAGAAAGAAAAATTCGCTTGGAAGAGACCCAAGCGGGTGTCTGAAGGTCCAAGGGAGAAAAGAGAACAAAAAAAAGGGGCCTTTAACCTTAATCCTAGGGCCTTATAGGCTTGCCTTTCTCCCACGATTCTTCCCTTAGGGTGGGCTTCCCGCATGCACAGTGCTTCCCTCACCCTTGGGAACTGAGCACGCGCAGTGTGTTTAGGAAGTTGTGCGCATGCCCATCTGAGGCTTTCTTCATTGTGTCTGGTGGAGTGTACCCGGAAGACCATACTTTGCCACTGTTGTCTCTTAATGTGCACGCTCAGGAAGTTTCTTCTCCCTGGGGTCTGCCTTTAACTAACACTTTAATATTAAGACGTGTGGATCATCAGGAAATGGCCTCTCCCTGGCACTGGCTGCCAATTTATCACTTTTAGAGAGGCAATGAGATAATAGCAGAACCATCACCCAACATTTCTAGTGGGTGGAGGCAGAGCCCTCTCCTGCCTTGCTCATGCCTTTCTATCTACCTGTGACAAGTTGAGGGAGAATCTTGGAGCCAGATCTTGGGTTGTCCCAACTGTCACATGGGCTGGGTGGCAGGCTTCTGGAGGTGGACAAACAAGCCAGGAAGGGAAATGTGCTCCATTTCACAGCTGTCGGCAGAGCCTTGGGCCTCCAAGCCTACCTTGAGCTTCAAATAAGTCTTGACAGCACTGTCCCTTGGGAGTGGGATCCCCAACTCCATTCAAAATACTCCCAGAAACTCAAGAACACAGAATAGTTCCACTATTTCTAGTAACAGGAGGCATTAAGGCCTCCGCAGGCCTCAACACAGCTTTCTTGTTACTCTCTTGCCTGGGTAGAGACTGAAATAGGAAGTGGGGTGGAAATCTCTTTGCTCCCCACTGCCATGAGCAACCGGTAGTGTTAGACATAGTGTTAGAGACATTGAATTCTTGCATAGCAATACCAACGGTGAAAGCTGGGAACAGGAGAGTCATGTCAGTGTGTGGATGAGGGTTGTTTGCCCTAATATATTTCATTTTTAAATTTTTCAACTGATTAGTAGTCAACCTAAAAATGTCGAGATTTCCCATGAAAATCTAGAATTCTGGTTTCTCTTGAATCCTTGGTGGCTCTGAGAGGAGGGGATGGCATTCTCAGAAGGAGATGGCTGTCTGAGGCCATGGCTGTCCCCTGGATGCTGGCGGTGTGCTTGCCCACACACAGTTCCCAGACTCTCCAGCCTGTCTGCCTTGGCCCTGCTCACACATCTTCCTGCCTGCCTCCAGGCACATGATGGAATTCGTAGGACTTAGGAAGGCCTCTCTTTCACAGGTACTGGCTTTTAACAATTAGAGGATGTTCTTTCACGCAAAAATGTCTTCTCTCTTTCAGAATGTACTGTTGACCCTTGAACAACACAGGTTTAAACTGTGAAGGTCCACTTATACATGAATTTTATCCCATCTTTGCCACCCCAAGACAGCAAGACCAACCCCTTCTCTCCCTCCTTCTCAGCCTACTCAACATGAAGACAACAAAGATGAATGATCCACTTCCATTGTATGATGTTCCTCTTCCACTTAATGGATCATAAGTATATTTTCTCTTTCTTATGATTTTCTTAATAACATGTTGTTTTCTCTGGCTTACTTTATTGTAAGAATGCAGCATATAATACATGTAACATACAAAATATGTGTCAAATGACTGTGTTATCAGTAAGGCTTCTGGTCAACAGTAGGCTATTCATAGTTAAGTTTTTGGGAAGTCAAAAGTTATACACAGATTTTTGAGTGTGTGGTCAGGGTGGCAGTCAGTACCCCTAACCCCTGCATTGTTCAAGGACCAACTGTATTGCTTTGGTGTAGATGTCCATGAAGTCATATATACCTTAGTGACCAACGTGAATTAGTTTGTCAGATGATACCAAAAACTAGGACAAGGGTGGGCATAAAGGAAAAAAAGAGGAGGAGGTCTCAGTGAAGGACCTTGTGCTCATTTAGCATGTGGGCTGAGGACAAAGATTGGGCAGAAAGTACAGCAGAGCTCCCTCCCCTACATTCATCTGTTTGAAGCCTCTACCCAGGCACATGAATAACAAGAAAGCTGTCTGGAGGCTCGTGGAGGCCTTGATGTCTCCTGTTAATAGAGATAGTGGAACTGTTTTTTCTATGTTCTTAGGTTTCTGGGCATATTTTGAGAGGAGGGAAAGAGTTATAGGGTGACTATAAAGGGAATAATTCTGCAGATAGTTTTGAGCAATGCCATTACATAAATCATCTCTATTTAGTCATCTGAAAGAGCAAAGAGGACTATTTTAACTTCAGCTCCTTTTAATTCTCCATACAATAGAGGTACTAAGGGTGTTAGCAGAGTGGCCAAAAGTCAGGGAGCTTGAGTGAGGAGGGGAAGAAGGAAAGGTCTTGGGCATCCCCTGACTTTGAGTCCTGGACCCTGGCCCTAAGAACAGCCACACAGGCCTTTCCCCACAGCCTTGTCAGCCAACATCCCCCCAAACTGTGTCCCACTTAAAATAATGAATCCCAGAATCCCTTATTGGATTCAGCCAATCCACATGGTGTGGTTCGGCTTTTAAGAAGAATAAATCAACATTTAAAGCCTGCCTGGATTTATTGTAAACAGTCTCTCTCCACTAAAAATGGCCCACAGTGTGATTTGGCCCCGTGCTAGGATGGTGGCTCCATTTTGGAGCCACATTTGCCTTTAAAATAACACAGCCGTGAGCAAATGCACCTCACTGTTGGCTGCATGCATGTTTTCTTAGGAACTTGAAAGGGCTTCTCTCTGAGTCACCTTAGCTGCTCTTCTGAGTCATTTCTAGGGTTGAGAAGGAGAATGACAGAGAAGGGAGCAATGAGGCTGGGTGAGCAGCAGCCTCACTGTTGTTCTTGCCTGCTGTGACCTGTGACATGTGCTCAGATCTCCTCTGGCCTCGAGGAAACCCCTGGAAGGCGGTCTTCCCATCTACCAGGAAGGAGTAGACAGATTTTTCTACCAGTGCAAAAGGGTGTTCAGTGTGTATTGCAGGTTGCCCTGTAGCCTTCCCAAGACCAACTTTCCAAGACTGCCAGGCTTGATCCCCTTTGAGGCTGGTCCCAGGTGGGGGTGGCCTTCACCTGCAGCACCCATATACTCTGTAGCCAGCACAGGGAGGCTGCCTAAATCTCCTTACTTACCTATGAGGTATGCATAGATCTGAGGCTTGAGTCATGGTGGAACTTGTGACCTATCCCTGATCCCACTCTTTGTTTGTGATCTGGAGGCCCTCTCACATCCCCAGTTTCTGATAGAGTCTTTGCCTCAGTATCTGACTACTGCTCAGGCATATTACAAAGACATTACCTACCTGGTGAGATTTCTTACTAGAAATATGTTTTTCCAGTTAATGGTTCCCTGGAATCCGAATAGGTATATTTTAACATTGGCTTCACTATTTGTTAGTTTGGTGAATTAGGGCAAATTAACTTAATGTTTTGAAACCTCAATTTCTACAACCATATAACAGAGATTGCAATAGTGGTAACTAACTTCATAGGGCTGATGTGAGAATTAAATGAGGTAGTCTCTGTAAAGTACTTATCAGGGTACCTAGAACCCATTGAGTATTTAGTAAATGTTCCTATTATTATATCTTCATGAATGTAGAAATTAAGATGCACTCTTGAGACTCCCAGGGCATGACTGGCCCATTGCAAAACATCATAGCTACCATGAACATCTGAGTCTTCATAAGTGGACCTGGCCTTAAGTCCTCCTGGCAGGTGTATCATGCTGATCTCATGGCTGGTCTGTTCAGGAAGTTCATTGCTGGCTAAGGGAAGAGCTCCCCTCCCAGAGGCACATGGGCATCCCCTGGAGAGAAGATTCCAAATTTTCCAGCCAGTCTTCAGTCAGCTCTTTGGACCCAGGATCTGAGGCTACAGCAGTATTCAGACTTCTTAAACTATTTGAATAGCTGCTTCCTTCTGCATCCTTGGACACATTAAAAGCAGTGTACACATAAGACTCTTTGGCTAGTGTTCCCAAGCTGAGTCAGATTCTGGGTTGAAGGTGAGACACAAAATAGCAAACAGAAGCAAGGCAGACAGGCACTCACACCTGGGTGCTAGGAATGAACAAAACAGATGCCCAGAAAGTCGGGAAGAATTTGTCTGTGAACACAGAGTCTTCTGGATTTACCATTTTGATTCCAGCAGCTCCTAGAAGACTTTCAAAGTGAAGGAGTGCCCCCTTAGGATTGCTGAAGTGACCAAGCACCTGTGTGGGGAGCCACACCCAGCCATTCCTAAGAGGACTCTGATTTATGGAGAGAGGGATTCAGAGCTCAGCTGCATTCTTGTGGCTGGGATCAAAAGGGCTTTCTCACTGACCACAGATCATATCCCGGCAATTCTCCCCAGACAGAACATTCCTGAGAATGAATGTGGTCTTGACCACAGCCCATGGGGTGGAGTAAAACTGGGAGGGTACATACCTGGGAGGATGGCATTTTTAATAGTCTAAAACAAAGGTTTATGTACCCCCAGACCAGATTTGGAGAACGTTGTACTCTCCCCTTCTTGCCTAGGCATAACCTGTTTAGTGGAAAATGAGCTAAACTGAATTTTCATCCTGACAGATTACTTTACTTCTTTGGGACTTAGTTTCTTTGTTGAAATGGGAATGTTTGATTCTAATCAGAGGGACCATTTTTAGGTGGTTTGCCACAGTCCTCACCTTTCCATATTGTCTCATATATGGCTTGCTTCACTCCTTTCCAGTACCTCTCTGACCCCATTAAGAATTTGAATTTGTAGCCTCTGGACTGGATAATCTGTAAGCCCTTTTCCCCTCACTTTCCAGCTGCAACATTCTTGAAAATCATAGTTATGAGTAGACTATTTAAAATAACTGTCTAGTTGAGATGTGTATGTGTCTTCTGGAACGAGGAATGGACACAGCTGGGACTGGGAGTGGGGTGCCTGCTGGTGGAGTCATGTCTGGCAATCCCAAAGCAGAAAAGAGTGCCAGCGTTAAGTGGGAAAACCTGCCTACGGGACTGACACATCCAAGATAATCCACTGTTTGCTTTTCCAGAGTATTCTCAAGAGTTGGCTTGCTCACTTGTTCCAGGGCAACTTGTCCCTGAAAGGGTCAGCAAAATTGTGCTTTCTCCTTTGACGGGGTGTGTGAGCCTGGCAGAGAGAAGAAAGGGATGAGGGATTCTGAACTTTCTTCTGCCAGCCAGCATCACTTATGTGAATTTCAGTTGTCTATGTCTGTAATAAGAAGGAAAAAAAATGCTCAGTATAATTGGATCTCCAAATCCAAATCCATTTTGGAAGATACTGTACCCAAAATGAGCTGGTATAAGGCAGAGGGGGCTGCCCAGGCCTCCCTTTGTTTTTCTTCCATTCCTGATGAAGTCACAGCCAAGAATTTTGTTTGATGAGGAAGTAAATTATATCATATGTGTAGGTCTTTAGAGATAGTACCAGCCATATTTGAAGGACTTTTAACACAAACATTAATATTTATATCTGGCCTGTGGGTTCTATTTGTGGCACAATAGCCTGAACTTAGATAAGAATCCTGTAGATAAGAAGAAAGTTTATGCTTTAGTTAATGAGAGATTTCTCGCCTGCCCTTCCTAATGGACTCAGCAGTTGGCAATTACGTCGTGCTGATAACTGGCCTCTCTCGGCTCCCCAAGCATGGAGCCAAGAGAAGGGGTATGGTGGAGGGGGCTGATAGACAGGGAAGAGTCCTGTAGAGTAAAGAGAATATTATATGATAAATGGCTCCTAGCTCACAGAGTGGTATCCAAAACTCAAGAAAAAGAATATTCTGAATACTGAACCATTAACTGAGGGACAAGATCTCACTCACAAGCTGTGGACACTGGAAAAAAGAACAATGTATGGCTCTGTATCATCCACCATTTTCTTACATGTGTAAGTACATTTTTTTTAAACAGCTTTCTTCCTGCACAGAGCTCATTAAATTAAGGAAAGTAGGCTACTCATTTGGGGAGCGGACTCTGACAAGTACCGAGAGAGGTGTAGCCTCCTTGAAAGTTCTAGAAATCTTGTGGATTAGAAAAAACTCTTTCAAAGCAGGCCTTGATGGTTGCTCATAATACAGTGGAGTGTCTATAATATTACTGGGGCTTAGAGAGACCCTGAATATACAGGAATCTTTTACCTTCTTAATAAAAATACCTTTTAAAAAATAAAGTGGTTATGTTAACTTTTAGGGATATGGATTAGTCACTTGACTAATTATATACTGAGTTTATCAATGTAGTTGCAAATATTCAAAATTGTCTTCAATATAAAATGTTTTTAATTTAGAAATACTGCATTGTTCACTCTCATAGTTTAAGAAACTAGATATTTTATTAAAACTCTTCACCCCTATCTGTGACATATAGGCCTTCTTTCTAGCCCTGTAACACAATTTATCAGAACACATGGTCCTCACCTCTGTCTGTTTCAGAGATAGAGTGTTTGAATCTGTGTATGCCAAGCCACAGTTTGCCATTTATATAACATTGGGGAATTATTTTGTTTTTCATTTATTTTCTACATGTATAGTTGTGATCTGCACAAATGTAACCTTTACTCTACGACTTCTTAAAATGTTTTTTTAAAAGTTCCTTTGAAATGACACATAATATTTGCAATTAATCTGGGTGAAATTTCTTTGTCTCTCCAACTTTTTAAAAAGACCAGTTCTATCAGGTGACTTCTATAAGTATTCTAAATTAGTTTGATTGTGTTCTTTTAGTCTAATTATTTAATTTTTGATTAAATAATGTAATTGAGAGTATATCCCATAATATAAAGTATACATAAAGATGGAAATATAAGATTACATCCTTAACAGTTAACTTTGGGTTTTAAAAACAGGTGCCTTATATTTGGGTATCTATATAGTATATATTTTAACATATTTTCATTTTTTATTGAGTTGGTTGATGTGGCACTTTGCTGCAATTTGGACACAAATCATGAGATTAATTATTTACTAAGATCCACAAATATAAGTGATATGAATGTACACACAAATGTATATTGGGAATTGTTTTAAGTTCTATGTGGGTCAAAATAAGTAAGAATGTCCTGGTGTTGAAATATTCATGAATTTGTTTAACAAATGGCAGTTTTTATTCTACATAATATGAATTTCTCTACTTAAAATGAATTCTATGGAGCATCGGTTTCTTGAGGTGTTCTGAGAAAACAAAAACAAAAATAAAACCATGGCCAAATAAGGGTAGAAAAAGCTATATACTGGGTTCTTTACTTAGATACTTAAAGTGCATGTTAGCCTGTTAGAGGCTCTGAAAGTCCTACAGGAAGTAAGTTGTTTTTAATCCAGTGTTTTGCTAATAGTTTCCACTATGGAACCTTCTGTACAAAGCAATTATTAACATTTTGTGAAACTGTAGTTACCTGTGGCACTCACTTTCTCTCTCTCTTTCTCTGTCTCTCTCTCTCTCTCTCTGTCTCTCTCTCCTTCTCTCTCCCTCTCCCTCCCTCTCCCCTAACCTTTCAAAAGCAAAGAGGGAGAAATGCGGAGGGGAGATGCCTCATAGCACCTGGGAGGGTGCCCATGTCCTTGAGGGAATATGTGCAGGCACTTTAAGGCGCAGCTGGGAAGAAGAGCAACAGACAAAGTCAAGCATTGGGGAACATTTCCTTTGATAAGGGGGATCTTATTATTCTGTGTGCCCCTTGGGGGAACTGGGTGTGCTGGACCAGGCTGCCAAGCGTGTGTGTGCATGAGCTCTGGGGGTCCCCTGAGAGAGCCCTGGCTCTCCTTCCTAACAAGGGAGACCAAGAAGTGTAGCCCCGTCACTCCTGAGAGGGCAGGGCTACCTCTGAGCAGGCAAGAGTGGTAACTGAGTAACTGAGGGATGGTTTCCAGGGTCTCATGGGGTGACATGACTCAAATGCTCTATTATCTTTGGACCAATCCCCCACCAACCCCGATCTCAAGAAAACTGATACCAAATTCCTAAAAAGGAATTTTGGAAACCCTGTTTAAATGCATGGATTACTGTTTTTTTGTGACTTAATGAAAAATGTTAAACCTTGTGGGTGGAGGGCCCTCTCCTTAACGTAGAACAACCTCCAGCGATGGCAAAAGAGTGGCTTGGGTCACTCTACCCTGGGTGACTGCATCAGGCAGAGAGTGGTAGGAGCACAGCTTTAGCCAGGGACATCCCCAGCAGGCCGGGTGGGGAGTGCACGATCACAAGGAGGAGAATGGATTATACGTGACAGCCCAGATGAGGGCTGAAATAGTAGACAGAGTCCTGGTGAGACATTGAGAAGATCCTTGAGCAATGGAAGAAGGTGCTGTGGACTGGATGTGCCAGATCCCACAGCTACACGTGTTTCTTCAGGTAACCCTGAAACTGGCATACCTGGGGGAGAAGTCCCCAAATGTCATCTGTGGACCACAAAACCTTGAGTAACGTTTGAAAAAAAAAAGCTTTGATTTTTGCAGCTCCCCTGAAGATTTGGAATTAGCAGAGATGATCCCTGAATTGATTTTTTGCAAGGTCCCCCAGTGATTCTGAGGTGCATCCAGATTGAAGGACCCACTAATATGGGGGAAGCACAGGTTTTGTATTAAAAACATTTCTCAGCCACATGCGGTAGCTCACGCCTGTAATCCCAGAACTTTGGGAGACCAAGGTGGGTGGATCACCTGAGGTCAGGAGTTCAAGACCAGTCTGGCCAACATGGTGAAACCCCATCTCTACTAAAAATACAAATTAAATAAATAAATAAATAAGTAAATAAATAAGCAAGCAAGCTGGGCGTGGTGGTGGGCACCTGTAATCCCAGCAGCGTGGGAGGCTGAGGCAGGAGAATCACTTGAACCTGGGAGGCAGAGGTTGCAGTGAGCTGAGATCGCGCCACTGCACTCCAGCCTGGGCAACAAGAGAGAAACTCCGTCTCAAAAAAAGAAAAAAAATTTCTTGAACTTCACAACAGAGAATTTATTGAATTTTCTGTTGTGAAATAAACTTGGAGAAATTAAAATACATTCTGTTAATCTCACAGACACTAATAGTTTATGAAATGCAGGAGTATTCTTAAAAATAATGAAACAATTGCACTTGCTTATCCTGGTTTAAAGAGTCTTGTCTCTTATTCATACATTTGCTTGCAGACCCGAGTTATCCCTTGTTCTCTTCCACTCCTTTCCCTTCCTTCATTTGTCCTTGTTTGTCTGGGACCTTTCTTTGTGCTCACCTGCCCAAGCCGGGATCCAGCTCTGATGTCTGTGGGGATCCTTCCCATTTGAAGCTTTTCTGCCAGACTACTCAGAAGTAAAGTGATTTTTGATGTTTATTTTTTACTCTTGCTGGATTATCTACCCTTTGATACTTATTAAATAATCTTACTCTCTTCATTCCTGAGCCTTCTAGCTAGAAATAGCCAGGGGATAATTTTCTATTTTTAATAACATTGATGGCACCAGAGAGCCAGACTCTATCCTCAGAGGTCAATTTCATGCATGTCTTACCAGGCAAATCCATTTGAAGGGAGACTTTGACCAACAGGGAAAAACACTGCAAACTCCACGCCTCTGATCAGTCTGCTTTATGGCAATTCCTCTTTAGATTTTTCTATTTGAAATAGACAACAGTCTTATTTGTTCTGTGTCATTTTGCAAAACTTTTGGGCAAGGTGCTTGTGTCTCAGTTTCCCTTTCATCTGTAAAATGGAAGTAATAATGTAACCATACAAAATATGAACTATTTTGCAAAGAACTGTGTAATGCAAGTGTGGCTGGTTTAAGTGTAACTTACCCAAAATGTGTTCATCATTTAAAATTGAAACCTGCAAAGAACAATTTGATGGCAACTGCATTTTCAATGAGCGGCTTGAGGTCATAGTTCATAAAATAGTCCTGCACCACTTCGGTCATTTTCTGCAGAATTTGTAAACTGAAGGGATGGAATGCTCTTCGCTGTGTAAATTCTGCATCTGCTATTTCTTACAACTGCTTTCCCCAGGGCATGAGTGACTGAAGCAGTGAAGTTAGTAGAGAAAACAGGTGTGCCTGTTCAAAGGAGGAATGTAAGCCCCTCTCCAAGAGAGATTCACAATCCAGGCATCCCTGTGGGCAGAGCTGACTGGTACAGAGCTGGCTCCTTGCATGGATTTTCCAACTTGAAGCTTGGCACATTCAGGGGAAGATTGACCCTGTCTGCAGGATGGGATGTATGCTTTTTCTATGTAGTATGCAGGAGTTCCTCTGGTTTTCATTGTGGAGATTTTGCCAGTTAGAGTAAATGGACTATGCTTGCCTGGGCACATACCTTCAAAACTTGAACCCTAGAACTGCTCATTGGTGAGTTTGAATATTTGTCCCCTCCAAAATTCTTATGGAAATTTAATCCCCAGTGTGGTAGTATTGAAAGGTGGGGCCATAAGAGGTGATTGGGTCATGAGGGCTCTGGCCTCATGAATGGATGGATCCATTCAGAGATTAATGGGTTAATGGATGAATGGGTTATCATGGGAGGGGAACTGGTGGCTTTATAAGCAGAGGGAGAGAGACCTGAGTTAGCACGTTAGCACACTGAGCTCCTCCTCACCATGTGATGCTCTGCACCACCTTAGGACTCTTCAGAAAATCTCCACCAGCAAGAAAGCTCTCACCAGATGTGCCGCCTCGACCTTGGACTTCCTAGCCTCCATAACTGTAAGAAATAAATTCCTTTTCTTTACAAATTACCCAGTTTCAGGTATTCTATAATAAGCAACAGAAAATGGACTGAGACAGTGCGTAAGACAAATCAGGAAAACTGGATTTTTATTTCATTTTGAAGCTATTTCTTTAAGAATCTGAGGTATAGGGGATAGCAAGTCATAGCTATAAAACATAAGGGACCTTAATGTCTAATCTTAAAGGGGCACTACAAACCCTCAAGGGGATGCTTCCCAGGCAAAGTGTCAAGGTCGCATTACCTCAAAGACAATAGGGCCCAGGTTCTATCTAGTCTTAAAATTGCAGATTTGGAAACAATTTTTTTCAGTACCTAGGAACCCTTGAAGACTAACTATCTCATGCCCACAAAACTCAGAAAAGGTTGTGTAAATCAAAGTGATAACAGTTTGGCTTATACTGAGAAATTATCTGTTAAATTGGCTACACACTTTTGTTGGCTGGATGAAATATTTGTATTGCTTTCCAACAATAAATATAACTCTTAAGTGCACCAGACATTTATACCAGCTTGCCTAGCATTTCTCTCTGTAGGAAGGCTATGGAGGAAGCTAAAATATAATCAAAAGGTTGCATAATGAGCATGGAGAGTGAGCTTGTCAATATTAATACCAAGCGCATCAAGCCATATAACTTGATGCATCCACCCACAGCATCAGAATTCATGCCAAGCAGGCTAGATATTTGAGCCAGAGGATCAGAACTCCTTCTTCCCTGTCTGGTGCTGGAAGCTTAGCTCATTTTTTTCTATGTATTCTGATGGCAAATTCCTTTCCTCTCCCAGTGTTTCTCACGTATGTCCTATAGTTCTCTAGTCCTGTTAGATTCTTTGGGGAAAAAAAGGTTCTGTGGCTGAAAAATTTAACGCTCCGTACAGTAACTTCATTTTGTGTATTCATCATGTTCATTAGCACATTAAAAGTTTTGAGCAAACCTGTTTAACTTTGTTTACTCCCACATTTTCCAAGCTTACTTGACCAAAGAATACTTTCTTTATGGAATATCTACTAGCATCCTGAGAAAGTAGGTGTTCCAGGGAATACTCTTTGGGAAATGCCAATGTTGGAAATGCCAATAGCTATAAGTGCCACCAATTGAGCAAGAGGCACATTCTCTCTCTTCTTACATTTTGCTTGGATGACACTCAGGGTTTTGTGGTTGCCTTACTTTTGTCTCCAGGTCCTGCCTATAATGACAGAAGACAAAAAGAAACAAAAGAAACCAGGGAAAATCCAAACAAAGATAAAATGGCCCTAGGGTGAAATAGGTTTCAGGAAGCTAGAAAGGCTGGCTTCTAAATTTCCTTCTAGTCCTAAATATTTGGGGCCCTAAAGACTGGGGAAAAAGCATTCACTTATTTATTTATTTATTTATTTATACTTTTTTCTTTTCCTACTAGCAAATGGAAAAAAATGACAATTTTGCAGAATAGGTAGAGTGAAGAGTTTCTGAAAGTTGACAGTAGTCATTGTGTTCTTATTTGTAATGGCTTTTAAGACTTAGCAAGTGACATAGTGGAAAAAGGCCTAACTTGACATTAGAAAACCTAGGTTCAAACCCCAACACCGCTCTGGTATTACCTTGGGCAAGTGACTTCAGCTTTCTGAGCTTCAGATTCTTCTTTATCAATTCAAATGGGAATAACACTGTTCATAGTGCCATTGTAAGGATGAAATAATGGCATCAGTAATATCCAACAGTGCTAAATATTTGTGCCTTGTTTCTTTTTGATTTTTCTAAACAAATATACATACTAGGTACAACAGAAGCAGAAACTAAGGCTTAAGGAAGTGAATAGCCTGCCCAAGAACACGCAGCTAGTAATGGTAGAGGTGGGATTTGAATCCAGGTATGTTTGGCTTCGAAGTCCATTTTCTCTGCAGTGAGGCTACACACAGAGTCCCAGGAACTAGCACAAAAGTATCTATCTAAGAAATATTTTAAAATATAATGGCTTTCTTTCTTTCTTTTTTTTCTTTTTTGACATAATTAGTCCATAGCCAAAAACTGGGCTGATTTATGTCAAGTATGAAACTGAAAATAGGTAGAGAAGATGACTCTCTAGGGAAGAAAAATCTCAAATCACATAAACCTTATATATTGTTTAACATAAATATTTTTAATTATATCACTATTCAGAAAGGTCTGCATGATGCCTGATAATCACTGCATAGAGTCTTTTGGTTTTGGCTTTTGTTCATATGCTATTATACTGCATTGAGTGCTCGATATTGGCAGACTATGTCATTCTTTAGAGTGAACAGTTGTGCTCAGCCAACCTTTTGGTTATTTACCATATTATGAGACATGCCTTTTCAAGATAGAAGCCAGAAAATGCATATGTCAGATTCCTTTGGGGCTAGGGGGCAGGGCTGTGACTTTGGCTGCATGACTACATGGCCCATGAAAGGTGAGTTTGGAGTGAGCCAGGCAAAGAGATGGCTGTATGAAAGGGAATCAGTTTTCCACTAAGGTTGATAGTGGAGTTAAACAAGGGAGGTGATACAGTTTAAATGTATATCCCTGCCAAATCTCATGTTGAATTGTAATCCCTAGTGTTGGAGGTGGGGCCTGGTGGGATATGTTTGGGTCATGAGAGCAAATTCATCATGAACGGTGTGGGCCATCTCTTTGGTGGTAAGTGAGCTCTTGCTCTGAATTCACACAGGATTTGATTGTTCAAAAGTGTGTGGTACTTCCCGCTTTACTCTCTTTCTTGCTCTTGCTTTCACCATATGAGATGTCTGCTCCTGCTTTGCCTTCCACCATGAGTAAAAGCTCCCTGAGGCCTCCCTACAAGCTGAGCAGTGTTGGTGCCATGCTTGTACAGCCTCCAGAACTGTGAGCCAATTAAACCTCTTTTCTTTATAAATTATCCAGTTGTGGGTATTTCTTTATAGTAACACAACAATGGCCTAATAAAAAAAAATTGGTACCAAGGAGTGGGCATTGCTATAAAGATACCTGAAAATGTGGAAGCAGCTTTGGAACTGGATAATGGGCAGAGGCTGGAAGAGTATGGAGGGCTCAAAAGAAGACGGGAAGATGAGGGAAAGTTTGGAATGTTTTAGAGACTGGTGAAATGGTTGTGACCAAAATGCTGATAGTAATACGGACAGTGAAGTCCAGGCTGATGAGGTTTCAGATGGAAATGAAGAACTTATTAAGAACTTGAGCAAAGGTCACTCTTAGTATGCCTTAGCAAAAAACTTGGCTGCATTCTGTTCATGACCTAGGGATCTGTGGAAGTTTGAGCTTAAGAGCAATGATTTAGGGCAAGGGTCTCCAACCCCTAAGTCGCAGACCAGTACCAGTTTGTGTCCTGTTAGGAACTGAGCCACACAGCAAGAGGTGAGCAGTAGGTGAGTGAGCATTACTGCCTGAGCTCCACCTCCTGTTAGATCAACCGTGGTATTAGATTCTCATAGGAGAGTGAACCCTATTGTGAACTGCACATTTGAGAGATCTAGGTTGCACACTCCTTATAAGAATCTAATACCTGATGATCTGAGGTGGAATTTTCATCCCCAAACCATCCCCCTTAGCCCCTGCCAGTCTGTGGAAAAATTGTCTTCCACAAAACTGGCCTCTAGTACAAAAAAGGTTGGGGACCACTGATTTAGGGTATCTGGAAGAAGAAATATCTAAGTAGCAAAATGTTCAAAATGTAGCCTGGCTGCTTCTAATACTCTACACTCAGATGCAGAAGCAAAGAAATTACTTTAAGTTAGAATTTATATTTAAACAGGAAGCAAAGTGTAAAAGTTTGGAAAATTTTACAGCCTGGTCATGTGGCAAAGAAAGAAAAAGCTTTTACAGGAGAAGAATTCAAGCAGACTGCAGAGCAACCACTTCCTAGAGATATTTGCATAAATAAAAGGGAACTAAGTGCTAATATCCAAGACAATGTGGAAGAGACCTTGAAAGCATTCCAGAAAATTTCCAGGCTATTCCTCCCATCACAGGCCCAGAGGCCTAGGAGAATTGAATGGTTTCAGGTGCTAGACCCCAGGGCCTCACTGCCCTAAGCAGCCTTGGGACACTGTTTCTACATCCAGGCCACTCTAGCTCCAGCCAGAGCTCAAAGGGGCCCAAGTACAGCTTGAGCTGCCACTTTGGAGAATGTGAGCTGTGAGCTTTGATGGCTTCCACGTGGTGTTAAGCCTGTGGGTGCAGAGTGCAAGAGCTGACTCTTGGTAGCCTCCACCTACGTTTCAGAGGATGTTTAAGGAAGTCTGGGTGTCCAAGAAAGAGCCTGCCACAGAGGCAGAGCCGTAACAGAGCTTTACATGAGTAAAATCTCCCTGAGGCCTCCCCAGGAGCTGAGCAATGTTGGTACTATGCTTGTACAGCGTGCAGAACTGTAAGCCAATTAAACCTCTTTTCTTTATAAAGTACTCAGTCTTAGGTATTTCTTATAGCAATGCAAGAATAACCTAATGCAGGAGGGGACAGTGGCAGAGTTCCTTGCCTCCAGTCCTAAGGGTCATAGGTACTGAGTATTGGTGTAATCAATGTTTTCCTTCAGGGCTATGGTTGAGCATCATCCCTGGTGGTGTAGCTTCAGGGTTTGGCTTTCTTGCCCTTCCGGAGAGTCTTGATCCATTTAATACTGTTTAATAAATTCTTTTTGCCTTGCCAGAGTGGATTCTGTTGTTTGTAACCTAAAATCTTCGCTGATACACAGTTTAATTGCAATGCCTGGCACACACTCAACAAATGCTTGCTAAATTCATAAATGGAGGGAAATTGTGAAACTGGTGATATCTGTGTGTGTGGCAGTGGTGGCGGGGAGGTGATCCTGATATACTTGTTGAATTTTCAGCATTGATCTTCATCCTTTGAAAACTATCTAGGGGTTTGGTGTTGGGGCATTTTTTTTTTCTGCTGTGACATTGCAAACAATGGGAGCACTGTGAATGTTATTATGTCCCTTCTTCACTTTAATTGTTTTGGGACCTCTTACTGAAGATATATGATTAAGTTTGTATTAGTTTTTCCTTCTCTGTAATTAAGTGGACAAGCTTTCTTCATTTCTGCTTGTCAGAAGGAAATTTGGAATATATGAGACCTGAGGTTAACTTTTGAGTTAAAGCCAACATTTTTTTTTTTTTTTGGTGGAGAATATACCTGTAAATTGCTGCATCCTTTGAGAGATATTAAACTGTGGGCCTCAGAGAGGCCCAGGAGCAGTTGCTTAACTTACCATTTTTGTTTAATGTTTTAAATATATTTTACTACTTATAAAGGGTTATTTAGAAATTGGTCTAATTTAGTTTTCTGTTTTATGGTGTTTAATTCAAGGATATCAGATCTTTGCTTGCAGCCTATTCTTTAGGGCCTAGAAAACCTCAAAGAATAAAGTTGTATACCTGAGTATCAGATTTATCACAGAAATGATATATAATAGGAGATTTATATGTTGGGTCAAATTTTCCCTTATTTTTCTTAACAATTTTGCAGTTCTGCTTGAGCATCCATTGGTTTCTTGGTGCACATCCTTGAAGAAGAGGTTGTGAATACAAATGCTTTATTAAATCTATACTAAATAGATTTGGAATTCTACTCAAAAAGAGGCAGAAAGAGGCCAATGAGTAGCAAGGAAGGAGACTGAATGGTCACATCCCCACCTCTCCTCTCTCTGAGGCCAAAAGGGAGACTTCCCTGGAGGGGTCACCCACTTCTGCTGCAGTCCCTCTTAAAGCATAACACCCATGACCTCCTCCAAGTGAAATGTCCATATGCTGGAGGGTTTTTTTTTCTTTTCTTTATTTATTTCTGTTTTGATATTTTTATTTTATTTTATTGTATTATTATTATACTTTAAGTATTAGGGTGCATGTGCACAATGTGCAGGTTAGTTACATATGTATACATGTGCCATGCTGGTGTGCTGCACCCATTAACTCGTCATTTAGCATTAGGTATATCTCCTAAAGCTATCCCTCCCCCCTCCCCCCACCCCACAACAGTCCCCAGAGTGTGATGTTCCCCTTCCTGTGTCCATGTGTTCTCATTGTTCAATTCCCACCTACGAGTGAGAATATGCGGAGTATGGTTTTTTGTCCTTGCAATAGTTTACTGAGAATGATGATTTCCAATTTCATCCATGTCCTTACAAAGGACATGAACTCATCATTTTTTATGGCTGCATAGTATTCCATGGTGTATATGTGCCACATTTTCTTAATCCAGTCTATCATTGTTGGACATTTGGGTTGGTTCCAAGTCTTTGCTATTGTGAATAGTGCCGCAATAAACATACGTGTGCATGTGTCTTTATAGCAGCATGATTTATAATCCTTTGGGTATATACCCAGTAATGGGATGGCTGGGTCAAATGGTATTTCTAGTTTTAGATCCCTGAGGAATTGCCACACTGACTTCCACAATGGCTGAACTAGTTTACAGTCCCACCAACAGTGTAAAAGTGTTCCTAATTCTCCACATCCTCTCCAGCACCTGTTGTTTCCTGACTTTTTCATGATTGCCATTCTAACTGGTGTGAGATGGTATCTCATTGTGGTTTTGATTTGCATTTCTCTGATGGCCAGTGATGGTGAGCATTTTTTCATGTGTTTTTTGGCTGCATAAATGTCTTCTTTTGAGAAGTGTCTGTTCATATCCTTCACCCACTTTTTGATGGGGTTGTTTTTTTCTTGTAAATTTGTTTGAGTTCATTGTAGATTCTGGATATTAGCCCTTTGTCAGATGAGTAGGTTGTGAAAATTTTCTCCCATTTTGTAGGTTGCCTGTTCACTCTGATGGTAGTTTCTTTTGCTGTGCAGAAGCTCTTTAGTTTAATTAGATCCCATTTGTCAATTTTGGCTTTTGTTGCCAATGCTTTTGGTGTTTTAGACATGAAGTCCTTGCCCATGCCTATGTCCTGAATGGTAATGCCTAGGTTTTTTTCTAGGGTTTTTATGGTTTTAGGTCTAACGTTTAAGTCTTTAATCCATCTTGAATTAATTTTTGTATAAGGTGTAAGGAAGGGATCCATTTTCAGCTTTCTACATATGGCTAGCCAGTTTTCCCAGCATCATTTATTAAATAGGGAATCCTTTCCCCATTGCTTGTTTTTGTCAGGTTTGTCAAAGATCAGATAGTTGTAGGTATGCGGCGTTATTTCTGAGGGCTCTGTTCTGTTCCATTGATCTATATCTCTGTTTTGGTACCAGTACCATGCTGTTTTGGTTACTGTAGCCTTGTAGTATAGTTTGAAGTCAGGTAGCGTGATGCCTCCAGCTTTGTTCTTTTGGCTTAGGATTGACTTGGCGATGTGGGCTCTTTTTTGGTTCCATATGAACTTGAAAGTAGTTTTTTCCAATTCTGTGAAGAAAGTCGTTGGTAGCTTGATGGGGATGGCATTGAATCTATAAATTACCTTGGGCAGTAGGGCCATTTTCACGATATTGATTCTTCCTACCCACGAGCATGGAATGTTCTTCCATTTGTTTGTATCCTCTTTTATTTCATTGAGCAGTGGTTTGTAGTTCTCCTTGAAGAGGTCCTTCACGTCCCTTGTAAGTTGTATTCCTAGGTATTTTATTCTCTTTGAAGCAATTGTGAGTGGGAATTCACTCATGATTTGGCTCTCTTTTTGTCTGTTATTGGTGTGTAAGAATGCTTGTGATTTTTGCACATTGATTTTGTATCCTGAGACTTTGCTGAAGTTGCTTATCAGCTTAAGGAGATTTTGGGCTGAGACAATGGGGTTTTCTAGATATACAATCATGTCATCTGCAAAAGGGGACAGTTTGA
Organism: Homo sapiens; assembly: GCF_000001405.40. Classification (NCBI taxonomy): domain Eukaryota; kingdom Metazoa; phylum Chordata; class Mammalia; order Primates; family Hominidae; genus Homo; species Homo sapiens. The sequence continues at coordinate 54,238,067 of NC_000014.9, read as the reverse complement.
CTTCCTCTTTTCCTAATTGAATACCCTTTATTTCCTTCTCCTGCCTAATTGCCCTGGCCAGAACTTCCAACACTACGTTGAATAGGAGTGGTGAGAGAGGGCATCCCTGTCTTGTGCCAGTTTTCAAAGGGATTGCTTCCAGTTTTTGCCCATTCAGTATGATATTGGCTGTGGGTTTGTCATAGATAGCTCTTATTATTTTGAGATACGTCCCATCAATACCTAATTTATTGAGAGTTTTTAGCATGAAGCGTTGTTGAATTTTGCCAAAGGCCTTTTCTGCATCTATTGAGATAATCATGTGGTTTTTGTCTTTGGTTCTGTTTGTATGCTGGATTACATTGATTGATTTGCGTATATTGAACCAGCCTTGCATCCCAGGGATGAAGCCCACTTGATCCTGGTGGATAAGCTTTTTGATGTGCTGCTGGATTCGGTTTGCCAGTATTTTATTGAGGATTTTTGCATCAATGTTCCTCAAGGATATTGGTCTAAAATTCTCTTTTTTGGCTGTGTCTCTGCCTGGCTTTGGTATCAGGATGATGCTGGCCTCATAAAATGAGTTAGGGAGGATTCCCTCTTTTTCTATTGATTGGAATAGTTTCAGAAGGAATGGTACCAGTTCCTCCTTCTACCTCTGGTAGAATTCGGCTGTGAATCCATCTGGTCCTGGACTCTTTTTGGTTGGTAAGCTGTTGATTATTGCCACAATTTCAGAGCCTGTTATTGGTCATTCAGAGAGTCAACTTCTTCCTGGTTTAGTCTTGGGAGCGTGTATGTGCCGAGGAATTTATCCATTTCTTCTAGATTTTCTAGTTTATTTGCGTAGAGGTGTTTGTAGTATTCTCTGATGGTAGTTTGTATTTCTGTGGGATCGGTGGTGATATCCCCTTTATCATTTTTTATTGTGTGTATTTGATTCTTCTCTCTTTTCTTCTTTATTAGTCTTGCTAGCGGTCTATCAATTTTGTTGATTGTTTCAAAAAAGCAGCTCCTGGATTCATTAATTTTTTGAAGGGTTTTTTGTGTCTCTATTTCCTTCAGGTCTGCTCTGATTTTAGTTATTTCTTGCCTTCTGCTAGCTTTTGAATGTGTTTGCTCTTGCTTTTCTAGTTCTTTTAATTGTGATGTTAGGGTGTCAATTTTGGGTCTTTCCTGCTTTCTCTTGTGGGCATTTAGTGCTATAAATTTCCCTCTACACACTGCTTTGAATGTGTCCCAGAGATTCTGGTATGTTGTGTCTTTGTTCTCTTTGGTTTCAAAGAACATCTTTATTTCTGCCTTCATTTCGTTATGTACCCAGTAGTCATTCAGGAGCAGGTTGTTCAGTTTCCATGTAGTTGAGCGGTTTTAAGTGAGTTTCTTAATCCTGAGTTCTAGTTTGATTGCACTGTGGTCTGAGAGACAGTTTGTTATAATTTCTGATCTTTTACATTTGCTGAGGAGAGCTTTACTTCCAACTATGTGGTCAATTTTGGAATAGGTGTGGTGTGGTGCTGAAAAAAATGTATATTCTGTTGATTTAGGGTGGAGAGTTCTGTAGATGTCTATTAGGTCTGCTTGGTGCAGAGCTGAGTTCAATTCCTGGGTATCCTTGTTAACTTTCTGTCTGGTTGATCTGTCTAATGTTGACAGTGGGGTGTTAAAGTCTCCCATTATTATTGTGTGGGAGTCTAAGTCTCTTTGTAGGTCACTCAGGACTTGCTTTATGAATCTGGGTGCTCCTGTATTGGGTGCATATATATTTAGGATAGTTAGCTCTTCTTGTTGAATTGATCCCTTTACCATTATGTAATGGCCTTCTTTGTCTCTTTTGATCTTTGTTGGTTTAATGTCTGTTTTATCCGAGACTAGGATTGCAACCCCTGCCTTTTTTTGTTTTTCATTTGCTTGGTAGATCTTCCTCCATCCTTTTATTTTGAGTCTATGTGTGTCTCTGCACGTGAGATGGGTTTCCTGAATACAGCACACTGATGGGTCTTGACTCTTTATCCAATTTGCCAGTCTGTGTCTTTTAATTGGAGCATTTAGTCCATTTACATTTAAAGTTAATATTGTTATGTGTGAATTTGATCCTGTCATTATGATGTTAGCTGGTTATTTTGCTCGTTAGTTGATGCAGTTTCTTCCTAGCCTTGATGGTCTTTACAATTTGGCATGATTTTGCAGTGGCTGGTACCAGTTGTTCCTTTCCATGTTTAGTGCTTCCTTCAGGAGCTCTTTTAGCGCAGGCCTGGTGGTGACAAAATCTCTCAGCATTTGCTTGTCTGTAAAGTATTTTATTTCTCCTTCACTTATGAAGCTTAGTTTGGCTGGATATGAAATTCTGGGTTGAAAATTCTTCTCTTTAAGAAAGTTGAATATTGGCCCCCACTCTCTTCTGGGTTGTAGAGTTTCTGCCGAGAGATCCGCTGTTAGTCTGACGGGCTTCCCTTTGTGGGTAACCCGACCTTTCTCTCTGGCTGCCCTTAACATTTTTTCTTTCATTTCAACTTTGGTGAATCTGACACTTATGTGTCTTGGAGTTGCTCTTCTCGAGGAGTATCTTTGTGGCGTTCTCTGTATTTCCTGAATCTGAATGTTGGCCTGCCTTGCTAGATTGGGGAAGTTCTCCTGGATAATATCCTGCAGACTGTTTTCCAACTTGGTTCTTTTCTCCCTGTCACTTTCAGGTACACCAGTCAGACGTAGATTTGGTCTTTTCACATAGTCCCGTATTTCTTGGAGGCTTTGTTCGTTTCTTTTTATTTTTTTTCTCTAAACTTCCCTTCTCGCTTCATTTCATTCATTTCATCTTCCATCACTGATACCCTTTCTTCCAGTTTATCGCATTGGCTCCTGAGGCTTCTGCATTCTTCACGTAGTTCTCGAGACTTGGCTTTCAGCTCTATCAGCTCCTTTAAGCACTTCTCTGTATTGGTTATTCTAGTTACACATTCTTCTAAATTTTTTTCAAAGTTTTTAACTTCTTTGCCTTTGGTTTGAATTTCCTCCTTTAGCTTGGAGTAGTTTGATTGTCTGAAGCCTTCTTCTCTCAACTCGTCAAAGTCATTCTCCATCCAGCTTTGTTCCGTTGCTGGTGAGGAACTGCGTTCCTTTGGAGGAGGAGAGGCACTCTGCTTTTTAGAGTTTTTCTGCTCTGTTTTTTCCCCATCTTTGTGGTTTTATCTACTTTTGGTCTTTGATGATGGTGATGTACAGATGGGTTTTTGGTGTGGATGTCCTTTCTGTTTGTTAGTTTTCCTTCTAACAGACAGGACCCTCAGCTGCAGGTCTGTTGGAGTTTGCTAGAGGTCCACTCCAGACCCTGTTTGCCTGGGTACCAGCAGCAGTGGCTGCAGAACAGTGGATTTTCGTGAACCACGAATGCTGCTGTCTGATCGTTCCTCTGGAAGTTTTGTCTCAGAGGAGTACCTGGTCGTGTGAGGTGTCAGTCTGCCCCTACTTGGGGGTGCCTCCCAGTTAGGCTGCTCAGGGGTCAGGGGTCAGGGACCCACTTGAGGAGGCAGTCTGCTCGTTCTCAGATCTCCAGCTGTGTGCTGGGAGAACCACTGCTTTCTTCAAAGCTGTCAGACAGGGACATTTAAGTCTGCAGAGGTTACTGTTGTCTTTTTGTTTGTCTGTGCCCTGCCCCCAGAGGTGGAGCCTACAGAGGCAGGCAGGCCTCCTTGAGCTGTGGTGGGCTCCACCCAGTTCGAGCTTCCCGGCTGCTTTGTTTACCTAAGCAAACCTGGGCAATGGCGGGCGCCCCTCCTCCAGCCTCGCTGCCGCCTTGTAGTTTGATCTCAGACTGCTGTGCTAGCAATCAGCGAGACTCTGTGGGTGTAGGACCCTCTGAGCCAGGTGCAGGATATAATCTCCTGGTGCGCCGTTTTTTAAGCCTGTCGGAAAAGCGCAGTATTGGGGTGGGAGTGACCCGATTTTCCAGGTGCTGTCTGTCACCCCTTTCTTTGACTAGGAAAGAGAACTCCCTGACCCCTTGCACTTCCCGAGTGAGGCAATGCCTCGCCCTGCTTTGGCTCGTGCACGGTGTGCTGCACCCACTGTCCTGAGCCCACTGTCTGGCACTCCCTAGTGAGATGAACTCAGTACCTCAGATGGAAATGCAGAAATCACCAGTCTTCTGCGTCGCTCACGCTGGGAGCTGTAGACCGGAGCTGTTTCTATTCGGCCATCTTGGCTCCAGCCCCTCCTTTTATTTATTTTTTGACACAGAGTCTCACTTTGTTGCCAGGCTGGAGTGCAGTGGCACAATCTTGGCTTAGTGTGAACTCTGCCTCCCAGGTTCAAGCGATTCTCCTGCCTCAGCCTCCCGAGTAGCTGGGACTACAGATGCACACCACCACACCCACCTAATTTTTGTATTTTTAGTAGAGAAGGAATTTCACCACATTGGCCAGGATGGTCTTGATCTCTTGACCTTGTGATCCGCCCACCTTGGCCTCCCAAAGTGCTGGGATTACAGGCATGAGCCACTGTGCCTGGCCCATATACTGAAGTTTTAAGATAACCATCTTTATTATTTTTTTGGGCTCAAATTTGTGTTAATTATGGGAAATTTCACCAAATAGCGCTAACACACATGAAGGTGTTTTGTGAAGATTATTTTTCCCAAGGGAAAAAGGTGAACTAATTGCCTTGCAATCACACGTTAGGATGCTCTTAAGGATCTGGCTTATCTGGAAACGAAACATTTAAAAGATAACATTGACCCTTCACTTAAATCTCACCCCCAGCAGAGTCAAAGTTTTGTGGCACTTCTCTTTGTCAAGAATTAAGGATGATATGGCGAGAAACAGGGTTTTTGTTCTTAAAACAACAGCTGCTAAGCAACCACTATTATCTATCTTTTGTTACCAAATTTTGGGCAGATAGTCACCAGGTATGTATTTCCAGGACCTCTCCCATTTTTCAGTGCTTCAATCGCACAATAATCACTGAATATCTGGCTGAGCCATTTCTCCTCTCATTTTAAATCTGGCAGTGTAACTACAATTTTGTAATTACACTACAAGGGAAGTGTAATGGGAAATTGTATATGACTGTGCTTATATAAGAAGTGCAATGGAAATAAATAGTAATGTATAATATTTCTTTCTTGGCATATCTGAATTAGGTTTTTGTTAATTAGTCATTTCTTTGAGTTTCACTCCTGATCAGTGGTTGTCATAGAAACCATACTCTGCTTAACTTAGTAGGCTGCTGATATTTATGGTGGGTATGAACAAAAGATATTAATTTCATCCACCAGGGTTCTAGAAGCATAAAGGCAGCTGTTGTGCCAACACACTATTTATCTTTATTTTGTATAAGTGTGTTCTCTTAGTAGGGTGGGAAAGGAAAAGTGAAAATATCCTTTTTATTTCAAGGATAAATTGTGTGTTGACACTTGTATTCTATCTTACATTATAGAATAAGCTTCTTTTAAGAAATCAGACTGTTTATACCCCAAAGTGCTTGAAATGATGTGTGTAAGTATAAAAAATTTCAACTTTGCCACTTTCTACCGGGATATTGCTTTGTGCTCTCCAGTAAAATCTGATTTTTAAACTAACGTGTACATATATTATTATTGCAAATGATGTGATATACAGTCCACCCTCTGTGTCTGTGGGTTCCATATCTATGTATTCAACCAACCATGGATCAAAATTATTCAGAAACATTTCATCTGTACTGAACATCTACAGACTTTTTTCCTTGTCATTATTTTCTAAACAATGCAGTGTAACAGCTATTTTCATGGCTCTTACATTGTATTAGATATTATAAGAAATCTAGAGATGATTTAAAGAATACAGGAGAATGTGTGTAGGTCACCTGCAAATATTACACCATTGTATGTCAGGGACTTGAGAATCCATAAATTTTGGTATCTGAGGGGGGTCCTGGAACCAATCCCCTGCAGATACAGAGGGACAACTGTATGCCATATCATGTAATACACATAATATTAATATTTTAGTATGTTCATGTTCAATCTATTTTTGTTTGGATATTTGTACTTACATGAGTGTATGTATATGTATTGAAAATGTAATCATGCTATGCTTGGTGTTTTGTAATTTGCGTTTTTCTACTATAACAATATTGCAAGTATTTTCTGTTTTATTAAATATTCTTTTAAAAACATGATAATGCTCTAGTATAAGCATGTACCAGACCTTATTTAGTCAATCTCTAAATGTTGGACATTTAGTTGTTTTTGAAGTATATTGAAAGTGCATCTCTGATTCTGTTATAGGGATAAGTTCCTAGAAATGGAGTTGGTAGGTCAAATAGTATATACATTTTCACATACATTGCCAAATTGCCTCTAAAAGAGTGAAGCAAATGAAAACTCTTACTAGTAGTATATATGTATTGGTTTCTCTCTATGCTTGTATATACTGGTTACTGCTACATTTTAAATCTCTAGTAATTTAACAGGCAACAAAGAAAGTGTCTTGTTTTTAGATTTGCATTTTTGAGGTGTGATTAATATCATCTTCTATGTTATGATTCCTAGAAACTCTTAGTTCCTCCTACTTAACTTGTTTTAATGGGAACAGACAATGTAGTGTTTTTCATACACTAAAAGTTGTGTGTGGAAATTTAAAGCTAAGATTGAGGAGAGAATTCACAGATCTATGGATGTCCGACTGTTGAGATTTTCCTGTAATAAATACAGGCTGCTTCTTTGGTAATATAAAATGGACCACTTTATCTAATATTATTTCTTAAGGAAGATCTTAGAAATGTACAGCTTATCTAATCAGATAAGCTCAATGGAAAATTATGCAGGGATTTATTGGGCTGCCACCTGAGATATATCTGTGAGTTCAAGGATATGTTAAACTTGGCTGAATCCAGATATCAGATAGCAGCGTTCGAAAGGAACATAAAACCTGTCTGAACATATTTCTGTGTTTCTACTTTCATCATAAGCCTTTGGCACTTGCATATGTGCACATGCTTTTTAAGGCTGAAGTAAAAATATACACAATTCTGGACAATACACAAGCAGAGAGATCTTGAGATCAGCTTTCCATCCCTGACTGTTTTTACTGCGGCCTGAAGGATGGGAAAAGAAATCATTATTCAGTTTTGTCAAGTAGTGAAATCACTGTAAGTTAGCTAGAAAATGCAAACATATTCTTTAAAAGCTAGGAGATCTATGTCTTTGTTAGAACTTTGGGATATCAACCTGCAAACCTCTGCCAGCAATCAATAGATGGCTCCTGGATCAGCAAACACCAGAACTGGATGAAAAGGGAACTATTCTTGCCCTTATCATAATAGGTCTGCTTGCTTTCCTTGATCATTCTCCACTTCTCCACCAAAAGCAGAGTTAATCCCTTTTCTGTGTTCTCTTGTGCATGTTTCTATTTTGGCATCAGCTACAATGCATGCCTTGTAGTTGTATTTTCACCAGTCTGGTCTGCCCAGATACCCCACACTGTGAACTTCCTTACAGCAGGCCTTGTGTCTTACCCATTTTTATACCTCAAGTACCTAACATAGTACTTGGCACATATAGGCACCAATCTATGCATTATGGTTCAGTGATGATTGTTCAGTGATAAGATTATCTGCCTTCGGCTACTCTGAATGTTGACCAGAAAGGCAGATTAGAGCATCTGGGAGGCACAGACTTTGCTAGGCCTGCATAGTTTAGGGAATCTGCTGTATTTCATTGTAGACCCAAATCCTACATCACCCTCTGGGACTTTTATTTTTTGCAGTCAGTTTTCTCAAATTTGCTGCTACTGAAATACCATAGGGGTTGTAATTTTAAACAAAATTTCTATTAAGATGGGTTTGACAATAATAATGGGAAAGGAGCAGATATTATGAGAATCTGGTTAAAGATAACATGCAGTGATGATTTAGTTTATCTGTAACCTCAAAGGATGGGGAAGGGACTATTGCAAGGAATTGCAAGCATTTCTGTTATTGTTTTAAAGGGACTGTTGTATTCTATACACCCCAGAGCAGCCCTACACAGGGTACCTTTTAAATCAGCTGGGGAATCTGAGTGATCTAATCAGAAAGTACAATGTTCTCGGTTTCTGTTAGGAGTGTAAGATGCCTTTTGTGTAAAACTTAAAGTTTTATTTTAGTTTATCTGGGAAATATCTTTAATAGCTCAAATAAGCAGTAAAGACTAAAAAAAGTGCATGGGTTTTTTTTTTTTTTTTAACAAGGATAAGCAATGTTCTTTTGAATTAGCTTGTTCTAACAATACTTTATTTGCTGAATTCATAAGGTTTTCAGATAATGGCCATTTTCTATTGAAATAGTCAAAGAAGAATATTCTTTACACCTCAGCACATGGAAGAGATTCAATAGATGCATATATTTATTTCAAAGTGTCACACCTACAGGTAAAGGATCATTAAAGTTCAATTTAGGTGAGAAAGACAGATAAACTTTGGTTGATTTCTGATTAATAAATATGCACCAGATAAATAAGACCCCCATGAAAACTAACTATATGTAAAATGTTCTCTACTTTTGTGTTTTCTGTAGCCCACTAGAAAAAAAATTGGCAAGTTTGGGGATTTTCTGATCATTCGAATAGGAAGAAAAAACCATGGGAGGTAGGCACATTTTGTCTCAGTGTCTACTTTTTATTTGGAGCAGGAAAACTCTTACTTCACATCAAATTACACAGGCAAAAATTTTGTTCCTCTGAGCCTAGCAATTGCATCACTCCATGTGTATTTCTTATTTTGGCTGATAGACCATTTAAAAAAATTCTAGTTTCTTATCACTTTCACATGTACTTTGATTTTTGGCTCAAGTTTATACTACAGCTACTAAATTGTAACTGTGATTTTGCCCTTCTTGTTAGAAGTCTGTCAGCTGTATTCATATGAACAGCATGACTTTGGAGGAATAATTGTTGAACTTTTCAGATTGCCATTCCATTTTTGTTGCAAAGCCCTGCAATGGGAACTTTATATGCTCTTAGAAATTTTTTTTGAGCAAGGAGAATATACAACAGAGAAGAAGGAGAATAAGAACAGATAGAGGTGATAAAAGATACCAGAGAATACCATAATTAATCAGCAGGTTTTGGTCACTTTTAAGCCAGAGATACATATTTTTTAAAAAGAGAAAAATCCCAATTTTACTAAACAACATATGGAATCCACCCTATTAATTTCTGATTGAGTTTTCTTTATCTTTTAGGATCCCCCTCCCTATTCCCCATCCCTTGGCCTCTGGTCTCTCAATTAAAATATCATTTTTCAAAGGTGAAAATATAAAACAATCCTTTATATTTTTGTAAAGTTTTGTAAGGCATCATCAGTTATGGGTGTAGGCTGTTCACAAACTGGGGGAAAATAAACTGGTAAATTTTTTAGAAGGGGGGAGTTCATCTTCCTTCCTTCCTTCCTTCCTTCTTTCCTTCTTTCTTTCCTTCTTTCTTTCTTTCTTTCTTTCTTTCTTTCTTTCTCTTTCTTTCTTTCTTTCTTTCTTTCTTTCTTTCTTTCTTTCTTTCTTTCTTTCTCTTTCTTTCTTTCTTTCTTTCTTCTCTTTCTTTCTTTCTTTCTTTCTTTCTTTCTTTCTCCTTCTTTTCTTTTTTCTTTTCTTTTCTTTCCTTTCCTTTCTTCTTTTTTTGAGACAGGGTTGCACTGTGTTGCCCAGGCGGGAGTGCAGTGGCATGATCACAGCTCACTGCAGCCTCAAACTTCTGGGCTCAAGGGATCCTCCAGCCTCAGCCTCCTAAATAGCTATAGGTGCATGCCATCTCTCTTGACTAATTAATTTTTTTTTTTTTGTAGAGACTGGAGTCTCACTATTTTTCCCAGGCTGGTCTTGAATTCTTGTCCTCAAATGATCCTCCTGCCTTGGCCTCCCAGAGTGCTGGATTACAGATACAAGCCTAGGGGAGTTCATTTCTGAATATAGGATTTGATTCTGCCTTACTGAACATAGCATGAAAGCTTGAACTTTAAAAGCATGTATAAATAGGGGAATGGCTAAATAAATTACGGTGCATCTGTATTATGGAATATTATGCAGCCTTTAAAAAGAACAGTGTAAACATATCACATCAGGATAGCAAATTCAGAGGTCTAACTGGCCAGGCTGGATGTAGGGGTGGGGGATGTGTGAGCTTGTGGTGCCCTGGAGCTACCACAAAGCTCCTGTTTCTGATTGGCCCCGTATGAGAATTGGGTATAATGTGGCTGGATCTTTTCATTTTTTAAAGAAATGGAGAATGTGGACTTTTATATGTTGAAAACAAATTCAAAAAATTTAAAAAAGGATTTGTGAATGTGGCCTACTAGTTTACAACTTCTAGTCTAAATATACTGACTTGGAATGATGCCTGAGACAAATTGTTAAGTGAAGACTAGCTACTCATAGAACAATACATATAGTATAATATTTTTATTGAAACAAAATACTTTCCCTATTACATGTTTATATGTATGTATATGTTTGCAGATGCATATAAAAAGGTCTGTAAAATGCTCTGAAAATTGCACACTTATGACTGAGGAGGAAGGTGTGATGTGTGTATATTTTCAAGGAGGAGATTGGGGGTGTTTAAAGGAGGTTTTTGCTTTTATTCTATATACTTTTGTATTGTTGTTATTTAAAAAATAGTGAAAATGTTTTCATTTATTGTTTAATTTCAAACTGTTTAAAACTGAGTTTTAATGTTCCGTTACCATTTAAAAAGTTTTCTTGTATTGTCCTTTTCAGGATGTAGACCATAAAGTAAGGAGAAAGAATAAAAATGCTTTGGAAGATATTTACTTCTGGCCGGGTAGTATGATGGCTCATGCCTGTAATCCCAGCACTTTGGGAGGCCGAGGCGGGCGATTCACTTGAGGTCAGGAGTTTGAGACCAGCCTGGCCAATGTGGTGAAACCCCGTCTGTACTAAAAAATACAAAAATTAACCAGGCATGGTGGCGTGTGCCTGTAGTCCCAGCTACTGGGGAGGCTGAGGCAGGAGAATCACTTGAACCTGGGAGGCGGAGGTTGCAGTGAGCTGAGATCGCACGACTGCACTCCAGCCTGGGTGACAGAGTGAGACTCCGTCTCTCAAAAAAAAAAAAAAAAAAAAAAAAAGATATTTACTTCTTTGGGACACAGCATAGACTCATTTATATCTTATGGCATTGATAGTCTTTCAAAGTCATTGATGAAATGGAAGTATTTCATTATTGCTGTGACAGACTCAAGTTTATAATTCTAAAGAAAATCAAAGCCCATTTTATTTTAAATGTATATTGGTTTTGTTTTTTCATTAATAAATCGATAGCTCTTGGTCATTAAGTGTGTGTTTGGTCACCTTGATTGATGATGCAATGTTATAATCTTGATTCTTTTTATTCTGTCAATGGTCAGAGACTTCTCTTAAGTGTAGATGTCTTTGGAATGTGTTTTATCGATCAAGTAATAGATGGATAAATCCATCACTGCTACTGGAATGACAATTGAAAGTAAATAACCTGCTAATTGTTGATTGCTCCATAATTGTACATATTATATAAATGTCTGTACATTGAAAAATTATTTAGCAGAACAAGTTATCTATTTCCTTGAATTTTCTAAGAAGGAGAAGATAAAAAAGGAAAAAAAGAGCCCATGTCACTTACATGAAAAATATTTGGGGAAACAAAACCATTTATTTCCGATATGAGGTGTATAAAATGGAAATTCCAAATGTGTTTTCTTCTCTGCATTTTGCAATTGTCCATATGCTGCAGAGCTTAAAATTGAATGATTCATAGACAACATGGTGAAATGCTATGTAAGTTCATGCTGCATGTGAACTCTTGTAAATTGCAGTGCTGACATGAACTCAAAACCTTCATCATTCCAATTCATTGTTTGAAAACACATGTTTCAATACCAGAGTGGCAAAACTTCCCTAGGCAAAAGTTGCTGCTCTGAATCTACACTACTATTCATGATTTTAAACATCTAACAATTAAATACTTAAACGATGTTACAATCATTCCTCCTGTTTCTTATATTGAATTGTACTATGGAATTTCATTTAGATATTTCCTCAGTGAAAAGGAAAGAAAAGTGAATGAAACTATACCATTCAAAATATTAAAAATGATCTGGGGGAGAGATGGAGGATTGTTTCATTACCCAGGGTTAACTGAATAAGAGGAAATAAAAGAACGTTGTTGCAGCATTTTATTATCCACTCTCCAGCCTAATGCAGTTGTGGGACTCTTGGCAAAACTGCCGCTTTATCTTAAATGAACTGCAGTATGTTGCAGTACTGAAGTGTTTCGGAAGAACAGGCACTCCATTATTTTTGCAGAGATTACCTGCTTCAAGTGAAACCTATACGAAATCCTTTCTGACCTGTTTGGTATTGTGATATTGATAACCAGCCACACTTTCCAGCCCCTTATCTTGCCTTCTACGGGATAATCTTTTCTTCTGGATCTTAATTCTGCTAATAGCACCCTTGACTGGCTGCCAGACAACAAACACAGGCAGGTGAAAAATGAATGGCTCCAGCCTGACCGCTGATAACTTCCAAAGGCTTTTTATTCTCAGAATTCCCTCCAAAAAATACAAGATGACAGGATGCCTGTCAATTGCATTCCTCTTGCTCTGTTCTGCAGGCACCCACCCGCCCCCGGAAGCCCCCTCCCTTCTTATGATTTATTCCTGTAAGGGGATGGCTAATTAATCTCTGCTCTGTTTGCTTTTTTCTTTCTTTAAAAAATTTAGAAAGTAATATGTATGTGTTAAAAGCTAGAAAACACACAACAGTGTATAAAGTAAAATGTTCTCTTCCTTCTTTATACCTAATGGTTTTCACTGCAAACAGTTTGGTGTGAATTTTTCCAGACCTTTCTACATACACATAAACATATATGTCTATTTTTCTTTTTAATAACAAAAACTGATGCCAAGCTATTCACGTTGTGTTCTTAATATATCATGAAGATCTTTTCTTAGTACATACAAATATTCTTCGTCCTTATTTTATTGTCTGTAAGATACTCCATATTCAGCATGTAATGTAATTCATTAAATTGGTCATTATTAAGCATTTTTATTGTTTCCAATTTTTCTACATTTTATGTGTAATGCATTTCTACTTTTATTTTCTACCACAGTTAACATTTTTTTTTGTATTTTCACAATTGTCCAAGAGTTACTTCTAGTTGCTTTTTTAAACCCCCATAATTTTTGTGTGTTTTGGTTTTTGTGCTATTTTAAAAACCAGGAACATGTGATATAGCTAAATTAAAGGTGGAGTTGGAGAAAGTAATTTCCCATATAACTGGTTAATGTATGGATTTACCTTCTGTCATTCTGAGGCTTACCATAGTTTAAAATTAACAAAGTGAGTATGCACCATAGATACACAAAATAATTTTAGAAAAAATTACTTTCCTGATTTATTATCTGTGGAAATGAGTTATACAACTCTAAAAATTCAAAAAACCCAGAAGTTTTATTCTGTGAAATCAATATACCACATTGTATAGGACTTGAACTCTGAAAAGTGCTGAAAACAGCTTACTGCCTTCACTTTGCAGGGGGCTCTGGAAAGCCCACACTACAGGCAGCACAGGGGAACAATGGCTTGTTGGCTCCAGAGTAAAATTTTGTACTCCTACAAAATTCTCGATGCTTCTGTGACTCCCAGACCTGGGCACTGTATCTAACAATGTAGTGAAATCAATCTCAGAATAAGACTCATTTGGTACCAAAGCAGTGATTTAGATGGAACATTTAAGCATATGATTATAAGGTAAGTCCTACTAAGGAGGCCTGGCACGATTAGCTTTGCTGGAATATATAAAAGTATCAACTGTTCCTTCAGGGAAATCATTTTAATAGATAACAGCATGTTGTACAATGTTTCATCAGTGATATTTAGATCTAAATTAAGAGCAGTTGTGAGATGGGTTGCCGATTTTTCTTGTGATAAAAGGGAAATAGTTCAAGAAATATAGACCAGATGTTATCTTAATCCATACCTCATGTAAAAAAGCACACTATGGGACAGTAATAGTAGTCCGTTCTACCTGTTTTTAATTTTCCTACTCTTAGACACCCCCTGTGAAAAATAGATTAAACCAACACATCATTTATGCATCAGTACTAGACTGCGGTTCACTCTGTATGGAATGTACAGATTGACGTTTGTAGCCAGCCATTGGTTTTTGATAAATGTTTTAAAATGCTCATTTGGCAGTAGCATTTAAGAGGAAAAAACCCTTAGACAGTCAATGGCTTAGAAGAAAAGTTCACAGTTTGGGAATAGTCCAGGCTTCAGCAAAGATTCTTAAATTCATTGCTCTTTGAGCTACAAAATCTATCATAAATTTATATGAAGTCAGAATCAGAAACATGAATAATACAAAACTCTCCCGATCCTGAAAAGTGCTTCTAGCTTTTTTGTATGCGTCCACCTATGGCCGTGTTTGCATCTGTTGAGTAGGGAAGCGTGGCTTCATAGGTCCCTGGAGTGTGATATCCAGTGCCCTAGGAGGGTATGTGGAGGGGACTGTCAAGGGTTCGTTTTGCAGGAGAGGGGCTTTTCAATCATGTTTCTATCTTGGATGCCACCTTATGCCTGTCACCTCACTTCACCTGGGCCTGGGTTAATTGGGGGTATTACAGGTTAAAATCTGATTCTAGCAAGTCTGTGAAAGTTGTATGTACATGTGAGAGCTAGCTCCAGGGTCCCTTGCAGCAGAAGATGGCTGCAGGGACCTGGCAGGCTAAGTGAGTGAAGGATGGATGGAAGACGAGAGGGCGGAGTCAGGGTCATGGTGAGCTGAAGTGCACATTTAAGGGTGCAAGGGCTACTCAGCTTCAATTTTTGTTATTCAAGTTTGCTGGCTAATATTAATAAGTTACTTAGGTTTCTTTGTTTTCAGATAAATTGTAAATCTCCATTTTAATGTCAAGTATTTTGATCTATTCTGGTTATATATATATCATACAATTTGCCATTTTAGCTGTTTTAAATGTACCATTGAGTGATATTAAATACATGCACATTGTTGTGAAACCATCTCCAGAATTTTTTTCATCTCTCCAAATTGAAACTCTGTACCCATTAAATAATAACTACCCCCAATCCACAGCCCCTGACAACATCATTCTACTTTCTGTTTATGAATTCGACTACTCTAGGTAGCTCATGCATGTAGAATCACATAAGATTTGACCTTTCGTGAGCAACTTATTTCACTTCGCATAATGTCTTCAAGGTTCATCCACGTTGTAGCATGCGTCAGAGTTTCCTTTCTTTTTAAGGCTGAATAAAATTCGGTTGTATGTATATACCACATTTTATTTTATCCATTCACTCATTGATGGACACTTAGGTTGCTTCTACCTTTTGGCTATTGTGAACAATGCTGCTAGGAATCTCCTGGGTTTTAAAACACGTTGGCCTTGGGAAGCATGTCTTCAGGCTGGATTGAGGTCTTGGGTGGCCACTTTGTAAGCTGTGTCTGAGGACAAGTGTGTGGTAGCCAGATCATACTTTTCCTCTAAAGGAAAGTAGCCATGTATAGAGAGGGATACTAAAGCAACAATTTAATGGAGTCCCCAGTGGTCCAAAAGAGTGAAACCAGACTGGCATTCTCTTCCTGGGTATACTTTTTCACAGAGGGAGAATTTGGTGCATTGTGATCATGGCTGCCTCCAGGCCTTGCTTGCTTTCTGTTGTGCCAATGGGAGTCACTATGCTGAATGGAACAATTAAGACAAGCCAGAGTCCACTCCTGGAAAGACCCTTCAACTGCTGGCAAAACTCTTCACTACTTTTTTTCTAGGAGAATCAATGCTTTTTTCAAAATGTGATATTTCCATTTTTATTTCACAACAGAGAGGCAGGTCTGCGCAGTAAGAAAAATGAGCCTTTCGGGGCCGCCCACACAGCTCAGCCTCGGCAGGGGGAGTTGTTCCAAACAGCTTCAATAGGGATTACAACTCAGGATTTACATTTTAAAATAATTAACCTTCTGATCACCAGTGACAGTCTGAGAGCATTTTAATGACCATTGTTGTTTTAATTGGAGTGAAAGCAAAAGCTTTAGAAAACTCTTTTTTCTTATCAGAATCTAGGCAAAAATGTGATTTTTGTTATTCTGAAGGAATGGGAAAAAATTACAAATTTTCCCAACTTTAAATTACCTACAAAGATTTATCGTGATCAGAACTGTATCCGCAGTGCTAAACACATGCTTGCATACTGTGGGTGCTTGGTAAATATTTGTAAATACTGCACTTAACAACTCTATGCAATTGTTATTGGAAGCCATTAGAAGGGTTTTGAAAACGATGAAAACAAAGTGTGGGATGAAAAGTACGTCTCAGTTTATGTGCTTTACATATTCTTTCCAAAATCTATATTTGCTTTTAAAACAAAGACTTAGCCAAAATTAGCTCTTAATGTAAAAAAGACCCCGTCAGTAGTTGCAGCAGGACATACAGGTTAATACTGAAAGAGTGTTATTAGTAATGACCAAAGACCTTTAGCCTCCTGTCCAAAATTCTGTTTTACTGTATAGAATGAGAATGTAAACTCTATCATGTTGGGCTATTTAGTAACTTATTAGTGCATTCATCTTTTCATCATTTGACAGGTGGAAGTAGTAGTTCAGTTTTTAGTTTTAATTATAAGGGATTCCAGATGTAGAATGCTACACAAATTAAAACCAGAGCTGCTCATATGTCCTTTCAAAGTAGGCTGACTTCAAGGTATCTGCTTTTCATTTCAAAATGTTATTAAAGCTATTACTAAGAAATTCATAGTCTTAGCCTGTTCCAATAATTGACACCTTTAAAGTGACTAAACAGATTTAGAGTGTGCAGAAAAGTAAATTTGTCTTAGAGAATGACCCTAATCATCTATTTCCATATAATGGACAAATCAGTGTCCTTGGAACAAGCCTGGGAGTTGATGAATTAAGCTAAAGGGTTCCCCTGTTCCCTCACTCTTTCTCAGTTTTACTTTTGCCTTCCCAAATAAATCTTCCTTACAGATACATGCAATTTAGGAGTGAAGATTGAATGATCTGTGCTTACCTGAATTTATGGTTCTGCAACTTTATTTTTGCCCATTGGAACAAGCAGAAACATTTTCATGGAAACGAAACAACTGAAGCCAGAAACCTTTTGCTTTTTATTTACTTTGATAAGCAGTCGTGGGGAAAGTTCTGTCCACAAAAACTTTCCAACACCCATTTCCTAGCTCCTTGTTCATTGAACACCTACAAAAGTAGTTTCATAAACAGCGGAGATTTTCAGTAATTAGAAGGATAGCTGGCTGGGCTGATAAATCAGAGAAATAACTTGTTTGGTGTAAACCGAGCCTGTTTCTGAGGCAGAAACGTTAGGCTTTTATCCTCTGGAGTGTGATTGAAAGGGTGAGAAGTTAATTTGGCAGCCTCGCTTCTATGGTTTCATAATGTTTCTCCCCACCCCCTCCCTCCAGCCCCAGCGAAGCCCCGGGATTGCAGCGCTTTGCGCCTGCCCTCATACAAGGCAGGACCGTGACCCGAAACGGAACCCCTCTCCCCAGGGCACATTCTGAGCAGCAACAGCTTGGCTCAAGTGTTTCTTATGAACAGCCGTCGTGAGCACTTGATCTAAATCATGCCATTTCCTTCACAGCGTGGCACAGTTAACAAGTCAGTGCACCAACACAATCTACAGATGGCAGTTCAAAAGGTGCGGGTCCCCCCAGCAAGATAAAGGGCAGGCAGTTCCAGGGGGATGCTCATTACGGGAATGCAGCCGGGGGCTCCGGAGGAGTGTGAGCGCCGAACTGGGCTGCGGATGGGGGGCGGGCTCCGGGAGGGCGTGCGTCAGTCCAACTCGGAAAAGGCATGCGTGTCTTCGCAAATCAAGTCAGTGTTGGGAGAGAGATGTTATTGAAGTAAAGTGCAAACAGCTTGCAGAGAAAGGATACATTTAGCCTGGGCTGCGTCCTTCCCGATTCGGGAGAGGAGTGAGGGTGGTGACAGGGTACAGCACTTACCTTGTTCCATTTATCTGCAACTCTGGCAAGTATAAGGCAATTTCCTGAGCAAAGCCTCCAACATCAAAAGCCGTGGGGGGAGCTCCCGGCGAAGGCAGGAGTCCCCCTGGCACTGGGAAAGCGCCCTGATCCGCAGAGGGCCCCGGCCGCCTTCTAGATAGAGGCCTGCGCTCCTCGGCAAATTACATTAGTGCTAATGTCCAGCGAAGAATCTATGAGACATATTGGGCCTTTAGACTTCAAAACAAGCTTAAATTGGAACCACATTGCGGGAATACTTCTTAGCTAACATTTATATTACTTCAGTTACCAAATCCAGACTAAGTCCCCGGACTCGGCAGGGGAGGACATAATATATTAGGAAGTGAGAGGAGGGTGTTCTCTTCTGGTCTCCTTTTATGAAAATGTACAAAAACTTTCCTCGAACTAGCGAGAAAGTGACTACAAGGCCTTAAAATGTGGCTGTCCGGCGGCAGCCGGGGGGCCGCTCCCTGCCCAGGCCGGCCCCATTTGCGAGTCGGCCGCGCCTTGGGGGACAGTTGCAAGAGCCTGGAGTCAGGCTGCGGAGAGCAAGGGTCAGGTGTCAGGCAGGCAGTTACACACCTAAAGCGAGATTCCGCGGGGTGCAGCGAGCTGTCAGAGGATGAGATCTCCGGAGACCCAATCAGCCTCGCCTACACCGATCTTTGTAAGCAAATCTCTTTGGGAACCCACAAGACGGTGCTTTACCACGAATTTCAGGGCTCAGGAGAAAGGAACGCTGCTGTGCTGCTCTTTCTGAGTTCTGCTGAAGCAGCTAGTGAAGATTTTTCCTTTCTGCACTGATTTTAATGTGAACATACTGAAATGGATAACATTCCTGCAGCTCAGAAATTTCAACAGCAGGACTGCCTAACGGGGGGCAGATGGTGCCAGCGATACTACTTTTAAAGGCTGTACAGGAAGAATGCAGAGTGACTTTGAGGGGATTCTGTTGCCCAGACTGGTCTGAGGTTTACACTGGCGTAAGTGCCCCTGCCAAGCGGTTCCCCCATGAGCTCCTCTTCTCTTCCATTTTTATCACTTCACCTATCCCCATGAAAAGAGGGGGTGTAGTGGGGAAGAAATTGGAAGTAAAGCTGAAGTATCAGCTAGACAGTGTAAAGTTCAGGTTAGGTGGAGGAGGGCTTTAGTTCTAGCTGCACTTTAGGGCGCAGATTTCACAATGAGTCTCACCTATTAAGAGCCCCCAGCACCATAATCCAGGGACTGCAGCCATTGCCCTTATCAGGTTCCTGAATATCCTTTCACACAAGGAGATTTCAAAGCCGCAGAATGGAGATCAGTGGGCTCATACACTGCTATGAGCTTCAGGAATTCTCTCTCCTAAGTTTATTTTGACTTGGTATCTCCAAGAATTGGGTATGACTTTGGAGAGAAAGGATCATAATTATATATCCTGCAATTGAGCAGTATTTTGTTGTTGTTGTTTTTTGTTTTTCTTTTGAGATTAGGTCTTTTTCTGTCATCACCCAGGCTGAAGTGCGGTGGTATGATCTCGGCTCACTGCAACCTCCACACCCCAGGTTCAAGGAGTCCTCCCGCCTCAGCCTCCCAAGTAGCTGGCACTACAGGCACGTGCCACCACGCCTGGGAAATTTTTCTATTTTTTGTAGCAACGGGGTCTGACCACATTTCCCAGGGTAGTGTCCAACTCCTGGGCTCAAGCATCTGCCTGCCTTGGCCTCCCAAATTGCTGGGATTACAGATGTGAGTCACTGTGCCTGGCCTCAGTGTTTGTTGTATCAGAGGCCCACATTTGCATCCTGTATCTTTTTGATAACAATGATTTGTTATCATTAGGGGAAATTTCATTGGCCATCTCTTACTTGATTTTATTTGAATTTCCACTAGGACATACATAGAAATTATCAGTTGCTTATTGCTTGGTGTTGAAGAGGCTATCAGCTTAAAGTACCTGTGTGGACTCACTGGTGGTACTATGATGTCTAACATGCAAATTTATGAAAATTGGTCGAGTCAGGACTAACTCTTTCCTATAGAAATTAGCATAATGCTGTGATCATTGCAGGCTCTCAGAATTTTTATTGGTAATTTGAATAGCAAGTATTGACTTGCTGAGGAAAATAGAAACAAAATACTAAATGTGTTTACTACAAACCACTGTGAAGTACATATGGGGAAGACTAGAGAGAAGGGAAATTTAAAAGATAAGACAAAAGAGTAAAAGCAAAACTCAGAACTTGCATCAAGTGAGTTTTACTTTTTAAAGTATCACCTTAAGGGATTATGCATTTATACCAATCATGCTGCCATTGTTGAAAACATTCTTGGAAATGCTCATCTGAAATTACCCTCAGACCCAGTTTGCTACTCAAACTAAAGCTACTCAATAAATTAGTTAATTTGCTTTATGATGGCACTTTGCTTTTATCCATTTCCAACTCTGTTATCCACCTTGATCATTTATTTAACTGATTCAGAAGACTTCATTTCAAATGAGCTCTTCAAATATCTGAATCCACCCTCCAAGAATGAACATGGCTTTTTTCAGTGAGACCACTCATGAGAAAGAGACCTCACCTTTGAAGGCAAGTCCAGAAGTGAACAAGTATAAATGTTTTGAGCAAGGGAAGCACCACATTCTTTGTGCTATCAAAAACTATGTTTATTATATTTTGTTCATACCTTTTAGTTAATGAAAAAGCAAATAGTGAATCAAATGGAAGAATTGAAATAAAAACTTTCAGTAACCTCTGATTTCCCTCTTAGGGCCTTCTAGTATTTACTACACTGAATGTATCAGAGTTGATGTGACTTCAAAGTACAACCTTTTGTTAATAAGCACCAATTTCCACTGTATTTTTTTCTTTTCTATCATTGCCTCCCCACCAAAAAAAAAAAAAACTTTGAGAAACTTTGTGGTTGTATTGGGTTATTGTTCACCACGATTTACCTTCTGCATTCCTCTTCCTGTGGCCTGTGACTTCCCCTGCCTCCAGTATACAGCAGTGTACTTTACTGATTTGCTGACTTTGAGCTTGACCATGTGATGTGTTCTGGCCAATGGGAATGAATCGGTGTGGAACGAGCAAAAACCAGTAGAACTGTAGCCAACCCACAGCCCTCATGAATATGAGCAAGATAAATACATCTGTTGTAAGTCATTGATGTCTTGAGGTTGGTTGTTACTATAGCAAAATACAGATACACTGGATATACTTTTATAATGTATCTATACAGGCAGATAAAACTTCAGTTAGTGAGGCCATGAAGAAAATCCTCAAATTCCCAAATTCATCCAGAAAAAGAATATCTAAGGAATTATATCCAGAACTCCAGATCCAAGTATAGTGGTTAAAGAATTCCACAAGGATCAAAGTCTGTGCATTATGTTTATTGGGGAAATATTTGTGACTAGAGGGTGGTCTGGGAATTTCCAGTCATTAAAAATGAACTGCAATCATGCAGATATCATATTTGATAAACAAGTCTTGGCACTTTAATGTGGTAAGCAGCAAGGACTGGCAATAGAGTTTACAAGACAGGTGGTGTGTATTTATTATAGGAGTACAAGTTACATGATGATTTCCAGTGGAGATGACCTGAGTATAATTATCAAGTTATCTATAGAAATAGCATAAAAACTTGGAGAAAGCAACATAGCAACATCATTCCATCTTTTTCTGTGTTCAGACTTGACTTTAGTTCCTTGGGTTCAGAAGTGAACTGATGCAGGAATCTCTGCATATTTCTTTTGCCTTTCTCTGACTCCAGCCCATCTTTTCTGATTGGGCTACAAGTAAGCGATTACTATTTTACCTCGGAATAATTTGTAGTTCCATTTATCCCCTTGGGCTGCTTCTTAACCCTTTTACTGTTTACCCCAAGAATACCTGCCAGTGGGGCTTGTGGCTGCAGTGTTTACCCCGAGGTAACTTTGCCACGAGATATCTTTAATTATTATTTTTGCCTCACTCTAGTATATTGACTTTGGAAACAAAGGACATCATTCTATTTATAGCACTTTGTTTTTAGTAGTGGTATTTCCATTTACAAAATATTGTAATTCTTGAACGCTGAAAATGTCAAATCCTAGAAAACATAGCATTCCTACGTGTGATGTTGAACACCGTTCTTGAACAGGTATAGGCAGAAGATTCATTTGATGAATTTGATTTTTTCTTAATTAGACGATTCTGATGTTCTGTTTAGAAATAACTCCAAGAACAGTTTTTATATTTTATTCTCACATTGAAAATCAGTCAGATTTCGTTCAGCCTCAAAGAGCATGTTTATGTAAAATTCAATGAGTGAGCTGCACTTCTTTTTTTCTAAACGAGAAATTAAAGACAAAAGCTCAAATATCACTGGACAGTAGACTAGTGTACCAAATTTTTTTTAGTCATCTACGATGTCTTAGCCTGGGGGAATAGTGAAAACTTGGGGGTTTAAAATGAAATAGCCATTATCTGCTTGGTTTAGTAGATGACACAGCTGCATGGGAACTTCCAGGTTCTTTCTTGTGCCCTATTTCTTCCCTTTCATAGATAGAAGACATATTTTCTCTACTCTATGGAATTGAGCCATTTTGTGGCTGTAAAGCAAATATTTCAGACTTGGCTGTTGAACCGATTTTTCGGGACTTGCGTATTGATACACAAAAGGATTTTAGAAAACCATCTCTTAAAATTTGGCTTTAGGCATTTGGGTTGAAGATGTTTATAACCTATTAACTGGTATTTTCATTTTAGATAGATGGTAAGTTATGCCATAGGAATTTGTCATTTTGTAGGTCAAAATTGTTGAATTTGGGCAATTTCATATGATTCAGTCTAAATATCAAAGGATGTTAAAGTGCCAAAACATGTTTATCAAATATGATATCTGGATGCTTGCAGTTCATTTTTAATTATTGGAAATTCCCTGACCACCCTCTAGTCACAAATATTTCCCCAATAAACACAATGCACAAACTTTGATCCTTGTGGAATTCTTTAAACATTTTACTTGGATCTAGAGTTCTGGATATAATTCCTTAGAGTTTGGCCTCACATATGTACAAAGAGGCAAAAATATTTATTGCAGCATTGTTTGAATAATTAAAAACCAAACACAATCTGCCTGTAGTTAGGAGAATGAATAGAATATGTTATAATACTGACAAAATGAATGAACAATAGCTACACCTGTCAATTAATCTATTAAGTCATCTATTGTATTAGTCTCAGAGATAATGATTAGTGAATTAAAGCAACTTAAAGATATACAGTATGATACAATTTATGTAATATTTAAAGACACACAAATAGTAACATATATTGTTGTGCCTATATACATATTTAGTAAAATAATACAAACATTCAGGGGAAGGGTCACTGACCAGAGCAGAGAGGAATGGGCTTGGGGAGGTAGCTATTACATTTTATTTAAAAGCGTCCAAAGAAGCCCTGGAAAAAATTAATAATTTTTTATTTTGGAGGATAGATATAAAGATATTTATGATATCATTATGTCTTCTGTGTGTTATAAATATTTTATAATAAAGCATTAATTTTAAAAAGCCTCTCTTAATGAAACCTGACTTACAAACCTATTGCCTTGTTTTGGAATTCTATTCTGAAAACTAAAAGTTGAGTATTAATTCTCTTTTTTTTTTTGAGACAGAGTCTCGCCCAGGCTGGAGTGTAGTGGTGTGATCTTGGCTCACTGCAACCACCGCCTCCCAGCTGCAAGCTATTCTTCTGCCTCAGTCTCCCGAGTAGCTGGGATTACAGGCACATGCCACCCCGCCCGGCTAATTTTTGTAATTTTAGTAGAGACGGGGTTTCACCATATTGGCCAGGCTGGTTTCGAACTCCTGACCTCAGGCGATTTGCTCACCTCAGTCTTCCAAAGTGCTGGGATTACAGGCGTGAGCCACCGCGCCTGGCCTGAATTCTTTATTTCTTCTTACTTTTCTGACAAAACAATTGTACTTTACTACAGTAGCAAGAGAATGCCTTAGGCTGACTAAGGGGAAGTCATCTTTGTGGAAATAAAAAATTTAAAAATCACTCGGTATTTTCAAAAGCATTACTCCAGTCACCTCCATTGCATTAATTTTCTTTTAGTGCAGGAGCCAACTCTTTCACTGACTCTAACTTGCCTTTTGCATTTTCCTAAATAGAGCTGAGGCTTATGAATAATCAACATCTCAGAAAGATGAGGAAACATTTTAGCTTGGAACTGATGGAGAAAGTAAGCCCCTGTTTCTATAACAAGATTGTATATTTTGTTCTTGACATTTTGATGCAGTGTCAGCAGGAGAGCATTTCTAGCAAATTTAACCAAAATGGGCATTCCATGCAAATGCAGGGTAACATTCCATAAATAGTCTTCTATGAATGAGCAGGTCTTAGGGCTTACATAAGGTATGGCTCTTTGGCTCCTATCTCTGAATTGTGGATGGACATCTTGAAGCTACTCTGGCCTCTAAACCAGTGTATATGTCAAAAGAGAGGGGATGTATCATTTGCGTTATTTTTGGCCTCAGGCAGCAGGTAGCCTTGAGTCAACTGGCTTAAACCCTATGGAGATTTATTGCTTCACATTATGGAAAGCCCAGAGGTGGGGTGGTCTCTTGGGTGTGCTCCTTCAGGGGCTCAATGATGTCATGAAGAACCCAGGTTGTTTTCATCTCTATCTTCAGCCCCCCATGGGCTGGCTGCCACTTCAGGCTGGTAGCAAGACAGCTGCAGCAGTTCCAGGAGTCCCATCTACTGAGGTCAGTGTTCAAGGTAAATGGGACTTTCTTAGGAGTGAAGAAATACTTTCTAGAATTTCCTAAAAAGCAGACTTTTCCTCACATCTTATTAGCCAGAGTTTGGTTGTGTGCTTGTCCTGAAACATCCCTGAAAAGGCTGACAGTATTATCTTAGACTGGTTGGGCCTAGTCCCGTACCGTGTTCCCAGAAGTAACATGGCTGTGCAGAGGATTAGTGGCTAACTAATCAAAATCAGGGTCTGTCAGGAAGAAAGGAAAAAGGAATAGATGGTGGGTGGACAACTAGCAGTGTTCACTACCGTGGCCTGGCATGTGTCTGGGGGTTATTTCTTTTACCATAATCTTCATTAGATCACTCTGTAAGACCCTGCACTGCTAATAAGTGTACTAAGTAAAATCTGTGGGCTTCTAGATAATCTTTGTGATGCTTAACTTTCTGTGGAATTTGACTGGGCTACAGGGTGCCCAGTGGTTAAACTTTATTCTGGGTGATTCTATAGGGTGTTTTTGGATGAGATGAACATTTAAATCAGTAGATTTCATAATGCAGATTCCCCTCTCTAATGTGGGTGGACTTCATCCAATCAGTTGAGGGCATGAATAAAACAAAAGGCTGACCCTCCCCTGAGCAAGAGGGAATTCTCTCTGCCTGACTGCCTTTGATCTGGGATGTTGTCTCTGCAGATTTTGGACTTGCCAGCCTCCATAACTGTGTGAGCCAGTTTCTTAATCAATATATTTACCCATTCTATTGGTTCTGTTTTCTCTGGAGAACCCTGACTAATGTAGTCTTCAAGTCTCCAGTCTCTCCTAATATCCAGATAGTCTGCCATAAGCACCTTCTATATAGAAATTCTGGGACCACCACTGCCCCCTGCTTGGCAGGGACTCCTTAAGCAAAAGCTCAGGTATTAAAAGCAAATGAAATTAGAAGAGGAAAAAAAATGTTCCTTTATATAGTGTCATTAGCATATTTATTTCCATCATCTTAACACTTTTTAAAAAATTCACCTTGTTTATATTTTGGGAAATTCCAAGTTTTTTCTCAGGGTACATTCACTTGCCCATTTGAGATTTTAGGAATATCTTCAAGAATTTTCCAGAAAGTGTTTCCATTTTGGCAGCAGCCAACTTTTCTTTTTTCTTCCTGTGAGTCAGATGAGATACTTGCCACATTCCAAATTACTCATTTGCTTTGTGAATGTGCTTGTTGTTGTGGTGACCAGAAAATTTGTTGGCTGAGGGGAGAAAAAACTTCTATTTTGTGAGGTAGGGATAGAGGGGTGGACAGAGGAAGAAGAAAGGAAGAAGTTTAAAGGAAAGAAGAGGAAATTCATGAAATATTTTGAGTCTTCCGTAAAAAGAATAGAAGAGAGGAATGCTTGATTTTGGCTCCCAGAGAAAATTTCGCAGGACTTGTGCAATGAAAATAGGGTCACCGATTGTATTCTCCTTTGTCAGTCACATACCCTTTTCCGGTTTCTTTCTCCAAACACAAGTCCAGATTAAAATCCAAGATCTGTGATCTTTTTCACTGGATGCGGTAAGTCTCTCCTACTGTAGGGAAGTCTGTTCTGAAGCAGGAGGAGCCCACTATATTTGTCACTGAGTTTTTTTACAGGCCACTCTCATAGTAATGACATAAGCCACCTCCCCAAGTCAGGAACTAGGAGGAATGTTTTCAGTATTTGTTTGAAGGAGAGAGGAGAAGCAAGATTTTTTTTCCTCTGGTTTCATCAGGAATTCTTATAAAATATAATTTAATTGGAAAAACAAAAACAACTTTGGTTTTTTCCCCTGAAGTATCATTCCTTCCCCATAACTGAATTAAGGCTAACAAAACAAAACTGTTAGCTCTTGTATTCTTGCCCCAGCCAAAGAACTTCAATACCTTCCTCTTTGCTTTACTACATCCAGTGAGAAGTGCTAGTGAACAGGTCAGGCCTGAGCCCCTACAGACCTCTTGAAACTGCCTCTGCTACTTCTTAGTGGTGCATCTTAGGTTCCTTAATTTCTCTGAAATTCAGACTCTTTTTTTGTAAAATAGACATAGTAATAGTGTCTATCTTATTGGGTCCTTGTGAGATGTAGCACACAGTGGCTGTGACACCAAATGTGTTCAGCCAGAGTTAGATATATACAGATCTATATTATAATTATTATGTGAGCTTTATTGGGAGGGCCATCACATAACCATAATTTAGCACTGACTCTGCACTGTCTGCCCTAAGGGAGTGTAACTTTGAATGCAAAACTTGCCTCAGGTTCAGTTTCAAGAAATCATATTCATGGATGATTGCCTGAAAGATGTAGAATCTCTACTTTCATTAAAATATTGTAAATTTTACACTTAGATCAAGTCAGACCATCAGGGAGTACTAAACCAAGATTAGTTAGATACTATTCTCAACAGATCGAAAAGAGGGCAGAAAGAAGTTTGTTAGAGGTAGCCAGGCAAAAAATAGAGGAGTTTTGGTGAAGTAAAGGAATTAATGCTATTTCAACTTCTCAATGTTCATCTATTATGAGGAAGACTGCAAGTATAGTATATCTGAGACAGGCAGGCTGATATGGGAGTTGCTAAAAGGTGAGAAATAAAAGACAAAAGAAAACAGACTTAAAGGGCATAGTCAGCTACTTTAAAGAGGAGGAAAGAGGAGGCGATAATAGCGGTCTTAGTGGCGTAATATGTTTGTTCAGAGTAAGAAGCAAACTGATAAAGAAACATAATTTTACATCATAAATAGTACCTGCTACCTAGTACACACTCAATAACCTTCCACAAGTGACTGAATGACACACAAATTCCTGCTATAGACCCCCTAGTATTTGAAATACAAAGTTTCAAAAACAGATTGCTTTATTTTCATGTCTTACCTCTTAGGGTTGTTAATCTTCTGTCCAACATTGAGTATAGAATTTTGAGTTCTACAGTTTGCATCATAGGCCCCTAGAATAATAATTTAAACATTGTCCTGGCATTTGTCTCAGCTGTGCTTGATCACATTGGATCAAGAAGTTACTAGTAAAAAACAAAAGCAATTTCTTCTCTAAGGTGAAACAGATCTAGAAAGGCAGCTGTATGTATGTCACCACGCTGAATGCTGAATTTGAGAGAAAGAATTCCATTGAATTTTAAGTTATTTGAAGGACTTCAAGCTCATTAAAAATGTTTTAGGTTCTGCAAAAGCCAAAATGTATTTCGCCTCAAATACATTTTTCTCTTGGCCTTTAAACTCTGGTGCAGTTGAGGAGAAATTTAATCTGAATGTTTGTGATTCATTTACACTTAACTCATCCCTGTGTGGTTTCTCAAGAGCTAGTTGGTGTTCAGTAATCTTTGGAGCCTTTTTTTTTTTTTTTTTTTAGCACTGGGAAGGTGAATTTTGCCCAGAGTAAATAAATTCAAATCCCAAAAGGTTCAGGTTCAGTGGGAAGCTCAGAACCCGTAAAGTTCAGGTTGATTCCACACTTACCAAAAATGTGTCTTCCTCCTATTCCTGTGGGTTTCATACAACCCTTTGCCTTGGATTTTTCAGAAGTTTGCATATGCAGGTCCCTGGATTAATATTTGGCTATGCATCCTTGCATATCTCCCTTTCACAGCTGCTCCACCCTCTCCAGAAACGAGAGATTCTTGCTCTCAAAAGACTGACTCTACCACTACATTCTTCAACTCAGAAGTAAAATTTCCTTTTTCCCTGCCTCATCTGCCAAGGGCAAAAATCCTTGATCCTAAACATACTTTCCTCCCATCTTTTAACATGTTTAATTTCACTTTAGAAGGTGGCCAAAATTCAGCCTCCAGTCCCCAAACTCCCTTCCTAATATGCCCTTCTACCTAGAAATTCTACTTTTCCTTCTCACTATAGGAGCTCCCCCAGCCCGTGGTCTTCCTAAATTCTAAATTAATAATCTAAATTGTGTAGGTAATTATGTATTGGATGTATCCTATTTCTCCAGCGGTTCAACATGGAAGATGCCCATTTCGCATCCCTTTGTAGCAGACATGGTGAACTGGCATTTCAGTCAGTACTGTTTCCTTCTTCCTTTCGGGCAAAGCCCCGACTTTGTGGGGGTGGCCCACACTTCTACAGGACTCAGAAGTGAATCTTGATTCGTCTGAACCAATCATGGTTATCCTATTCATCTTGCTAGAGTATGGTTTAGAAAGGGACTGGGTTCCAATCCTGGTGAAAGAGATATAAGGGCTAAGTCTTCTGGGAGCTTCTGGGAAATATTTTCTCACCCTTAAAAGGGGAGTGGAGAAACCCACAGTAGAAAAAGCCTCTCTTTCTTCTGTTGATGCCTATTGTTGTGTCTTACATGTTCCTGTTTCTGAGTGCGATGCTTGGAACTGAGCCAGACATCCTATGACCCTGGGAATAGCACATCTGAGGAGAAATCTACTCACTGAGGGCTTCGGAGTAGAAAGATAGCAAGAGTCTGGGACTTTTATGACATTTTTGGGCCACTAAATCAATCAAACCACTCTCTCTTAGGACTTCTTGCTATGTGAGATAATAATATTTCCTTATTGTTCAAATTGTCTTGGTTGGGTTTTCTCCTCCTCGAACCTGAAGGCTTTGTAATGTTCCCCTTGCTCTCCTGAATGAAATCCAATCAGCTTTGGTTGGGAGAGTATGGGTAGTGTCTCAGGGTGCCAGCTACTCCTCTACCCCTTCATGTTCTTTTTCCCCAGATGTAGTGACTTCTCTCCACCCATGGTTTATGACAGTGGGGGTTGTTCTTTCACTTCTTCTAACTCATCCATCTGAAATTTCTTTTCTGCCTCCTGAGCCATTAAATCAGTTCCTCCCTTTAAATCTTATCCTGAGACAGACCCTTTCTCGTCAGCGTTTGATTAGCTCCCTGTGATAGCTTGCATGAAGGATGCTCTAGGAAAGTGAATTATGCGGTACTATGTTATACTGCTCCACCCTGGGGCCCAGTAGGAATCATGGGAAACAGATGAGCACAGAGGTCAGAGGCACAGACTGCAGAGGAAGCCTGCGGAGGGATGGCAATGCTGTGATCCTCACAGGGACACATGGAAAAGCTCCAGTAGTCTCCAGACTCTCTAAGGTATAAGCTAGAAGTAAAACACTAGTTTATGTGACAGCCTGGGAGCCCCAGGGATGAACTGAGGAGTTTCATCACTATAGATCATAGAATTTTAAATAAGTGTGATATTCCAGAAGCTGAAACGTTCTTTGAAAACAAAACATGCCATAAAAGCCCAGGAATGAGGTCTCCACTGGATGTTTGCCAGGTTCAGGCTTTGTTTCCAGTCTTCTTCTGACTCTAAAAGAGTCCCTGTATATGATCTGGTGCAAGTTAAGGAGCCTTGATTCCTATACTGAAAATTAGATATAAACTTTAATTTGACTTGCCATGATTTACCTAAGGGGACACTATAGTAGCTGTAGGACACATAGGTAGCACAAGGGTGACACATGGGCTCATTTCCAGGCTCTGATCACAACTTACCCTTCCACTTCTCTGTGGCTCTTCTTGATGCACTTCTCCCCAACCTTTTCCAATTAATTCAGTACTATGCATTCTTAAACAATGATTGCATTTTCCGTCTTTCTTCATTTGCTCACTTTTGGCAACTCCCTTTTAGCTTCTCCTAGCTATCTTGCATCTTCAGACCACATGCCATTTCTGCCTTGAAACTTCCCTAATTCTCCCAAGAGGAAGCTTTGGAGTCATATCTGGGCCTGTATCTGTCTCTGCTGTATTACCTAGGGATGGACTTTTCTGAGTCTTGGTTTCTTCTTATAAAGACTGGGGATAAAAATATTCAGGGCTGTGGTGAGAATCCATGAGTGGCACATAGTGGATCACCAAAAATATTGGCATATTTTCTTCCTTTCTCTTCCTTACTGAAAGTGATCGTTTTTTTTCTTCTATTGGATCTCCCCTACAACTTCTTTGAAACTCTGTCAGAAATTATATTTTTAAAAAAGTTATCTGTGGTCAGGCATGATGATTCATGCCTGCAATCCCAGCACATTGGGAGACTGAGGTGAAGGATTGCTGGAGCCCAGGAGTTCCAGACCTGCCTGGGCAACATAGTGAGACTCTGTCTCTACAAAAAATTTTAAAATTAGTCAGACATGGTGGCGTGTGCCTGTAGGCCCAGCTACTTGGGGGGCTGAGGTGGAAGGATCCCTTGAGCCCAGGAGCTTGAGGCTGCAGTGAGCTGTCTCTGAGTTTGAGGCTGCAGTGAGCTAGCTCTTTAAAAAAAAAAAAAAGTATTCCCAAATGATTCCCAAATGTGGACAGGCATCTCATAAACAAATTTGTTTACGAGTGTGTGAGAAATGAGATTGATAGTTGAGATAGCTGAGAGTGGAGACAGAGTTTTTCTGGCATTTATTTTTCCTTGGATCATTCAATTTCACTCTTATGTGTTCCTTTAAGCCAGGTTGACTATTCAAACCTGTGTGGCTGGAGCCCAATATGAGAGCCCTTCAGGCACCTGATCTTGTATACAATAAGCTCTCTAACTCTCTGACTTTGGGCCAGTCTTTCCTCCTTTCCTTCTTTCACTCTCCTGGCTGCTTTTCCTGTTCTTGGCTTGGAGCCAGCCCCTTGATCTTGGGTTGGACTGGATTCTCCGGGTTGATCCCCACATGCTCTCTTGAATGTGGTTCTGTATTTTCACTCAGTCTCTGCTTCTTGCCCCCCTGGACTCTAATGTCCTGCCTGTTAAGCTTCTGGAACCTAACCCTGCTGTAAGCCTCACCCCCTCCCCAAGCCAATCCCAGGAACTAGAACATTCCTTTGGAGATAACTGTATGTATTTAAAGGAACCTCCACCCCCTTTTAAAACTCATGTATACATATATATAGAACCTTGCTCTAGACCATGTCATAATTAGTGCCTCCATACTCCACTTTTCAGAATGAACATTCTATTATGGCGAAAGGAACCATTTCCCATTTACTTCAACCCTTTACTGACTGCCCCAAAGTGCTATATTTATTTATTTATTTTTGAGATTTAAGAGGGTAAAAGTTTCCCTGGTTTTTTTTTTTTTTTGAGACAGAATCTTGCTCTGTCACCCAGGTTGGAGTGCAGCGGCATCATTATTAGCTCACTGTTAACCTCCACCTCCTGGGTTCAAGTGACCCTCCCTCCTCCCGAGTAGCTGGGATTACAGGCACACACCACCATGCCCAGGTAATTTTGTATTCTTAGTAGAGATGTGGTTTCACCATGTTGGCCAGGCTGGTCTTGAAATCCTGACCTCAAGTAATCCGCCCGTCTCAGATTCCCAGTTGGGGGAAGTCAGGTCTGGCCAGTTCCCCTAATTCTGCCACTGATTTTTTTGTCATCTCAGATCATCTTGAAGTCTCATCTTGATGGCTTCACATTGCTTCCTCTTTGCTCTGATCATTAGATTCTTGCCTGGGTAAAAATAGCCCTCTGTGTTACAGGTTTAGGCATATGGGTTTGGATCTCCCAGTTTCTCTTTTGGTCCATGAAGGCCAAGTAAGAGAGCTGGTGTGCTCCTTACCATGACCTTGGGTCTTTGACCACACACACACACACACACACACACACACACACGCACCCTACTTTACCTGGGTTAGAACCAACAATGACAGCAGATTTGGGAACACAGTCACTCAGGATATTGTTTCAGCACGGATTCCACGTGAATCTGGGGAGGCTTCATTCTGCCACTTTTATAGTCCCAGGTCAATTGTCCTAAATTTCTACTACTTCAAATCCTCTATGATTGAATCTTAGTAATTCCTGCCTATTTAGTTTATCTGATTTAAAATGTTAAGTACAGTTTCAGGTGATGGTTTCTATCACCAGAATTATTTGAAGGCTGATCTGGTTAATAGACTCTTGTCCTCCCAACAAGTTATCCTCATCTGTTTCCCTGGTTACTTACGATCCTGCCTTGGATAGACTCAAAGCAAAATGACTCTAAGAGGGCAATTGCATACTCTGTCTAAACTACTGACCTATTCCTTTGCAGGAACTTCCATTAAAATACAGTCATATGCCACAAAATGACGTTTCTGTCAATGACAGACCGCGCCTATGATGGCGGTCCCAAAGATCAGAATCAAGCTGAAAAATTCCTATTGCATAGTGATATCCTGACAATCCTGGCCTTGTATAGGCCTAACCTAATGTATGTGTTTGTGTCTTAGTTTTTAACAAGCAAATTTTAAAAGTAATAAAAAAAATTTAATAGAAAAAAGCTTACAGAATAGGGATATAAAGAAAGAAATTATTTTTATACAACTTTATAATGTTTTAAGCTAAGTGTTACTACAAGAGTCAAAAAGTTAAATTTAAAAGTTTATAAATTAAAAAAGTTACAGTGAGCTAGTTTATTATCGAAAAGAGAAAAATTTTGTTTGTTTGTTTGTTTGTTTATTTTTATTTTTATTGTTCATTCTTGGGTGTTTCTCGCAGAGGGGGATTTGGCAGGGTCATAGGACAATAGTGGAGGGAAGGTCAGCAGATAAACAAGTGAACAAAGGTCTCTGGTTTTCCTAGGCAGAGGACCCTGCGGCCTTCCGCAGTGTTTGTGTCCCTGGGTACTTGAGATTAGGGAGTGGTGATGACTCTTAAGGAGCATGCTGCCTTCAAGTATCTGTTTAACAAAGCACATCTTGCACCACCCTTAATCCATTTAACCCTGAGTGGACACAGCACATGTTTCAGAGAGCACAGGGTTGGGGGCAAGGTCACCGATCAACAGGATAATAATTTTTCTTAGTACAGAGCAAAACGAAAAGTCTCCCATGTCTACCTCTCTCCGCACAGACATGGCAACCATCCGATTTCTCAATCCTTTCCCCACCTTTCCCCCCTTTCTACTCCACAAAACCGCCATTGTCATCATGGCCCGTTCTCAGTGAGCTGCTGGGCACACCTCCCAGACGGGGTGGTGGCCGGGCAGAGGGGCTCCTCACTTCCCAGTAGGGGCGACCGGGCAGAGGCGCCCCTCACCTCCCGGGCAGGGCGGCTGGCCGGGCGGGGGGCTGACCCCCCCACCTCCCTCCCGGACGGGGCGGCTGGTCAGGCAGAGGGGCTCCTCACTTCCCAGTAGGGGCGGTCGGGCAGAGGCGCCCCTCACCTCCCGGACGGGGCGGCTGGCCGGGCGGGGGGCTGAACCCCCCACCTCCCTCCCGGACGGGGCGGCTGGCCGGGCAGAGGGGCTCCTCACTTCCCAGTAGGGGCGGCCGGGCAGAGGCGCCCCTCACCTCCCGGACGGGGCGGCTGGCCGGGTGGGGGGCTGACCCCCCCACCTCCCTCCCGGATGGGGCGGCTGGCCGGGCGGGGGGCTGATCCCCCCTCCTCCCTCCCGGACGGGGCGGCTGGCCGGGCGGGGGGCTGACCCCCCCCACCTCCTTCCCGGACGGGGCGGCTGGCTGGGCAGAGGGGCTCCTCACTTCCCAGTAGGGGCGGCCGGGCAGAGGCGCCCCTCACCTCCCGGATGGGGCGGCTGGCCGGGCGGGGGGCTGACCCCCCCACCTCCCTCCCGGACGGGGTGGCTGGCCGGGCGGGGGGCTGACCCCCCCACCTCCCTCCCAGACGGGGCGGCTGGCCGGGAGAGGGGCTCCTCACTTCCCAGTAGGGGTGGCCGGGCAGAGGCGCCCCTCACCTCCCGGATGGGGCAGCTGGCCGGGCGGGGGTGCTGACCCCCCCACCTCCCTCCTGGATGGGGCGGCTGGCCGGGCAGGGGGCTGACCCCCCCACCTCCCTCCCGGACGGGGTGGCTGGCCGGGCGGGGGGCTGACCCCCCCACCTCCCTCCCGGACGGGGTGGCTGGCCGGGCGGGGGGCTGACCCCCCCACCTCCCTCCCGGACGGAGCAGCTGGCCGGGCAGAGGGGCTCCTCACTTCCCAGTAGGGGCGGCCGGGCAGAGGTGCCCCTCACCTCCTGGACGGGGCGGCTGGCCGGGCGGGGGGCTGAGCCCCCCACCTCCCTCCCGGATGGGGCGGCTGGCCTGGCAGGGGGCTGACCCCCCCACCTCCCTCCCGGACGGGGCGGCTGGCCTGGGGGGGCTGACCCCCACCTCCCTCCCGGACGGGGTGGCTGCCGGGCGGAGACGCTCCTCACTTCCCAGACGGGGTGGCTGCCGGGCAGAGGCGCTCCTCACTTCCTAGATGGGATGGCGGCCGGGCAGAGATGCTCCTCACTTTCCAGACTGGGCAGCCAGGCAGAGGGGCTCCTCACGTCCCAGACGATGGGCGGCCAGGCAGAGACGCTCCTCACTTCCCAGACGGGGTGGCGGCTGGGCAGAGGCTGCAATCTCGGCATTTTGGGAGGCCAAGGCAGGCGGCTGGGAGGTGGAGGTTGTAGTGAGCCGAGATCACGCCTCTGCACTCCAGCCTGGGCACCATTGAGCACTGAGTGAACCAGACTCCGTCTGTAACCCCGGCACCTCGGGAGGCCGAGGCTGGCAGATCACTCGCGGTTAGGAGCTGGAGACCAGCCCGGCCAACACAGCGAAACCCCGTCTCCACCAAAAAAATACGAAAACCAGTCAGGCGTGGCGGCGCGCGCCTGCAATCGCAGGCACTGGGCAGGCCGAGGCAGGAGAATCAGGCAGGGAGGTTGCAGTGAGCCGAGATGGCAGCAGTACAGTCCAGCTTCGGCTTGGCATCAGAGGGAGACTGTGGAAAGAGAGGGAGAGGGAGACCGTGGGGAGAGGGAGAGGGAGAGGGAGAGGAAAAGAGAAAAATTTTAAATAAATTTCGTGTAGCCTAAGTCCACAGTGTTTATAGTCTATGGTAGTGTACAGTAATGTCCTAGGCCTTCACATTCTCTCACCACTCACTTACTGACTCATCTAGAGCAACATCCAGTCCTACAAGCTCTCATGGTAAGTGCCCTATGCAGAAGCGCCATTTTTTAATTTTTTATTCCATATTTTTACTGTATCTTTTCTATGTTTGGATGCGTTTAGATATACAAATACTTACCATTGTGTTATAATTGCTTACGGTATTCAGTACAGTAACATGCTGCACAGGTCTGTAGCCTAGGAGCAAGACCACATAATGTGGCTTAGGTGTGTAGTAGGCTACACCATCTAGGTTTGTGTAAGTACACTCTATGATGTTCACACAATGACAAAATAGCATAGTGATGCATATCTCAGAACATATCCCTGTCATCAAATGATGCATGACTGTATTATGCTAGCTCCCTTCCTAATGGGCTACCAAGGCTTGATTTCTTCACAGTTACTTTCTTTTAGCCACCTTTGAGATGGATGAGGTGACAGAAACAGCAATCACTCACATTTCCTTTGCTTTTGCTCCCACCTGTTGGTGCAGGGGTCTTGCTCCCATCTCCTAGCGATATTCCCCTAAGTATCTCTGGGTATCCCTAGGGAAGGCCTCACACGTGGTTGCAGTCCAGCCCCATCCACTTTGACAGGTGGTGCTGTGAGACTCTGAGCACTGTGGTCCCTGGCAGGTAGTAGTACTGCACTGCTGGATGCCGTGTCTGCCACAGGATGGGGGTGGAGAACTTGTAGTGCTCCACCAGGTGCTGCAGGCTCCATGGACTCCACCGCTGCTCTCATCCTCAGCACCCTCTGATGGGTTATCTGCTGAGCACCAGTATCTCATTGTAGAAGAAGCAATGGAGCTCTAGAACTGCCGAAGCTGCACAATGTTTGATTTTAGACTAAGGAAGAGTCCTCCTGTACAATTCACTCTGTCAGAGGGAGTCCTTAAGGGTTGGGATGCTGCTTATTGAATTTAAAGAATGAATTGTTCTTTCAATATTTAATCATGGTCCCCAAATCCAATAGGTGGCTCAACCAGAAGACAAACTCAAGTGACAGACATTATATTGCACCCAGAATTGCTACTGCCTTGCCAACTAAAGCTTTCTATTTTGTTAAATCTTTTTATGCTTGGCTTCTTGATATTTCGCATTAACAAGAGAGCTGTTCCACTTGTTGTCCTACTCATTGGTTCTCCAGTATACTTGGAGATTTTCAAGGACAAGGAAAGCCCAACTCAAAAGAACTTAAACAGTGAGAGATCTTCTCATTTCCCATTAGAGGAGGCCCTGTAGTCGGGCAGCTCCAGAGTTGGTAAGTCACAGACCCTGGTTCTTCCCATTTTTTTCTCTCTGCCACCTTCAGCTTTTTAATTCTATCCTCAGACTAATTCCCTTTGAGGTTGCAAGAGCATTGTGATGTTTACTGTTGTCTGACATAGAGAAAGAAGAGGCTGCTTCCTCCTAGATGTCTCTATGAGCAAGGAAACCTTTCTCAGACTTTCACTACTCCTCCAACCCCCAGCAGACTTTTCTCATCTCATTGGTCAGAGTTGCATCTAATACTCATTGCAAAACCAGTTCCTAGCAAGGAGAATGGAATTAGCATGACTAGTTTAATGAAGCACAGGCTATATATAGTGTATGGATTGCCCAGAGAAAATCCAGGGTTAGAAATTCTGGGTAGACTGTGGAAAGCGGTTTGGAGATTTCTCAGAGAACTTAAAACAGAACTACCGTTTGACTCAGCAATCCCATGACTGGGTATATATTCACAAGAAAATAAATTGTTTTACTAAGAAGACACATGTGCTTGTATGTTCCTCACAGCATTACTCACAATAGCAAAGACATGGAATCAATCTAGGTGCCCATCAACAGAGGACTGGATAAATAAAATGTGTTATATATACATTATAGAATACTATGCGGCCATAAAAAGGAATGAAATCATGTCCTTTGAAGTAACATAGATGCAACTGGAAGCTGTTATGCTAAGTATAATAAATTAATGCAGGAACAGAAAACCAAATACCGCATGTTCTCACTTATAAGTGGGAGCTAAACATTGGATGCACATGGACATAAAGATGACAAGAATAGAAACTGGGGATTACTAGAGTGGG
The DNA here is from genome assembly GCF_000001405.40 of Homo sapiens. Taxonomy (NCBI): domain Eukaryota; kingdom Metazoa; phylum Chordata; class Mammalia; order Primates; family Hominidae; genus Homo; species Homo sapiens. The sequence continues at coordinate 54,200,404 of NC_000014.9, read as the reverse complement.
GAGGGAGGGGAGCAAGGGTTGAAAAACTAACTATTGGATACTATGCTCACTGCCTGGGTGATAGGATCCCCCCAAACCTCAGCATCACAAAATGTACTCATGTAACAAATCTGCACGTGTACCCCCTGAATCTAAAATAAAAGTTAAGAGTATTTTAAAAAAGGAAGAAATTTTGGGTAGATAATCAACAAAGTTGACTACACCTGTGCATGACCAGCTATGGCTGAATCCTTGTGCTTCCAGCAAAAACAAATAAATGAATAAGATGTTCAGTCTTTCCTGCACTCAACAACTACAGCTAAGTACAGCAGGTGTCTTGACTTGCAGAGAAACAGAAGAATTGACATCTTTCACCTTCAGGGGCTTTGGAAGAAAATGCCCCACCTCCTGTGTGTCCTGTAAGGGAGCTTAGTTCTGGGGAACTCTGGAAGGACTGGGGGTGGTTCTTCCAGGTCCAGATAGGGACCAGGAAGTATGTGGAGGCTGCCAGCCTCCTGGAAGTCTTATAAACCCTGACCTTCACTGAGTTTGAGCTGGGATTCCTCAAGGAAGAGATGGAAGTCAACCTGCTGGGAGGAGAGGAAACACATAAGTGAGTGGAGCAGGAATGGGCTCTGAGACCTAAGGTGGTTTTGATTATATATTTTTGGTTTATTTTCAGGAAGCTCAGGGAGTTTCTGTGACTTGAAAAGGACATTTTTTTTTTTGTACCAGAAAACAACTTTCTAAGAAGTATGAAGTATTTTTCAAGTTTTGACTCTCTCCTCACTGCCTGTGCATTTCCACTCCAAGGGAAACACTACCTCCTCCTTACCTGAAACTCTTGCTCTATGTATTTGGTGAACAAAGTTTTGAGTTCTATATTCTATAAACTCTCAGCAGGATTTTGAGATTGATGTGGTCTCGTAACATCAGGAGTTTTGCAATTTATTGAAGATACGACACATTCACATGAGAAAGAACTAGTCTGAGTCAACTAGCTGACACCTAGTAAGCATTTAACATTATATTGTAATCCTCTACTTGTGCATTTTTTTACTAGTCTTCTAAGAGCTCAGAAAAATGGAGATTATGTAATAATTATATTTTGTAGACATTAAACAGTATGGGCTTTGAGGTACAGCAAATAAATACACAAACCATCAAATCAGATCTGAATCTTGGCTTTACTCTGTTCTCATTGAGTGGCATTCAGAGTTAATGAATTTGGAGCTTAGTATTCCTTATCTGTAAATGGGATATTATTCATTTCTAATACTTCCCCTGCCCCCCAGTACATACTGTGTTCAGCACATATTGACTGTCCTTCCTTCTCCATCAAATAATGTTCTGGTGTCTGAACATACAATGTGTGACAATTGAAAGGACCCTCTTGATTTATAGAATATTTGCAAAGAAATATGTTATTGGGGAAACCACCCCCAATATTTCACGTAGGTTCTTTTCTGTTTCCCTAAGTGTTGGCCTGTCTGAGAAATAAAGGAAAAGAGTACAAAAGAGAGAAATTTTAAAGCTGGGGTTCTGGGGGAGACATCACATGTCGGCAGGTTCTGTGATGCCCCCCAAGCCGCAAAACCAGCAAGTTTTTATTAGTGATTTTCAAAGGGGAGGGAGTTTATGAATAGGGTGTGGGTCACAGAGATCACATGCTTCACAAGGCAATAAAATATCACAAGGCAAATGGGGGCAGAGTGAGATCACAGGACCGGGGCAAAATTAAAATCGTTAATGAAGTTTCGGGCACTCATTGTCATTGATAACATCTTATCAGGAGACAGGGTTTGAGAGCAGACAACCAGTCTAACTAAAATTTACTAGGCAGGAATTTCCTCATCCTAATAGGCCTGGGAGTGCTACGGGAGACCAGGGCTTATTTCATCCCTTATCTGCAACCATATAAGACAGATGTTTGCAGAGTGGCCATTTTAGAGACATCCCCTTAGGAATGCATCTCTTTCTTAGGGCTGTTCCTTGCTGAGAAAAAGAATTCAGTGATATTTCTCCTATTCGCTTTTGTAAGAAGAGAAATATGGCTCTGTTCCACCCAGCTCTCAGGCTGTCAGACCTAATGGTTATCTCCCTTGTTCCTGAACGTCGGTGTTTTCCTGTTCTTTTTTCAAGGTGCCCAGATTTCATATTGTTTCAACACACATGCTTTATGAACAATTTGTGCAGTTAATGCAATCATCACAGGGTCCTGAGGTGACATACATCCTCAGCTTATGAAGATGACAGGATTAAGAGATTAAAGTAAAGACAGGCATAGGAAATCACAAAAGTATTGATTAGGGAAGGGATAAATGTCCATGAAATCTTCACAATTTATGTTCAGAGATTGCAGTAAAGATAGGTGTAAGAAATTATAAAAGTATTAATTTGGGGAACTAATAAATGTCCATGAAATCTTCACAGTTTATGTTCTTCTGCCATGGCTTCAGTCGGTCCCTCCGTTTGGGGTCCCTGACTTCCCGCAACATCATGTAAACCAAAGATATTATATATATGAAAAAGAATACAGTTATGTATTTATTTATTGTGAATAATGTCAACATGGGGCTTTTATAATCTGGTATATCCTGAGTTTTAAATCATAGAGTCAGTTTTATGGCTGAAAGAGACTTATTCTTGTCCTAGCCATTCCAACACTGTAGCCAATGTGGTCTTTCTAAACTCAAATCCAATCATATCATTTCCCTCCTTTAAACCCTTGAATAGATTCTTATTTTGCTTTGTAAAGCAGAAGCCTATTTATCTTGTTTACTATTCTGGTAACTCCAGAGCCTACAAAAATGCCTGGCACCTAGTAAGGTCAACAAATAGTTCCTGAGGGAATGAACAAAGTCCAAAGTCCTTTTGCTGATATCTAAGGCCCCTGATGATGGGTCTTGCCCCTATCTCCCTTTCCATTTCCTCTATCCCCACTCCCTTTTCAGAAACCAGATGTACTAAACTACTTGTGTTTTCACAAGAGGCTGTGACAGCGACCTTCCAGGCCTCTGCCTGGGCTGTGCAATCACCTTGGGTGCTGTTCTTTGTCCCCACACTACCCTCCGAGAATGCTAACTCCTATAGGTTCTTTATGGCTGTGCATTAGATGTCACTTCCGCTACCGTATACCCTCCTCCTGTGTCCCTCAGAATGGATCAGAAGCTCCTACTAGGGACTGCTATGGCATCTCCTATTTACTATTTTATAGCACTGATCACACTTCATTGAAATTGTTGTTTGTGTTTTCTGTCTCCTCCACCAGACTATAAATATTACGAGGGCAGGCCTGTGTATTGATACCTAATAATAAAAATCTATTGAATAAATAAATAAATCTTATGGTTCAAATCCATCATTTTATTTTTGAGGAAGCTGAGGACCAGATAAGTGAGTGGACTGTCTAAAGCCACCAGCACGCTGGCATCATGGAAGTGAGGCCTTGAATTAAGCTGCTCAGCTGTCCAGAGTTTCTTTGGCTGACTTGCTCTAATACCGAGCTAACATTGTCCCAGAAACTGCAGAAAAACTGTAACTGAATGTTTGAAAAATGTGGTTTGGGACTCAAATAATTACATAATTCAAAGGCCAGATACAAAGATTTTCTTTTTTTAAAAATCCTCTATTATTTCAAATCATTATTGTCACTGTTTTCCTCCATTGTCTTGGAGCTATTGAGGGAATGTGACGTGATAGTGTACTCACTGTTGTTGGAGGCCTGGGTATCTGCATGACAGCCAGGATGTAACTCCATTCCGGCAAAATCTGATGTTATCACTTGGGGTTTTGTTGCACTGAAGTTAAGACATCTTCTGCTGCGAGGATCCTGGTGGAAAAACATCCAGATATCAGATACCGTTGTTCAGCAGTGCCAACTAGCAGCATACTCAGAATGAGAGCAAAGGAGAAGTGGGATGGTTAAAAAAAAAAAAAAAAAAAGCAGAGGCTTTGAAATCTTGAAACCCTGCTTTGAATCCTGCTTTACCACTTTGCAAACTTTGGCATAATATTTTTTTCTGAGCTTTTGTTTCTTCATCTGTAAAACGGGGCTTACTGGGGAGATCATCCAAGAACTAGCATGTATAAACATCCTATTGCCGTGTCTGGCTAGAATGGGTCTTCGGCAAGTGTTGGGTCTCTTCTGTCCTTATGTAGAGATGCCCTATCACAGTCACTTTCCCAATTCAGGTACTGCAGAGCAAAGATCTTCATCAGAGTGCTCAGTCTAGGAAGCTAGTCAGTGTTCAGTAAATACTGGATAATTAATGATCATAAAGGAGATGCATTGTCACTGAATAACTAAATTCTTGCTTCAAAGAACCTGAGGTTACTGTCTCTTTTTATCTGTTTTCTACTGGGATATGGGTTGGAGATATATTTACTTATGTCTTCTAGACATTATTGTTATACATACACATATACCTACATGCATACACACTCTTCAGAAAAACAGCAGTCTGGTTTTATTACAATAATAGGATAAGACAGATCTTTGTAAAAAGGATCAAAGAATCTCTCAACAGAATATGGATTTTTCCATTTTCCTTGCTCAGATGAATGAATTGGATTGGGGGTCTTCCATAAAATGCCTGACAGTCACTTAGGGTCTGCATCGAAATCTGAAAAAATTTGGCTGAACACCAATTAGGAATTGCTGGGGATCTTAGACACATTACTGTACACCTGTCAAAAACTTTACTTTTCTTTTTGAGTTGGAGTCTTGCTTGTCCCCCAGGCTGAAGTGCAGTGGTGCGATCTCTGCTCACTGCAAGCTCCGCCTCCTGGGTTGACGCCATTCTCCTGCCTCAGCCTCCTGAGTAGCTGGGACTACAGGCCCCTGCCACCACGCTCGGCTAATTTTTTGTATTTTTTAGTAGAGATGGGGTTTCACCGTGTTAGCCAGGATGGTCTCGATCTCCTGACTTTGTGATCCGCCCGCCTTGGCCTGCCACAGTGCTGGGATTATAGGTGTGAGCCACCGTGCCCAGCCCTGTCAAAGACTTTTCTTGAGGTAGTTTGGGGGATTTCCCTGGGGAAAGTATTAATATTGACCCACTCTGACTACTAGTACATATACTACTCTCTTCTTTAGTAACAAGGTTGTAAGTTTCCCACAAGGACAAGACTTTTATGTTGAAGCAGTACTGGGACTTCTAAGGAGTGCAAAATGTAATAGTTCTTTAATTGGGTAAGTTACAACATCATCTATGGTTTTTCTTTTTTTTTTTTTTTTTTTTAGCAACTCATGAGCAGATATTCGCCCCATATTACAGACGGGGGAAAAAAGACTTGCACAAGCTCAAAATGTGCGAGCTGGAATTACCATGAAAACCTTGGCATATAGCTATTGTTTGAGGCCATTGTCTTGGCAGGATTCCTTTGGGAAATGTAGCAGGCACTATAATTTTAAGCCAAAACAATGTGAATTCTAATTTGTTCCTTCTCATTAAAAAAAATGAATGTGGAAAGGAACACTTCTGATAAGCAATGAGACAAAATATAATATCAGGTGAGGGGATGAAATGCAGAAAAACCAAAACCATTTAGTAAATGGATTGAAGCTAGCCAGAATTTCACTACATTTTAAAACGTAAGCCCAATATAACACAAAGGAATATGTGTCTTACTATGTCTTTAGTAAAGGCCATTTAACACTGGGAATCTTTCCAACAGTGTATTTCAATAACAGTAACCCTTCTTACAACATTTGGGGCATGCCACTTTGAAAGTCGATACTGTTCAGTGTCTACTGAAATTGCTCATTTGTTCTCTCTAAGCTGTATATAAGGATGATCATATAAATTATCTTCCACACTGGGACATTTTTGAGAGTGAAAGGAAATGCCATTAATAGTTGTGCCAGGACAATAGGCATAAATTGAAACTATCCTGGGAAAACTTGAGAGAAAGATACAGAAACTGACAATTATAGAAATATAGATTCTTGCAGTGTATTTAGAGAAATTGTTATTTTATATATTTATGTGTATGTATTTATATAGCCTTAAAAGAATAGTAACCAAATTATTTAACTTATTGTGGTGATGGAATTGAGCTGAATCATCTACACACTCTCAACTAGTCCCTCTGTAACTTAGACCTTGCATCTGTAGGTCTACTGCATACATTCACCCACTCCAATGCAAAGATCATAGCAGGCCTACCCAGAGATTGAACCCACAATCTTGCTTTCATCAGTTTTTTTTGTAATCAGTTTTAGGTCCTGTAGGACCCTATCAGTGGGCTACATGCTAGACTGTAAGATCAAAGTAAAAACACAGAGGGTTCTGAGCTTTTCTGTAAGGCCCCGGTTTCTAGTCCTGTCTTTATCAGTAACTAACTGTGATTTTTGGCAAGTCACGTACACTCTCTGTGTTTTTGTTTCCTTATCTCTAAAATGGGAGTAATGCTATCTGATGTGCAGACCTCAAAGCTTTGTTGGGAGGATGCAGTGAGGTGATATATGGGGAAGCCTTCTGGAAAGTGCTATACATACGTGAAATGTTATCATAGGAAAGAAGGGGTGACATGAGATGTGAGGGGAAAACAGGGCTTTCAAATCTAGCAGGCCTTGTAGATTAGGCTTGTGCAAACAAATGATGAAAATAAAGACAGGGAGAGGCATTATACTCTATTTTATTAATAAGAATGGGGAGATTGAGAAAAGTGAGAACAGGGAGTGTAGCCAGCAAGCACTAGGTAGATAGAGTGGGACAGCATCTCTACTTTCTTCCTATGTCACTATTTTCTTTAAAGTCTGGAAAGACCTCATTAAAAATGAACATGTTGGAGAAGTACTCATGTTAGACTCTGAATTTCTAGGCTGTGGGGATATACTAACTCACTCTGATTGAGAGGATTGCCTTTATTTTGCAATCCAGTAGGAATTAGAATACCATACCTGCCTTCCTTGTTGAAATTTTGTCAAGATTAAACAAAATAATTTATGTCAAATTGTTTTTGATGAACTGCATGATAAACTATAAATTACAGTACAAAATAATAACAATATGGTGACTATACCATAATATGGGTGACTACACCATAACTACTGATGTTAGTTATTATTATAGTAAGAGTTATGTTTTTTCTTCAAAATGATTACTGTATACATTCTTTAAATTACAAAAATCAAATGTGCTACAAAAATTTAGATACACCAAAAGGTATAATGAAGAAAATAAAAATCAAACATAATCCTGTTACCAAGAGATAAGAATTAACAATATTTTGGTGAATGATCATCCAGACTTTTTTGTTTTTTGTGAATAATTAAAAAAAATCAAAATAGAATTGTTAATTTTTCGGTCATTCTTTAAGTTGTTCACATTTATGTATTAATAGATAGAATGCTAATCATGTAGTTTATAATTTCCTCAGGGAATTCAAACAGATGATTACTATATAAAATGGAGAATGCCATGATGGGGAAGCAGTGGGTGCTTGGGAGCACTTAGGAGGAGCTCCTCTCCTAGGCTTAGGGAATCAAGGGAAACTTCCTAGAGGAAGGGACCTGTAAGTTGAGACCTGAAAGATGACTAAAGGTAACTAGACTGTAGTGGATGTTGTGGTGTACCACCATATACCTCTTTAAGGACTGGGCCACTTATCCCCCAGGTGGCAGTAGTCTTGCCTTTGATGGCTCTTAGCTGAAGTCCTATCCAGGAATTGCCTTCTGCTGAAGGAGGCTGCCTTGCTCAAGGTTATCTCATCTCCAGGGACAGGCGGGGTAAAAGGGCCACCTCCTTGCCTCAATTAGGACAATTCTGAAGGGCCATCCTAGTTCCAAAGCTCCTCACATGTTCGGCTGAGGCCTCAGTTGCACCTCCATGGCAGTTTAACTTTTCCCTCTGCCTAATCCTGCTTCCCTTCTTCTTTACAGATGTTGTTCTCAAGAGTACTGCTCAACAAAAATCCTGCACACAAATAAGCCCTCTCCTCAACATAGGAAAAGAATGGTAATTATGGTGAGGATGCAGGGAGTATGTTACTAAAAGATGAAATGGCTTGTTCAAGGCCTAGAGGTGTTGCGGGGCGGGAGAGAAAGGATTTTTACGAAGTCTGGAATGTGTAATTGAAGTCAGTGGAGGAGGGACGTGATTCCAGAAAGAGGATCAAGTTCTTGTAATCCATGTTATGGAGATGGGGAATTTGGACTTTAAAGTAAGACCAATGGGAAACGCTTAAAGGTTGTACATCATGGAAGAAACATGATCTGATTTGTGCTTTAGAAGGATCATTTTGGCTGCTCTGTGGTGCCATTAATGAAAACTCTTGTTATCATGATCACTGTATTTTTTATTAGAATATTGGAGTGTCTCATGATTCCTTCTGCATGTCATACCTTTATAGAATGTATGGCAAACTGCAACGCCCCCAGGCAAGTCATGTAATAAACACAAGTATTGCAGCAGTATTGTGAAAAGTCAAACTCTGAAGGGATTCAATCACAGTGCTTCAGTCTTTTTTTTTTTTTTTTTAACTTGGTTTATACTGTTTTAAGTATTTGTTGAGCACTAACTACTTGCCAGAATGCACTGTGCTATTGCTATGGAGGATTCAAGACAAAAGCTCCAAGAAGAATGCCATGCCTGTCTTTTCCATTGCTTTACCCACTGTAGTGCCTGACAAACAGTGAGGGCTTAATAAATGAATAAACAAAGGAGGAGTCTCAGAAACATGGGCAAATTACTTAGTCCTCATGATCACACAATGGATAGTAGTGGTGTCTACCTATTCAGGTTGTTGTGAGGGATAAGTGAGATAATGTAGATAAAACACTTAGTTCACAGGCTTAATATTTAGCAAAAATCATATTTACTGAAATCATTCAAGGACTGTTTGTTATTCTCAGTATTCATAGAAATAAGTTAAGACCTTAAATGATTACAACTAAACTTCTGAGGTCAATTTCTCTTTTGTCGTCTTCACCCTGTAATATCACTTCAAAAAAAATGTGATTTGAAACCAGGTTAAAAGATTCATTCACTCATTACTTTATTCAACGAATTGGTTTTGAGGCATCCGAAGTGCCAGATATAGGTTATACAGTGTATACAGAATAGACACCATCCTTGTTCTCCTGGAGCTTATAGTCTAGAAGGGAGATGTTAAAAGAAAATCTCATAAATTATACGAACCAAAACAGTCTGCCATGAGAGAAAATAATAGAAAGAAGCTAATTTTGATCTGGGAATCAGGTAAGGCCTCTCTGAAGAAGTGACCTTTGATCTGAGAACTAAGAGTAGGAGTTTCATTAAGAATAGGGATGGCCGGGCGCGGTGGCTCACGCCTGTAACCCCAGCACTTTGGGAGGCCGAGGCGGGCGGATCACGAGGTCAGGAGATCGAGACCATCCCGGCTAAAACGGTGAAACCCCGTCTCTACTAAAAATACAAAAAATTAGCCGGGCTTAGTGGTGGGCGCCTGTAGTCCCAGCTACTTGGGAGGCTGAGGCAGGAGAATGGCGTGAACCCGGGAGGCGGAGCTTGCAGTGAGCCGAGATCCCGCCACTGCACTCCAGCCTGGGCGACAGAGCGAGACTCCGTCTCAAAAAAAAAAAAAAAAAAAAAAAAAAAAGAATAGGGATAAAGCACTCCATGCAGAGGGAAAACCCTGTGCATAGACCATGGGGTAGAAAAAATGCTTGGCCCATTAAAAGGACAGAGAAAAAGCCAGTGTGTCATAGTGGAGAAAGATGAAGCTGGAAAGAAGGCAGGAAAAGATCTTCCAGGGCTTTTGTTGCCACATGGTCTTCCTTTATCCAGACTAAAAGGATACACAAACTGACTAAAATCTGACTGCTCTCTATATCAGAGTAAGTTCTTGATGCCTGTTAAATAGGAGGACAGGTAAACTGCAGTCTGAACAGTCACATCTAAATCTTGGGAAAAACTGGCTATTTTTTTCCCCATGTGGTCACCACAATGCATGAAAAAGCATATAGCAAAGGTGCTTAGTTGTTTGATGAGAGAACTAATATATTTGCAGAAATATATTGCATATCGTTCTACCTACATTTCTACCCCTGAATAAAGTGGGAACTTTTCGAAAGTCTTTTTCTGCTTCCCTCCTGCCCAACCCCCTTTTTTCTTGCATTTCTTTCAGCAGAAACAATCAATGGGAGTAGGGGACAATTTAGAATCAAGATGCTGCGGTGGTTTCCTAGGAAACTCAAGAGAATTTTGGGTGCCATAAGTGTTTGGGTAGTGGCTTGCATAATGGATTTACTTAGAGAGGCCTCCATTTCCCTCTCAATGATTAGAACAACCTGTGTTCTGGAATACAGTATTTAAACAGTGAGATTGGCATTGCTGTCTTCCAGGATGGTGAAGGTTTAATTAACATTTGAAAATGCTTTGAGATCTTTGGATAAAAGTATTCTGGAAACATGAAGTGTTATTATCTTTGGAGTGATATAGGTCACGTGACACAGGAAGTGGCTTTGAAGGAAAGGAAAACCTTTCATCAGGCAAACTCCTTAGGGTGGTTTGAGCATGTTTTGAGTGACTCAGCATGCCCGTGTCATCTCTCCCTAGACTGTGAATGAAAGGAATAACTTGGCCTACAGCTTAGCAAATGCCACCATCATTAACTGAAAAATTTAGTAAGCTTGTATATTAAACACTCTACAAATTATGCAGAATCCTAAAGTATTTAGCGCAGTTGTCCCTTAATAAGCATTGAATAAATATTAGCTGTTACTATTATTGTTATTAGCGGTTACTGTTATTATAATATTAACTGTTACTACTATTGTTATAGTTGAAGACATCTGGACTTTTCTCTGAATTTAATGCCCTTTAACCAAAGAACTTAGTATTCTTCAGTGGTAAACCAACTTTACTTTCATTTTCAAGACTTGGTAAAGAGCAAAATAAATGTAAACTGTTGCTACAGAGACCCTAATGTGAGGGCTACAGATAAGGCATGTTTAGTGTCTGGAACCCTTCCTGGAAGGTTGGGTACTTAGTTTTTCCCTTTCCCAAGAAAAAGAACCCAAAACAGAAATTAGGTTTCCTAACTTTAGTTCCTTGATGAATCCCCAGGGTCTTAGTAGACAGGATTTCAAAGAGAACACTTTAAACTAGTTCCAATTTATTTAAGAGTAGAAGTGCAGAAGGATTTCATCCTGTTCCTTCTATTAACTTACGTGTCTTCGTAATACTGCCTGGAAATGTAGAAGACAGGGCAGGGGTGGGGAGTGGAGAATAGGAATATGGTTCATTTGAAAAAAGTTTATTTTTGAGGAATATATATATCAAACCAAACCTGTCCATGTGTATTTGTGAAATTAATTTTACCAGCTAGAAGACCTGGGGGCTTTATAAATACACAAATTTGCCTCAAATAATACATATATATATATACACACACACACACACACACACACACACACACACACACACACACACGTATTTATGTATTTTTTACTAAGAAAAACTGGTGGGTGCGGTGGCTCACGCCTGTAATCCCAGCACTTTGGGAGGCCGAGGCGGGCGGATCACTAGGTCAGGAGTTCTAGACCAGCCTGGCCAATATGGTGAAACCCCATCTCTACTGAAAATACAAAAATCGGCTGGGCATAGTGGCGGACACCTGTAGTCCCAGCTACTTGGGAGGCTGAGGCAGGAGAATCTCTTGAACCAGGGAGGCAGAGATTGCAGTGAGCCGAGATCGCGCCACTGCACTCCAGCTTGGGCGACAGAGCGAGACTCCGTCTCAAAAAAAAAAAAAATAAAAAAAAATTAAAAAGAAAAACTGCTTTGGTAGAACATGGCACACAAGGGAAGGAGGGGAGGGAATTAAGAAAAGGGTGTCTGCAAGAGGCTAACGGGTCTAGGGCACAGGAGAGGCCGGCGGGGCATGCTGGGAAGGCAGCTGCCCGGAGCATGCCGGGATCGAGGTTGTCTGGGGCATGCTGGGAAGGCTCTCAGGACTGTTTATCCCGCTCCTGAGGCTGGGGAGGTACCCCCAGGCGCAGGCACACAGTATAGTGGGGTCAAGCATCTAGCTGACCTAATTAAAAGCTCATTACACTAGCCCATCCCCATTAACAGGCTGACCCACGTGCAAATCCATTAACGCAGGATTCTTCCCTGCTTCCCAAATCAGGAATCCCAGCCGCAGCCCCGGGGCCTGGAAACTCCGGCCAGTTTATTAAAGTGCCTTCCCCGCCTGTGACCATCAGGTACGGTTTCTTTCTGGATTATTTCACATTCCAGTAAATTAGTTTTATCCGCTCTGAAACATTTTAACAAAGCTCTCTGGTCATCACATGAGTAAAATAACAAGGGATAAAAGAACATGTACTTCACCTAATCAGAAACAAATAACTTTAAATCTCCCTTCAAAATTCAGCCTTTCCTGTCCCGCCACCCTTTTCATTTATCTTAACACTGGTGGGATTTTGAAATTTTCGTCCTAGAGTCAGACTATGGTACAGGTCCTTCTTTCCTTGTTTTTTACATAATTGTTGCCGACCTTCACAGAAGACCTCAAAACTTGTTAAGTATAAAGTTGGTAAATGATACTATTGTTTGGGAGGTGGAGGTGGGGGTGAGGTTGGGGGTGGGGGTGGGGTGGGAGCAGGGGGTTTATCTAGGAAAAAAAAGGAAAATGCACCCTAACCAAGCTCAAATTAACTGAAATGGATCAAAGTAAACAGAGACATCTAAAAGCTTTTGTAAGTTAAAAGTGGCTATCTGTTGCAGGTCTTGCCTCATTAACTGCTGATTGAAGCTCTGCTTGGCCCTCTGGGATACCTAACACCCCAGGGCCTATCACCAGATGAACCCGGCTTAGGCGCTCTTGCCTTTCCCTATGTTGCTTTGCACAGCTCCTTGACCTCAACCTTCTTACAAATGTTTATCCTTCCTACCAGGCAAAGGGAGAATCTTGCTGGGAATCTCGCTTCTAGCCAATGAGGAATTTTCAGAAAAGCGAAATGGAATGCATCATTTTGACATCTCTGCAGATCTGTATTCCGAAAGGTAGATGCTCAGCTGTGGTGTTTTAAATAAGCCTCTGCACAACATTATGTAGGAGAAAGAGTCCACATTTTGTTTTTCCCTGGGTGTTGCCTCATTTTCATATGTGAATGGTGAAAGGTGATGATTAGACCATGTGCTTTAAGATATAGCTATCTCTTGGCCCCCATGGTCCCAGCCAGTCACCAGGCCATTCAGCTGGGACAGGGAGCTGAAAATGAGAGGTTGTCTAGGGAAGGCAGAGAGAATGGTAGTAGGGGAGATCTGGGGGAGGAGGGGAGGGAGGAGCAGCGCTCTTTGAGTAGGACCAGATAGGTCTCTGTGTAGAGTAATATTACAGCTCTTTCTCTCATAAACAAGCTGCATGCCTGCTTCTAAAGACCCATCTGGCATAGCTTTGAGAATGGCAATAATTACAAGCTGATGATGGACATGGAAAAAAAGCCCCGCTGAGCTAACTCATAAGGAAGTACAGGCCAGGACTGCAGGGAAATTACAGGCTGAAAACCTTTCTAGTTTAGGCCTTTTGGTGTTCTTAATCACAGACTTTAAATGTTGTAATAAACACTGTTGCATTTTATTGACCAACTCCCATGACAGGCAAATCTTTTTCATTTTATTTTATTTTTACCATTTGCTCTTTGGAAAGCTGTTCGGTAGTATCTGCCTGGGCCATGCCAATGGGTCTTTTGCTTTTCTGCTCATAGAAAAATTAGGAAAACGAGTGACTTTTTATTTAGTTCCCAGAATTTTGCAATTTTTTTTTCTAAATTGTTCTCTCATTCTGTGGTTCAGACGGACTTCCAGGCTCTGTGCTTAACCTATAGCTATGTAAGATAATGGTCTGGTAGTTTCAGTCAAGAAGATTGAAGAGGCTTAAAAAAAAAGAAAAAGCCAACTTGGGAAGATTAATCTATGATTCTATTCTGTATCATCAAATAGTGTTTATGATACAGGAACAAATAAAAATCCAAGTTAAATACTATATTGTTAGATTAATGGAATGCTAAGTCCTGGCCTTGTTTTAGAGATACATAATCCTTATTTCAAGGATGGATTTTATATTGGAAGGATGATCCTTTTCAAAGTTTTGGAGCCTAATATTTTACAAGTAGGCCTAAGACATTTTGTCCTCTCAAACATTTTAGATCATTTAATGGAGCAAATACTTTTAGGAGATTATCCTAAGAAGAAGAAAATGGAAACACTGGAAAAGAATTTACTCCCCTGAATCATTATTAACCTCAAAATCCATAGCTTAAATGTCATAACAAAGGAAGTCTTGAATATAGCATATTACTCGTTGCTGTTATGAGTGTTTCATACTATAATGTGGAATTTATTCTAATTCAACGTATGCTATCAGTCTCCATGAAAAGAATTTGATATTCATTTTATACATTTTAAAAGTTTGAGGTTAGATATAATGAAGAATCACATGGATTAGGATTTTTACTGAACCTATTATACAAGTGTATCTTTGTTCAAAATATACCTTTTTGGATTTTAAAGCAGAGCATGTAAATTTCATTATTCTTTAAAGCACTAGATACTGCTTTTGGAACTTATTTTCAAGTCTTCCCTTCTGTGCCACGATTTCTTATTCATATTCCTTAAAGACTTGTATTTTATTCTTTGTGTTTTGTATACAGTCCTCGCTATCCCAGATGGATTATTTAGTTCTATCCTTTGCATTTGATTACTTGTTCAAGCACATAAAGTTTTGGGGTCTATGAAGTTAAAGTAATGAAATGGTTGCACAATGGAAATTTACCAATGTAAACTTAGTCTCTTGTCCTTTCATAAGCATTGCTTTACCTGAAGCTCCCTTGTCAATGAGAAATTATTTCCTTATATCTGTCTTTTTTCCTATACAGGCTAGAATTGTTCCTAACAAAAGAAGCATGAATTGGTGAAAACTATATATTAAATGCAAGACTATTTGTCTAGTTTTCATTAGGTTGCTGAGTGAAAAGCCTCAATTCCTCTCTTTTCCCAAGGTACTCAGATATCCACGAAGTCCTCCTCATCTCACACCATCGTTTCTCTCACTGGGCACAATCCAGCTTTAAAGAATTCAACACTTACTGGTCTTCAGAGGACTGTCAGCAATGACAGCAACCAGGGATGCTGACATGTCTTGTTGTTTACAAAGGATGAGCACAAGGCCTTTTGGATAACCTGATAAGCCCTGCAACTCCTCTCTCCCTGTTCCTCACCTCTCTGGACCAGCTGCCTTTGTGTGGTGAGCTAAAGATGCAAATATTAAAACTTGATCTAAACACCGACAAGTCAGCAAACAGCAGCAAAGATAAAATAAGGCTGCTCAAGGATATTGTGTAAATCGTGAAAATAGTAACAAGAATATTTCTGTCCCCAAATCCTTATATGAAAATCATTTTTATATACTTAAAATTGGATGGAAAAAATCCTAGAATAGCATTAAATTCATATATTATTATTATGGCCTTGAATATTTAATCTTTGTTTCTCACATTAGCATCCCTCCACTTCTCTAGAAAACCCAACCAATTTGTAGTTAAATTAAGTACAAAGGTTTTTTTTTTTTTTTTTAAGTATTCCAAATATACTGTTTCCTATTTAGGGAGTCCAGAAATGTCTTGGAAATTATGCAAATGCACACGCCTTTCCTCATTCCTACTTAGTAAAGTGGAAATTTCTTTTCAGGAAGGGAATCCTGGGAAGTTGGACCTCCTTTCTCCTTTTCCTTTTGCTGCCTTTCAGTGTTGAATACATGGAAGGAAGGAAAGTATTTGGTTCAATGCTTTTCTTAAATGATATATGAATAAATTATAACTCCACCAATGCATAGGGTTTAGCGGTATTGTCTTCCTTAAAATCTTTGTAATTGATTGAGACAGTACTGTTTATCTTCTAAAGGTGTCAGACTATTCCTAGAAATGAGCTCTTCAAGGTATATATACAAAAGATTTTTATAGTAGGCTTTTTTCCTCCTGTGGTATCTTTCTTGTAGAAATGTGATTGCTGAAAATGTGTGTGCCACAGTCAATGAAGTGCCTTTTTAAATATTAGCAACTTAAAGCCCACATCAATCATGAAACTAAAGTTTGACGTTGACAATTACAGAAAGGGATTTCATTTTGATTATGAAACAGAATCTTTCTGAGAATTGGTCACTTCTGACAATCTGGTCCACTCTTTCTGAAGAGTTTTCATGAGAAATATGCCTCATCTTTACCACAGTGTCTGCCTGTAGAATTAGCTCCATTTCTAAATCACTGCTTCATAGCTATTCAGTCTCAGATCGCTAATAAAAATGGTTATTCCCTTTTCACAGGTGGCAAAACTGAGATTTTGGGATCCATGCAGCTCTATGGAATATATTATGGGTGAATTTTGAACCCAGGTCTATGTGCTTCCAGGTAAGTTTTCCATTTTGCCACTCTCTCCTGTGAGCCTAGTCTTAAGGTGAAGTCCTAACTGGGACACTGAGGACAGAAGGGCCCATTGATTGAGACTCTCTGACTGCGAGAAACAGTGGAATGCAAAATAGCATGCTCACAGCTATTTTCAAGCAATAGCACCATCTAAAACCACTTGGAATGAAGAGACCTATGTGGCTAAGAACTGATGCAAAGGAAGAATATTCACTCTGGGTCAGTGTTTGAGCCTATAGAATTAGCTAATATTGTTGATTTTGCTGCCTCTCTGATATGTTGGAGGCAATTTCCATCCCCCTAAACACGTTAAATGCATTTTGTGATTTTAACAGGCTAAAGTGTTAACTCTTGTTTAAATATCTATATTTAGCATTACTTATAGAACTAACACAAGTACATTCTCTTCCATACAGAGCGATTAACTTTTTCAGAAAATTATTCAAATAATTCATTGGACCATTATGTTAGGGATGCTTACTCATCAATTCCAGATAGAGTTGATAAAGATTTGTGCCCATATGGGATGCACTCTGTAGAGTATCCACATATAGATTGGACCTACTAGTGCTACCTCTAGCAAAATGAGAATGTTACCGGTAATCATCACACAAAGGATGTCATGGTAAATCAAGGCTCAGAAAATTATATGCTACCTAAGGGATGTGGCATTGTGCTTCTACCTTGTTTCTTCTCAAGCCCAGTTACATCAGTTTCTTCTTGTTTCTTCTTTAGTCTGGCTGTGGCATTCAGATATTTGTTCAGCTCCAGGTTTTGTTTATTTCTGGTTTTTGTTTGATTCTGGCTTGAGCTTGTGGGGAGTAATTGTGTAGTTTAAGGTCCTTCTGCTTCTAGCTCATCTTGAATCCATGTGTCATTTTCATGACTGGGTTTTTTTTTATTTCTCAAATAAATGCATTGGTCTGCCTGCCTGGCTTTTGCACATTTCAGGCTTCCATCTGCAAAGAAAAGAGACCATGAGATCTGCTAACATGCAAAAAGAAGATAAAAGCATTTTTAAAAAATGTCTTCCTGCACACAGGCCTGCTTTATAATAAACCAGAACAGTGCAGGAATTAAGATGTTGTTGAAATGCCCAAGTGTTTCTGCCCTTTTATTATGTCCAGGGTGATGAGGTCATGGCTTACTGTTTAGCTTATGTGGTACAATTAAGAGATTCATTTCTTAATGTGATTCATCTCAGGAAGAGTTGACTCAGAAAAGTTTTAGGGGAGAGGCAAGACTTGTATGAGGAGATTTTGAAAAATTGTGCTTTTCTTCTGGAAGTTTGAGTTCATTTTTTATTCCAGGTAAGAATGAGGAGAACTGCAATGAGTCTGTCTCAGATTTCTGAGTGACAGGGAGCTGTTGTTGATTGTTTTTGGAGACAGGATCTCACCCTGTTGCACAGACTGGAGTGTGGTGCTACGATCATGGCTCAGTGCAACCTTGACCTCCTGGGCTCAAAAGATTCTCCCACCTCAGCCTCCCCAGTAACTGGGACCACAGACAAGTGCCACCATGCCCTTCTATTTTTAAAAAATTATTTGTAGACACAGGGTCTCGTTATGTTGCTCAGGTTAGTGGAATTTGATTACTTAATGCTAATAAGGCTAAAGAGGTGGTTTTGGTTTTGGCTTTTTTTCCCCCTTTGGAATTACGGCAAAAAGGTGAACTAAATATTTATTTTACTAAGACATCATTATATCTCTGTGTGTAGACATGTTTAAATGAAATAGTTTCTCAGATATATAATAATATCTGGCCAGGTGTGATAGTTCATGCCTGTAATCCCAGCACTTTGGGAGACTGTGGTGGGAGGATCACTTGAGGTCAGGAATTTGAGACCAGCCTGGGCAACATAACGAGACCTTGTCACTACAAAAAATAAAAAAACTTAGCTGGACATGGCAGTGCACACCTGTAGTCCCAGACACTTGAGAGGCTGAGGTGGGACAATTGCTTGAGCCCAGGTGTTGGAGGCTGCAATAAGCTATCATTGCACAGGTGCACTACAGCCTAGGTGACAGAGCAAGACCCTGTTTCAAAAAAAAAAATATATATATATATATATATTTATGCAACTATATGGTATATATAATCTTTATATTTTGTATATACAGTTTTTTTATTGTGTTGTTTATCTGTCAGTCCCTGATTGAGTTCTTTCAAATACAGCATTTACCTTCCTACTGCTGAAAAAGAGGTAGTTTCTCCATTTAGTTAGAGTGGCAGTTCTCAATCACAGTCAACCCCTTCACAAGTATGTGCCATGACAAAAATGTTGATAAGTAATGGATCAGGCCATCTGTATTAATTTATAAAATATTTATTCATGGGCCTCTGGGCAGCATTTACTCAAATTCGTTCCTTCCCTGTGAGTTGTCCTTGATTATGATTCTCAGCTTGGTCTTCCATCCAGTCAACTTTTAGTGAAAATTCCTAATTTGTGTACTGGTCAGTTTAATATAACAAATGTTTATAAAATGCCTGTGCTGTTTAAGGCACCATGCTGGGTACTTGGGATCATTTTTGGAGGGATTAACTACTCTCTCTGTCCTTTAGAAGGAGATGGAAAATTCTGCCATAATGAATGTAAGTCAGATTGGGATAAACATGGTAAAAAGGGGTAAACACAGTGTCATATGTTCCCTGAGGAGAGGACAATTTATTTTGCCTAGGAATCCAGTAAGGTTTCCTAGAGATGGTGACATTTGAATTAGTCCTTAAAGGAGAAACAAGATTTTGAATAGGCAAAGATGGAGGAAATGTGCTAAGTTCCAGAAGAGTGAAAGCCCATAATACAATCAAGGAAAGGAGAGAGGTCTGTTTCTACTTGAGCATTAGCTGTGTGCGAGGTGTGTATGAGGAGCAAATGACAGGTGAGTTTCAAAGAATAGAGTATTTTCAGTTCCTGAGGAACACTGAACATTATGCTAAGAAATTTGGACTTTATTAATAAAAAAACCCAGAAAGCTGGTAAAAGTGTTTGGAGTGAGGAGGTGCCCATGATTATAACTGACTTTAGAAAGGTAACTGTTCAGGATGTTAAAGATAACTTGGGGTAGAGACAAAGCAAGTGGAGACAGGGATCCATTGGCAGGCTATTGTAATAATCCAGGTATAGGTGAAGTGACGTAGGACAGTGATAATAAAAGCAGAAATGAGAGACATTCTGAGTCTAGAACTGGATGTGGTGGGATTCAGAGGTGATTTACAGATGACTCTGAAGTTTGTAGTTCAGGTGGTTAGCAAAAGAAGAAACCATGAACTGAGAGAAAGAACTTTAAGAGAAGAAGGTTTGAAGGAGAAAACAATGATTGTGTAAATTGACATTTATAATACACTATGATTATACATACCATTTCTTTCTTCTTTTGAACTAGATTGTTACAGCCATTCTTTTTTGGATTCCATTGTTAGAATTATACTCTATTTTCCTTTAAATGTAGGACCCTGACACTTTCTGATTCCTCAGAGGGGAAGAAAAGGTATATCTGCTCTCTACTACTTATGAATGCATTCCTATTTACCATAATCTCAATGTGTCTGTGAGGAGTATCTTGAGCCTTACTCAAGGTGAACTCTTTGACCTAACTCCCCTTTCTCTGGCCATGCTCCTATGGATGAGACAATTAGAAATCCTCACTAATGCTTATAGGATTCTCAGAGTTAGACAGAACTGGCCTTTATAAAGGTAAATTGGAGCCAAAGTGGATTCTTGGATCATGTATCTCCTCCCGGTTACAAAGCTGCCAGACCCCATCCCCGTGGGTGGAAATGGACACCAGCCCCCGAGGAAGTGATGGCTGCACTTGGGCGTCTGCTACCGCTGCTGCTTCCTCTCCTTCATAAGGAAGGAAACCGTGGGCTTTCCTGGGCATTTTTCTTATTCCCTTACACAGGGGAACTGGAGAGTCTTGGCCTTTGGAGTTTGAATAGTGAATCTAAGGCTGGAGGGGTTTCCAGAGAGCAGACAATTCCCATCTCTGAACTGTTGCTACTTTCTTCTTCCACCCCCCTTCCTGTGCTGTACAATTCATTCTATCTCCAGACTTTTAGTGTATAGTGTTAGAATGTCTTAATGGAGAGCCTGGAGCTGAAAGGCCCTGTACAACTTCTAGGTGGAGAAACCTAAATGGAAGGAAGGACTTGTGCCACTGTGATTTCCTCCTGCAAATGAAATGTAATTTGTACAAATAATCAAACTCTTCTTTTTTCTTTACCAGATTTGCACACCATATATTCAATGACAAGTCCTCTTGAAAGGTGATGGGAAGTGTTATTAAATTCCAAATATCTACTCCTCATCTGATAAAGCCATTCTGATGTTTGCAGTATGAATTTGATTTGCAGTTAGAATTCCCCACATTGAATACAAATCCCAAACAGCAAATTCAGCTCTGAATCTCTGGAAAATAGCATGTAATGGGTGGATCGATCCAACTAGAGTGTAAATTTGAGGTGCCGTGTGCTTTATCTGAGCATTAACAATTTATTCAGACCATTTTGTGTCCCATTTCCCACCCAAGCAAGTTGAGAACACTACATTTGCTTTTTACTTTTTTCCCTTCATGTTATGACACAAAATCGTTTCTCCAGTTTCAATTACTTTGATGATTGCAGCAGCAATGATTAAGAGAAAATACATCTTTGAAAGGGGCAGAAATATGGTAAGCCTTTCCCACTGATGGTAGCTAAAAAGCATATACTAAACAACTACAGAATACCCAGCACATTGATGGGTGCTGTGTGGTACAGAAAGAAGAAACAAGCCCCATAGGAGCTCACTGCAGACATATCTGAGTGAAGGAGTAAAGGGTTGGAGCTCAGGAAAGGGAAAAGCATATCATCATCTCATTGCTGGACTCTGATCCCTTAAAGCCCAAGTTGAGGAGGAAGTGGTCAGAAGAAAAGTGTATTTTTAGCCCCCTCCCATTTTAGAGACATTCTAAGATGGAGCTAGCAGGAGGAGAAGGATAGATATGGGATGGCAAACTGGTTTATTTGCAATAGGCTGGTTTTAATTCTCCACAGTAGTGAGTTTGAGGGCAATGCAATGCAAAGGACAACTTATTTATTTAATGTTAGGTTATAAGCAACCTTGAAGGCAAAAATCCTCCTCTTTTTGTCTTTTTATTTTTTTTTAACCCTCCATAGTATCCCGTCCAAAGGCAGCAGGTAAGTGGTAGGGTCCAGCCCTCAAAGAAGCTGATATTCTCCACCCACCTCCGTATACACTTGTAAGTTGAGAGCCAAATCCTCTGTCAGACACATTTTCCTTGTCAAATCATGCCCGTCCCACCTCACTGACACTGATAGTCCTGGGAGCCAATTCTGATGCCAACCTGTGTTGAACTCCTAGATGTGAGTGCACTTTCTTGAAGGGCAGGTTGGGCTAAAACTTGACCTTTGGGAGCTTTGAGAGGTGGGAAGAGGAGCAGAGGGCTGCCGGGGAGAGAGAGATTTCCTGGTTATTGCTATAGGGAGTCTGTTTACTTGCCTTCAAGGGTCACAGGCATCTGAATGGACTTCTCTGGCTCTGCTCTTGGGTTTGATTTCAGAGGACTTGGTCCTGTGGAATTCCACTCCCCATCGACCCTCCCCTTACTGTTAGGTATGGGACTTTTATTCCACAGTTATGACTCAAGCCTTCCTGAGGAGCACTGCAGCTTTCTTGCAGCAGCAGCAATTGGAAAGGCTGTTTTAAGTGGAGTTTACTGTTGTTGTATAAACCTTCATTTAAAATTGACTATAAAGTGTTTCTGAACCTGCCAAACACGCATTAAAATATTTTGCTCCATTTATGCCTATGTGTAACATTTGGTTTCTAAAAAGCTTTAATCAGTAATCTTCAAGTAGGAAGTTATTCATCTTTATTGCCAGTCGGTTCTCAGTGGTGGTCGTGGCAACAATCTTTTTATTGCTTCTGTGTTTAGTTGTTCTTTGACATGATAGAAGTCAGCCGCAGTTCAATGAGCTCACTATTTGTGCAACTTAATTGCTTGCTTCCTTCAATACATACTAAATTTTTCCTTTTATGAGCAGGGCTGTTGGAAAAATTAAGCTTAAGGATATAGCCATCCACTTTTAATTAACCTCCTTCCCAAACACATTAGTAAAATAGGTCAAATAACTGCTGAGTGCTAAGTGTACTGTTACTAAGGTCCTCCTCGGCTGAGAAGTGAATCCTGTATTAAGTGGACAAATATTGGAGCGTTGAGTATTTTCTGGAAGCCATGATGACATAAGAATAATGCTTTATAACAGTATTCTCTGCTGCACCATCTCCTCTAGGTTGTATGTATGGTTTGACTTTATCTGGCTCTACCATGGTTTTAGGTTATTTCGTTACATCTGTGTGAAATAAATAAAATATTTCTTTGGGTTTTGTTTTGTTTTTTGCTTTCTAGGTTATTGCTTCTTTTAAAGGGGGACCCAAAATTCAGCTTTTCCTTTTAGTAGTAACCCTGCTCTTATTTTGATTCACAATTCTTAGAATAATCTGGATATGTATAAATGCTTGTGATGAGTACAAAAATATGCTCAGTGAGGGAACTAATCTATCAAAATAGATTTATATAGAACTCTTATAATTCCTCTCCATGTCAGGGTTATATTCAGATGGAAAATCACTTTAATTGCAGCGGTGAAGGGCAGATTGGAGCTTTGCCAGCTTGACAGAAAATATTTTGAAGTTTATAGACCAAAAGAAAAAAAGAAAACGTGACAGTTTCCGAATTTGGCAGAAGGCAGGAAAATGTCAGGATATAGTTTATACTTTTAGAAAGGGGAACACAAAAGCAAAGACAATTAAAATGGGAGAATGTGCCAGATAGAGCTAAAGGTGAACATTTGTGATCTCTGTCCTCTATCTGCAGTTCCATGTTTAGCCTTTAAATGGGAGTGAGTGAAGAGTGAAGAGAAAAAGGAAACCCCCTCAACTGAATGCCAATAGACACAATAATTTCTTAAAAATGATTACTCAGTTATAATCTAATCTAAATCTTGCAGATTCATAGGTAGAGAATCTACGTTTCTCAAATAATCTGTTCTGATAAAATGACTACGTTTCTCAAATAACCTGTTCTGATAAAATGACTACGAGTTGGGTCAATACTTGTCCAGTGTATTTGTACCTCCTGACTTGGGTATATTTTCTGCATTAAGCTTAGTTATTGAGAAGCTTCTTGCAGCACCTTTTTTTCACTGTCGCATCAGAATGTCAGCGAATTGATGATATTCTGAACAGAATTGATGATGAAATGGTAAACTTTGTGGATCTTAGTTCGCCCACCTGCTAAAGAGGGGTAATGACCCTGTGCCAGTCTACACCCCAGGGGATTGTTAAAAAAGTTGATTAATCCTTGTCAGGAGTCTTAAGGCAAAAACATTTTCCCTGTGCCTTACTGTACCCCATCATGATGAGGCTTGCAGGAATGACTTCTTATTCGTTAGTTGTTAGTTATTTCTTTATATATATATATATTTTTTTTTTCGGAGTCTTGCTCTGTTGCCCAGGCTGGAGTGCAGTGGCACGATCTCAGCTCACTGCAACCTCAGTCTCCTGGGTTTAAGTGATTCTCTTGCCTCAGCCTCCCAAGCAGCTGGGATTACAATCACGCACCACCACACCTGGCTAATTTTTGTATTTTTCTGTAGAGACAGGGTTTCACCATGTTGGCCAGGCTGATCTCAAACTCCTGACCTCAAGTGATCCGCCCACCTCGGCCTCCCAAAGTGCTGGGATTACAGGCATGAGCCACCGCGTCCGGCTAGTTGTGGGTTCTAAAGGTTATTCTCTCTTATCTTTTGCCTGGTTAAGGCCTAAGATGCGAATGGCGATTGTTGACACATGGGAAATAGTTGAACCATCTGAAAGGTTAAGTATGGGAAGGGAGCACTGCATTTTCACATGCCTGCAGATGCTCTGGTGCCTGTCATTTCTGTGCTGGTCCACAGACTTCAGGCTGGGGTGGAGAGGGAGACTGTAACTTTTGGTGAAGGAAGAGCTGCTATGAATCAAAGTCAAGGGACTGAGTTAATGCTTTATTCCTGTCTAAACAATTAAGATGGCAAATTTCATACCTTTGGAAAGTTGAAAATACTTGTCTAAGAAAAGAAAAAAAAAGTGGAAGTCTAGGATTGACAGGTACGAGGAAATAAAGGATTTTGGAAACTTTCTGAGGCATTTAGTCTTGGTAATCATTTTTTTTTTGTATTCTTACACAGAGCCCTATTGCCAAGCTGCCTGAGGCAAATTTGCATGTGTTAGGTTTAACTCAGGCAACTTAGGTTTGCCTTTAAAATAGCCAAAACTTTGCCTCAGCATATGTTGGGTCATGTTAACCCTTCATGAATTGACATTTTGCTCATTTCATGGATTTGTCCACTATGGCTGTGGCTTTTCTAGCAGTCATTGGTAGACTTTAATTAAACAAATCCCGGAGGGAGACCTTGGAGCCACAAAAATACTTTCTACAACCAGCAGGTGGCACTGTGGATACTACAGTGGTGAAGAAACTGGGATATAGGAGGCAAAGATGAAAGCGGGGAGAACTCGGATAATGAGATAATATAAGCTAGTCTACAGATCTTTGAGAGGTTAACAGGGCATCTCAGAAAGCTATAAACCAGTCTCTGAATGTGGAAGGCTGCCATGGATTTGCCTTATAAGAACATTTCTCTGATTTTTAAAGTCTTTCCAGTGATACAATTGATATCTGCTTAAATTCTACTTATATGCTACTGCCCTGAGTTGAAAAACAAACTTGAACAGAAGATTTTTAGGTAATTTTAGAAATAAACATTTACACATATTCTAAAACCATAGCATGTAAAATAGGAACTCAAGCCTGGTGTATATAAAGTATTAAAAATTACATTTCATGCTTAGAGAATATTATTCACTAAGGAAACATGTTAATTTGATTTATTTTATTATATTAAAGAGATAGTAAGGACATTTTCTTGACCTGCATTAGCTTCTGCATTCTTTGTTGTCTATGATTCTCTTTAAGAATTTATTTGAAAGAGACTTCTGTAAATCAACTTTTATAACATACTTTTTGGGGTAAAGTTTGCTTCTTTGGAAGTTCATGTAGTGATTTATCTAGGTAATCAAATTGAATTCAGAGGTGGCAACGATTATTTACTTCCAAGTGAAATCTTCTTGAGATAGTAGGAATTGTCCATACTACCAGGGTTCTTTTGTGAGGGTTGGTGCTTTTTTCTTTTTTCCTGAGACATCAGAAGAAAACTTCTTTTGTAGCTTAGACCAGAGGCAGAGGCAGGTCCTGAGAAGGAAATGTAATTCCTCTCAATAAACATTTCCTAAGCTAAGGCCTCTTGGGAACACTGGCCTTTCTGCAGAAATGTGGACTTCTCTCCCTGACAAATTTATGCTCTCTGGGGGCAGATGTTTGAGCTACTTTTCCTCTCTGCCTCCAGCGGTAGAAAACAATTGTGTCCCTATGCTGGTGGAGTCCATTGTTCCAGAGGAAAGCTGAGGGGTTTGTGAATATGTGGAGGACTGCTGTAGAAATCAGTAATAGATTGATTATCGCATCCTACCTGAGGGCAAGGAACTGGGGATGGAAGTGGGAAGAGGAACAACAAAGCTAGATTTAGGATAAGGTGGCAGAACTTGAGATCTGACAGTGGCAGGTCAGAGTCTTAGGGGCCAGTTATAGTGACCTTAGACTCTTGCCCAAGTTCAGAACCTTACATGTTCTAGCCTGCCCGGTCTGGTGGGAGCTGAGGCAGCCATCTGGCTGAGTTGCTGAGGGAGGATGCTGTGAGTGGTCTCTCCACGTGACTGGAAAGTTTGACCAACTGAGGGGACCCAGGAATGGAAACCAGTTTACTGTATATTCAGAAACAGGGATATTTCTGATTCACCAGGGCAGGCCTCTCTCCTATTTCTTGGAACAGATTCCCTTCTTCTGAGTCTGGAGCCTGGGCAGTGCTTGAGCAGCAACAAGGAGCATAAGTTTCCTGTCACTTCCTCTTTGGCAGGTTGTGTCTGCAGACACTGGCTCCCATACCCCATAATTACTTTTTCACATTTTTTAATATAGTAACACATGGTTGGGCTTGTGGTGGGGGAACCAAGTGATGCCTCCAGGCCATGAACACTATAAATAACTTCAGGGATCATTTTATACGGTTAGGGAAGGAAGCAGCTTCTTTCTTAAGAAATAGCTTCAAGCAAAGAAGCAGGATTTAGGAACAAATAACTTTTATTTTCAAGAGCCCCTTTGCCTTTTCTATTTCTCTACAGATCAGCGATCTTATTGGTATTAATTTGTCTTCTCACCAGCCTTTCTTATACCACTTTTCAGCTTAGAGTGGTGATTGTAGCCATCTCGTCATATAGAGAAAAGTACATACATTTTGTTTATGAATGTGCAACTTTGAGCTTTGAGCTATCAAGTCCATTTTCCAAGGTTTGCTTATGACTCTGAATTCCCTAACAGGCACCCATGTACAAGCATATGTGTTGACTGAAGACCCATGTTATTTAAAGGGACTTCAATAAGAAATCTAGAAATAGTTCCTCATGCCTCTGACCATATTTTTAAACCACCTAAGGCAGCCCAATCTTAGAGTTTCCTGGGAATAGTTATTTAGGACATTTGTTGCAGGGACTCATGTTTAACAATCTTCATTGTCAGGAAGTTCTTCGTTTTATATAAATTTCCAATGTATTTAAAATGTTTTGCTTCTTTATTCAGTAGAGGTTGACAACAGCTTATTATGATTAGCTTTCAATAACTACCTTTTATGTGTTTCAATGGCCTAGTTTCTAAACTTGTACATAATTTAATAATTAACACCTAAATAAGAACAACACTACTTTCAATTTAATAAAAGCCTAATAGAAAAGTATCTGTAGCAAAAATATTCCAAAAACACTTTCTAGGTTTCACTAGAGTCTGTATGCTTTTGCTTGACCCATGTTTGTACAAATTTGATCCTCACAGTTCATTTCTAAAGCAGAGCAAGTAGTCTGGATTATCTTTGCATTATATGTAATATTGCTCTATAATATATTTACATTATAGGTAGGCAAAGACACTAGCCCAATGACAGAGATACAAAAAGGACCACAACTGTCCTAGGCATTAGAATATGTTTCTCTCTTAGTGACATTAATTCACTGAAATAAAACTATATCGATAGGCAAATGGGTTCATTTTACTCCTTGCATCTTGCATAAGTGTTGCATAATCATCTGGGACCAGGGACAAAAACTGCAGTGATAGGCAAGTCTGCGGGACTGGGCAGGAGCAAATGGGACAGATGCCCAGGAGGGATATATGGGGAAAATCAAAATCTATAGTCCTTAGTCGCTCTGGACTAATATTTGCCAAGCTCACAGGGTACCTGGCACTGTGCTCTGGATTTCCAATATAAATTTCTTCTCTTGCAGAAGGAGCTATCATTTTACTTCTCTCCTAAAAATGTGTTCTTGTAGACAGTGGTGGTTCCTTCATCAGAGGGCTTGACCTATAATGTCTCTGGCTTGTGTGCACCTAATGCTGTGGTGTTTGCATGACTGAGGAGTCACAAAGAAATTGCGGTTGAATGTCATTTCCAACAAATAATACTGTTTGATGATTTTATTTTAAAGACTTCTTGAGTGCTGAGAATCTGGTACAGCATATGTTTTGATGTGGTGCAGTGACAGCCACAATATCTGTCAAAAGGAACTATGAGAGATTAAATAGCAGAGTGCTTTTCTCTCATGATGTAGATGTAGCAGTACTTGCGAAGGAAAAAGCTTGTATTGTTTCTTGGACCCATCCCCTACACTCCTACACCGACCCTGTGAGATTAAGTAAGCTGGCAGCAGAACTGCAAGTTCTTGTTAACCATACATGCCCCAAGGCCCTAACACAAACAATCCCTATTATAAAATAAGACCTTTACAAATAATATTTTCAGAAAATACTTGTATTTGTTTTCTGCCATGCTGCATTTTTTGAGATGGTTACATGCTTACCTTAGGGAATGGCATGTCGCCAAAGCTAGAGGTCTGCCTGCTGAAGTTTCAATAGTGCTCATTATGAAGGAGAAGAAGTTTCTATTCCTACCCCTGGAAGGAAAAAGCCACTCACAGATAAAGTGTATGATATGATTACCATTGCTTTAGATAACCACAAGTAGTACTTCCGACATGATAAGGGATCGTTTTCTGTCTTGATCGTACAGAGCTTAGCTCAGCCTTTTTAAGCATTGGTGGCATTTTTGAAGGCCACTTGATTAGTTTGGATCCTGAGGGAGCATGAAGTTGCCATGCAGATAAAAATCAACACTGGTTTCAGCTACTGCAGCAATTGCAGTGATAGTAGGGGGTCCTTTGGAAGAGGTTTGGAATCGGGACGAAAGGCCCTAGTGACTTTGGCAGAGTTATTTAAAGGTCTTGTGACTAAACACCAAGCATATCAGGAACTCTGAGACAGTTCCTTTTCTTGTGCTGGCTTCATTATGATTAAGCTCATTGGGAGAGCTAGAATCCCTTAGCTCCTCAGAAGGGTATATCAATGAGGCAGATTCTCTTTAAAATAGACAGGAGGGTTAGCCATCAATATCTGATTTGCTGGAGAGGATATGAACAGGGAAATTACAGAGATAATGAGAATTTAATGAGTTAAATTGTAGAAAGGAAATTAAGGGCCCATCGTGACAATCGGTCTGCTATAAAAGCCCAAGTCCTATTGTATGAACCTTTTACTATCCTCGTGGTAAAACCAGGGATAACACTCTAAGATGAGGAATATTGTAATTGGCAAAAATAAGAAATGGTAGTTACTCCTTCCTGATACTTTGACAAGTAGTTAATAAATGGATTGTTGACTACCACATAAAATCCAGAGGGGGGATATCAGAGTGGAATTGGAGGATTTAAAATAAGGTCAAAGGCTGGGATAGTGTTTGCATGCATGTTTGTATGTATGCATATGTAGTCCAAAAGAAAAATTCTAATTCATGATTATAATTTGAACATTTAGTCTTTCCCTAGAAGCTTCTGAAAGATCAAAAGAGGTCAGATGTACAGAACAGACTTCTTAAAATGTAATGGGATGAATGTTGTGATGCTTTTTGTACTTTGAGGCTGGCAGGTAACAGCAGGGACCAGTATTAGAAAAAAAGAACAAGAGATTTATTTTCTCCAAATTTTCCACCCCTGTTCCTATGGTAGCTGATGCTACCACCCTGTGGAATTGCATTTTTATGACCTCCTGGTGCTACCATTGCTGGATGAGTTGGAGATGGATGGGGGCTATCTTGTGTATCTGAACACTTATCCTGGCTCAGTTTTAATACCCCACATGGCACTCAAAGTTATAGTTCTTGAAGAAAATTTCTATGTTTTGAATGGTAATAGAGAAAAGCTATCTATCCCCTTAATTTGCTATCTTCAATTTTCATTCCTTCATGAGAGATGTAATAAGTCTGGGAATTTCCCTCTTTGCTAGGTGGGGATGTGATTACCCAACTGTTGGCAGGGTGCTTGGGATTATCCAGATGGAAATGCTATTTAAGGGCTAGGTATTAGGGTTTTGCCTTTTAAAAATTAAAATATCCCCAAATGAGCTTTATTTGTGTTTCCTTTAAAGTCCTTGTTACAGGAAGTTGCCAGGGGAGGAAATGTAGCTCAGAGGTTTCTGGGACCAGCCATGGCTCTTGGGATGGATCAGAGGCAGAGTCACCAGTCAGGGGCTTGGCCAACAGAGCTGCTATGTACCTTTTCCCATTTTTAGCCCTCCATTTGGTTCCCAGAACTAAAAGACCCTTTCTATCTGTCACATGGGAGACTCTCTGACCTTAGGAAATCGAGATGTCATGCCCTGTGGGATGTGGCTGCCTACGTGCCTTGATGAGCTGGGTGAAGCCCTCATGCAATTAGTCTTACTAGGCAGCTTTCAAGTGCTTTATAAGTTACATTTCATCTATGTGTTTTTAAAAAGGGGTCTTTTAAAAAGGGACATCATTCTTGTCACTTTCCATTCTTTAAATTTCAGCTCTTGGGTTTGTCTCAGTGAGAAGCAGATTCCCATCTTTTTTTGCGGGGGAGGAGTTCGAGAGCTCACCCTACTCCAGGGTTACAGCAGATTTGCTGTTGTTGCTGTTGCTGCTTTCTTTTCAAAGTACCATAGGTCACATGATGACTTCCAGGCCCAAATGGGGAGATGATGTGGATAAAAGTATTTAGCAAGAGATCAAAAACTGGGCTGCACTTCTAAATGGCTTGCCTTTTAGAAAAAAACACATTAGCCTTTCACCCAGATGTTGTTGTGGGTAACTGTCAATACGGTGCACAGGTGGCACAGTTGTCTTGCCATTTACTGCCTGATGCCTCGGCAACTGCTGCCAGCCCTTCAGAAATAGGAAATGACTAATGATGTGGTGGAAATTATGAACCAGGATTAATAAAACTTGAAAAGGAACAGTCTTTCAGTGTTTGATCCTCCTTAGAGGAAGTTAAATCTGAATCCTAGATTGTTTTCCCTGAGGTGTTCTTCTGACTTTTTCTGATTACTCGGCTGTAGTGGGGGTCTATGCTACAGCTAGGAACAGTGAACCAGATGGTGCAGGAAGCAAAGTGCTGCTCCCATCCCTGAAGGTACAGACACATGTCCTGTTCTGCAGCCCATCTGTGAAGAATCCAGTTAAAGGAGCCACAAGCACAGAACAAATATTTAACTTCTAAAAGTTGAGATTTAGCATGAAGAACATTCTGGAAAGATTTCATTCACTGTCTGAGTGATTTCTATGCTTCCTCATTAAGGACAATTGTTGGGGTCTCAATAGATTTCAGGGAGTTGACATTTTTCTTTTTAATTTTGGAATCAAAATTTATTTTCCTTAAGGCCCATGCCAAGCATTCTTTCACAATTCTGTGGGCCTGTCCTCTAGCCCTCTTTCTTGTTCCTCTCACATTCTCAGGCTCCTCTTTTCCTCTTGGGAAAATGCTATGTAGCCAAAGGGATAAATGCACATTTGTTTTATAGATGAAGAAGGCAGTATAAGGTATAATGGGAAAAAAAAGCCAGACTCTGAATAAGGAGACTTCAGTTCTAGGCCCTTTTCAATAGTGTAATCTCTGGGAAACCCCTCCAAGCTCTGTGAGTCCAAAGGTATCACTTCTATGATGATGGGTCTTAACTGGGTATCTGCTAAGTTCTCTTCCTGCTCATTATAGCACATGTGTGTGGTGTATGTGATATTTTCTCTGAGGTAGTCTCAATTCCCTTGTCTTAAAGTATTGTGGTCTGCCCAGGAACCTGTCCGGTCAGTTCCTGATGAGGAGCATCATGGGCAGGTAGGGAGCAGTCGTGAAACATGACCAGTTACTGCAGCAGAGTATTGACACTTAGGTGATTCGTGTTGTTATAAGGCTTAATATTGCTGCAGATTAGCCGGTTAAGAAAAAGCCAGGAAGTATTTCTAAGGCCTCTAAAGTCAAAGTATCTCCTGAATTTGCTCATTAAGATCAACTAGGCCACAAAAGAATCAAACTAAACTGTTCATCTAAAGTTTTTGGTGAATTAAAGCAACTCTGTATTTCAAGCTAGTTCAGAATTGCCAGAGCATCTCTATGTGTCTGGGCATGTGTGGTGAGCCTGAGCACATGTGTATGAGAAAATATGTCTGTGTGTGTGCTTGGGTGAGAAATAAAAGAGACAGTAAAGCAGGTGGCTGGTTTACACAAATTTACGCAAGAAGTTGGAACTAAGAAATGAAGTCTGAAAGACACTACATAGCATATGATCTTGCTCTGTTCATTCAGTGTATCCTTCCGACCTGCTTAAGGCTTTATAAAATCCTTACTGCAAGTAACAATAGCTAACATTTATTGAGTACTTACTATATGCCAGGCAATCTTATCATGAGGTACTTAAACCTTTCTGTGTTTCTGTTTTCAATCTATAAAATAGGGATAATCATAAAATCTACTTCCTAGGATTGTTGTAAGGATCAAATGGGTTGGTATGAGTAAAAAACTTAGGGTTGTGAACAAAGATGAACTGAGTTGAAGTAGGAAAATCTCAGACACAGCCTGGCATGTGCTATGTGCTCAGTAGGTAGTAGTTATTATTATCATCCCCATTTTATGCCAAGGACAGTAGAAACTTATAGAAGTTCAGTATCATCCCTCAACTTCACAGCTGGAAGTAGTTAAATTCTGGAGCCCAACTCTGGAGTCTGAACCCTCTCCCTTCCTGTTTTGGACCTTCATCAGGATTACTGCCCCTTATAACTGAGCTTCACCAAGCTAATGCTAGTAGGATTCTTGAGGGCTCTTGGAAAACACATTCCTTCAGGACCTAGTCCTCGGAATATGGATTAAAAACACTTTGTCTGGCTCCATAGTTTTCCTAAGACCTTTGTCTTATGACACCCTAGGACTGCAGTGGACCTGTGGCACTTGTCTGTCTTCATTCAGGTCCTTGAGCCAGCTCTGAGAGAAAGGTTGTGTGTTTAAAATAAGACCTTTAAGCTTCTTTTGGCTTTTGCTCCCAACTTTGCGTTCCTGTCCATCGGCTTTGTACAATAATGAAAACAAATGCTTTAAAGCAAGATTTAATGTAGTTAAACATGAAATAAATGTACTCTTTATTAACTACTATTAAAATAAAGAGTACATTTTCCTCTTGCCTTGTTATCTTAGCTATTCCATTACAAAATAAGAGGGTTAAGAAAAATCTGGTAGAACAGAAATCGAGAGCCCAAATGTCAGTGAAAATACATTTCATTTAACAAATACTTCAGTTTGTTCTCTAAAGGCTGAGCCTTTCCAAGTGGATGGACCTACAGGAGTTTCCTCAAGTGGACAGTCCTATACTTGGCTCCTGGGAACCTAGACATGATGCTAAGGCTTCTTCCATTGATCACAGCAATGAGAGATGGGAAGAGAGCAAGGGTAGGTCTCTGAGTGTCCCTTTATTGTGTGCTGACATTGCTGTGGAGGCAGATGGGGCCTCATATGGCAGCTCAGAAGAGGAGGCAAGACCCTCTCCAGAGCTGAAGTGGAACCACCCCTAAGGCAAAGGGTGAGGAGGGGAAAGTGCTAGGCAGAGGAAATTGCACTGTGCGATAAAGCCTTCCTTTTCTCCCTTGCCTCTTCTCCCCAGGAAGTCCTGAGAAATTTTTCTCAGAGGAAATGGAGTGAAATGAACTCTGAGGGCAGCCTTGCAAGGGAAAGGTTGTACAGGAACAGGACAGAAGAGGGAACTTGGATGGTGTTGAGTCATTGTAGACAGTCAGACCTTAGCCTTATGCACTGCTGGATGTGTGTGCGCGAACCACAGGTCTTCTTCAGGACCTGCTGGCAAGGCTACCTCTAGTTCTCCTGTGCCAAGAGTTCTGATTCCTTCAGCAGCCTTGAATCCAGCTCTGGGCACAATTGGCCCCAACTGCTGAAACTTTTGCCCAGTTCTGTGCTGAAGCTTTGCACTACTCTGGCTCTATGCGCGGGTGCCTGTCTGTCTTGCTCTTGGTTCTGGCATTCTGCTTCAGCACTTGGCTAAAAGGCCAGCCACTGGCTTTGTGGAGCTGGACTTGCAGTGGCCCTTGATTGCTGCTCTGCAAAGGTTTTCTTTCTTCCTTTTTACATTGTTGTCTTCAGGCTGGCACTTGAAGGAGCCCAACAGGCCATTACAGTCACACAGTCAAACAAAGATCTTTTAAGAGAACAATTGTCATTTGTTTCCCAGTTGGCATTTCTGGAGATTTAGCAGGATAATCTTGGATGTACGTCAGCAAGCATGAGCAGGAATCATCTTAATCCTTAACATGGCATACAAATGAATTGGGACCACGTGAAAAGTGTACAAAGAATTTCTCTTTCTTCTTTCTCCTCCTGAATTCCAGCTGTAGGGGCTTGTATAATTTTTGTTGGGGGAGGAGGCGTTTCCTTTTGACACAGTAACCTGATGCAGAGATGGAACTCCCTAGGGTTTCAGCTTTGGGGATCCTCTGGCCACTCTGTGTATTCTAGTACACTCTTTATTCCTGAAGAGAGTTGCTACCCCAACTCCCCGTCACATGCAGATCCCTTGAAGTCTTAGCTGGGAAACATGCTTGGACTCTTCCAGTCATTCTTTTAAAGTCCTGACTTGAGTAAGCCTCAAAGAGACAACTACTGAATTCCTGATTCCATTTGATTTTACAAAGGCAAATGAGCTCCCCACATAAAAGGACCTCCAGCTGTTTCCTCTAGGAAAGGAGAGAGAACAGCAAGGATGTCCAAGAGTCTCTCCTCCACAGTTGCTTCCTCCTCGAGCATCTACCAGTTATGTCATACCTGTCTGAGGAGACAGAAGGGGCAGAAGGAGAGGTATTTGTTGCCTCCTCTGCCTGCAAAGTGAGGCTCCGTGATGCCTGTGATACGAGCAGGACCCTCCTTGAGGAGTTGAGGAAGTTAGGCAGGAAAGGGAGGGAGTATGTAGAGCCAGCACTTTTGTCTCAACAGTGCAAGAATTGTTGGGAACTTTTATTTTTCTTGCTTGTTGTATGATCCACTGTGCTTGTTGTTATTGTTATACCAGTTTCATTTATATGGAAATTTTTGATTTAACTGGCACTCTCCAGGATTTTTTCTCCACATATTTAGACAAATTAATTTTAACAAATAATATAAGTTTTTAGTGATTCTTTCTTCCAATTAATTATTCTTCGAAGATTTACTTTTTTCTTTTTGCAAAGAATTAAATGAACATTATATATGAGCATTTATAGATTAGAAAAATCTATGATGTAATCATTGTTTAATTCTGAGGTTGAAATCACCATAGGTTTTCACTGTAGATTCTGTGGACCCCCAGCCTATGGATTCTGTCAGATGGCAAATCTATGGTATTTTCTGTGGATGAAAATCCTAGACAGAGACTCCTGGTTTTGTCATTCTCTCCCTATATTATTGAGTAGAAAGTGAAAAATCCTATAAGCTACATCTTTTATATTTTCCTCTAACTCTTCTCAACCCCTAGTTACAACTTCTAGTATTCCTAATATTAGTTGAAAAAAGAAGTGATCTCACAGCTTTTTTTTCCTAAACGTTAATTTAATCACCAGTTATCACTTTGACATTGAGGAAACTTTTACTGACTGTTTCCAATTAGCTATAATAACTTATGTGATTTTTACTTCATCTTTTGACCACTCTATCTAACCAGGATCACCTAGAATTTTAGAGCTGGAAGGCACTTTAGCATCTAGTCCTAGGATGTCAAATGTGGTTCAGTTTGTTTGCTGGCTATGATCTGTTGGTCAAGACTGGCTGTCTAGAGTGCTTTCTGGAGAATAACTCTGAGGCTGGGTCTGGCTTAGGGGAAAAGACTTCTATGACCAGCTGGTAGTATGGGAAGAGTCATAGAACTGGTGATATCTATCTGATCTTCTTAGTTCTGATTAAATGCTCTTATTTTATGGTTGTGGACACTAAAGTCTGGAGCAATAAAGTGACTTTTCCAAGATCATCCAGTAAGTTAATAGAAAAGCAACGACTTGAGCCTGCTGTGATGGGGATTTTCAGTAAACACAGAGGAGCAATCTTCTACCTTTTTTTTACTCTCCCCAGTCTTGTTCCAAGGGAACTAAGAAAAAAAATGATAGATATTAAGCATAAGGACAAATAATACAGTGAATGAGATATTAACAGATGGGAAACATTGGAAATATAGGAAATAGGTAGAGTGCTTCATCTAGTGGCTCATGCCTACAAGCCCAGCACTTTGGGAGGCCGAGGGGGGAGGATCACTTGAGGCCAGGAGTTTGAGACCAGCCTGGACAGCATAGCAAAACCCTGTCTCTACAAGAAATTTTTTAAAAATTAGCCAGGCATGGTGGCAGGTACCTGTAGTACTAGATACTTGAGAGGCTGAAGGTGGAGGATCACTTGAGCTGGGGAGTTCCAGGTTGTAATGAGCTGTGATTGCACTACTATACTCTGCCTGGGAGACAGAAAAAAAGGAAAAGTAAAATAAGTAGAGAAAGTATGTTGTAATAAATAATAAATCTGGTCATTGTCCCCACTCCGGTCACACAGCTTCAAAAGTACTTGGAATTTTCCTGATAGGTATGTTATGTTAATGAGGTGGCTCGTTATGGGTTCCTAGATAGCTTAATGATGTAGGCTGATCATCAGAAAGACCAAGCACAGAATTAGAGGGTTGGAACTTTCAGCTAGCCCAGCCTCCAGGGAGGGGAGAGGAGCTGGAGATTGAGTTTAGCTACATGGCCAATGATGAAATCAACCATACTTACCTAATGAAACCCTGAAAAACTTGGCATACTGAGGTTTGGAGGAGCTTCCCTGTTGTTAAACACATTGTTGTGCTGGGAGTGTGACATGCCCTGACTCCAAGTGGAGATGGCATAGACACTATATCTGGGACCCTCCCAGACCTTACCTTATATGTGTCCTTTATAATAGACCTATAATTGTTAAGTGTAGTGGTTTTAGTGAGTTCTGTGAGTCATTCTAGTGAATTACCAAACCTGATGGGAAGTTGTAGAAACCCCCCAATTTGTAGTCAGCTGGTCAGAGGTGTGGGAGGTCTAAGGACTTCATTGGTGGCTGGCACCTGAAGTAGAGCTTAGTGTGGAGCACTAAGAATCTAATGTTACTCCAGGTAGGTGTTACTCCAGGTTAAGTGTGTCAGAATAGAATTGCAGTTCACCCAGTTAGGGTGTAAATGGAAAAGAAGGTATAGACTGAGGGGAAAATCAATTAAAAGTGAACAAGTGTGTCCTAGAGAACCTCTGCAACGCTGTCCTTGAGGCACCAGGAGCCTCAGAAAGGAAGGCAGTGTGGGGCTGAGCATAGGGATTGGACCTCCTCCATATCCCTTTTCTTCCCATCATTCAGGTAGCCAGGCTTCTTCTCCCCACAACATGAGACCCAGGGTTCTCTGGAGAAAATGATTTGGTAGGTTTCTAGATGTGCAGTTACTGATGCCATTGGAGGGTGAGGTATGGGATTGAAAACTGGCATTAAATACATTGAAAAGTCTATATACTGAATTTTGGGGTCCTTAGTCCTCATGTTTATTCTACTCACAGAAGACCTGAAGCTAAGCTTATAATGGCACTCTCCACAATTTCTAACCTCAAGGCGAGTATGGAGACTCTTCTGTGGAGAGACTGTAACAACTCTAGGAGTAAGACCTTCCAATACTGATATATGGTGACTTCCCAACACAAAGATGAGCTCACTTCTTGGTCAACATGAAATGAAACCCACCGAATGACAAACCCCATTCACCTTCTCAGCTTTTTAGTCCTTCAGTCTTAAACATGAATGGACAACCAAGAGTCACCAGATGTTTGGGAAAAGAGGCCAACATCAGAGAGAGAGAGAGAGAGAGAGAGAGAAGTGGGTGGGGAGGGGGGGGAAGACAGAGACCAAACAAACAAACAAACAAATGAGAACCTGGAAGAAGAATCAGAATAAGAAACAAAATACAACTTCAAAAAACCCCTCAACCCTAAACTTTAATACCCCCAGAAAGATAAGACAATATTATAAGAAAAAAAGAGAGAGAGAGAGAGAATAAGACACTTACTAGCTATGTGACCTGGGACAAGTTATTAACATCTCTGGATCACTTACCAAATAGAATAACAATAGTATCTTCCTTTGTTGAAGATTAAATGAAGTAATATATATAAAGCACTCAGACAATGCCTGGCTTATAAGTGCTATTATTATTGGTAGTACTATTATTAGTTATTAAGTGCTGTTATTAAGAGAAGGCTGTTGGAAATAAAAAAATATATAAAATTGATATAGAATGGTTGACAGGTAGAATTGAGTAGATCTCTTAGAAAGCAGAACAAAAATACAAAGAAATGGAACATAGAAGAGAGAAGATAGAATTGAAGGCTTAATTCAGGATATCAAGCATAGGACTTCTGTAAGTTCCATAGAGAACAGAAAAAACAAATGAGATGAGATTATTACATAAATAACAGAAGATGTCATAGGATGGAAAGTCACAAATTTCTACATTGAAAGAGCCCTCTTAGGAGGGTACTAGAGGCAGTTGCTTAGCAAAACAAGGGAGTAACTAAGAAAGAGAAACCTAAGAGAGAGAGGTAATGGGCTCTTTAGTAAGGGACATCTAGGATGACAGCTATGAAGTAAGCCAAGAGAACAAGAGAACCAAAATGAATCTGGAGAGCAGAACTCTAGGTAGAGGCAAGGGGTGGGGAATAGAACTGGGAGTATGTTTGTGCATTTGGAAAAAAAATGACAGATCGGTTTGAGCAAAATTAGTAATAAGTACAAGGAAAACTGAGCAGATAAAAATAAAGCAAATGTTAATTCTAGGAAAAACAAAAATAACAAAACAACAAAGTAAACCACAAGACTCAGCAGTGAAAAATGCTTAGTAGGTATAAAAATATAAATGTAGGGCTGGGCACAGTGGCTCACACCTGTAGTCCCAGCACTTTGGGAGGCCAAGGCAGGCGGATCACCTGAAGTCAGGAGTTCGAGACCAGCCTGGCCAACATGGTGAAGCCCTGTCTCTACTAAAAATACAAAAGTTAGCTGGGCATGGTGGTGGGTGCCTGTAATCCCAGCTACTGGGGAGGCTGAGGCAGGAGAATCACTTGAACTTGGGAGGCGGAGGTTGCAGTGAGCTAAGATCACACCACTACACTCCAGCCTGGGTGACAGAGCGAGAGTCTGTCTCAAAAAAAAAAAAAAAAAAAAAAATATATATATATATATATATATAAACATAGAAGATTGATTAACTGAACATTCTGAGGAAACCATATTGGGAGGATAAGTTGAGAGAAAATGGGAGTGTTAGTGGTAGAAGAGGGCTAAATTCTCATTGACCACTTTAAGAAAATGATTGTTAATGCCTAAAATGCACAAATCAAAAAATGTCAGCATAAGCCTTTTATTTAGATGTGCTGTTGAACTTCTGCTTCTAGCTAAGAAGTAGTAACAGAGATCACATGTATCCTCCTGCTAAAACAATAAAAATAACCTGGGCACCATATGTGAAAAAGCATATTTCAAAATATTGAGACCCAGGCAAACAGGGACAATTATGTCTGAGATACAGGTATCAAATGAGATGAGCCCTATATTTGCCCCAGATTGCTGCCTTGAGATAAATCTGAGATCATGGTGCAGGGAGCAGGAATGCAGGTAGAGCCTGGTGGACTCTTGAGTTGAGAAAATGGAGCTGGGGAGGGAGACCAGGGTGGCTGGAGTTCTCAGGGAAGGGTACCAGAGGGAAAAAAGTTCACCAAATGAGAGCTCCAGAGATCTGCAGAGGTTCCCTCAAGTCAGCTGGGTGCTGATCAGTATTTGCATGTTGAGAAAATGAACCACAGTTAGGGAAAGGATCATCAGGAAGGATTAGAGGGAATGATTAAGAGCTCATGTTCAAAAAGGTAGAAGGAAAATTCAGCATGTTAGAGACATGGAAGATATACCCAAATTGAGGTATAGATGAAAACTGCTAAATCTGAGATGAAAAATGCACCCAAACGGATTAACAGAAGATTACACATCACTGAAGAAAAGATGAATAAACCTGAAGAGATAATGATCAAAACCATCCAAAATAAACACAGAGAAAAAAGACTTAAAACAGAAAGCATCTGTGAGCTATGGGTTGACTTCAAGCAGACGCATATAGGTGTAATTGTTGTCTCTGAGGGTTGGGGGAGAAAAATATGTGAAGATGTAATGATAAAATTTTTCTGATTTGGATGAAAACTATAAACCCACAGATTTAAGAAGTGCAACAAACCCCAAGCACAAGAAGCATGAAAATAAACTACACCAAGGCATAATCAAGATGTGTAAAATCTGCGATAAAG
Organism: Homo sapiens; assembly: GCF_000001405.40. Lineage (NCBI taxonomy): Eukaryota > Metazoa > Chordata > Mammalia > Primates > Hominidae > Homo > Homo sapiens. The sequence continues at coordinate 54,160,149 of NC_000014.9, read as the reverse complement.
GGAAAGTTTTAAAAATATGGACTAAAGTACCAAAAGAAGCCATAAAAACAGCTAAAAGTGGTTGTCTGTGGGGAGATGGATGCTGGGATAGGGAAGGAGAGAGTGGGGAGTACTGCTGTTCTTCATTATAAACCTTTTAGTACTATTAACAGTTTTTAAAACGTGTGCATATTATTTGAAAAAATAAAAGTAAAGAACAATGAACAAGAAAAAACATCCTGTGATTGAAATACCAACAGTCAAGCTGAAGACAGAGATGCAGCCAGAGGCCTGAGGCATGTACCCATGAGCATCACTACTGCAGAATAGGGCACAAAATAGAACGGAGATTTTCACCAGCTGTTTGAGGAGTGAACAGTGTGAAATTCTCAATTCCAATTGTTGGTGGGCATCTTCCAGTACTGTCATAATTTCTTTTTTCTTCTGTCACCCTTCTCCAGGACCTTGAAGGGGGAATGGAGAGGTGGGGCACAGTTAAGTGTAGCAGTGGGGAGAGGTTTGAGGCCCTATCTTGGTAGTGATTCTGGGAGCACGGTTACTGAATAGAGGTTACAGAAGGAGTAACTGACAGAGCTGTTATTCTGGGTTTCTTTACATTTTTTGTTTAGATGGTGTCAATTGTCTCTAAATGTTCTCTTGGGCTCAAGACTTGCCCTCCCATACTCCATCCTTCAGATTGATCTTTATGAAATGAATCTAATCATGTCATTCCCCTACTTTAGTTCTATTGTCTTTAGACAGGTCTGTACTGTATAGTCAGCCTTGTTTCTCATTTCCCATGCCTTCCCACTGGACTCTTTGATCCAACCTCGTTGAGCTATTTGCAGCACCATCATTGTTCCCAGCCTTTTGAGACTTTGCTTTGCACAGCTGTTCCCTCTTCATGGAAGGTCCTCCCCTCAGCAATCTCTCCATACCCATCTTCTTTACCTTACTAATATGACTTTCAAGTAGTATAGTGTGTTCCCGTAATAACCTATGTTTACTTCATGCATGATTCTTAGGTTTTATTGTCAGTTTATATCACTGTACCTCTAAGTGGGGTCTATTGGAGTCACTTAGGTATTTGGTAAGCGTTAACTTTTCTAGGTGCCACTTTGCATGTACAAATATGAATCTTTAGGGGAGGGTACTGTAGGCATCTTCATTCTAACAGCACCTTAGTTATTTGGCGGGTACAGTAAAATTAGAGAACAACTGGTTTATATGAAAGCATGAACCTTACCTTTTTATCACCAGAGCCTGCCACAGTGACTGGCATAGAGAGGGTTCCCAGTAAATATGTAATGAATAAATGAGCAGGGTATTGAATGAATGGTGTGGGGCATAGAAAGAGAGAGAATGTTGTCAGGGAATGTGAATGATGTACCTGGAGTCTATGATGGGTAGCTGTGGGAAGTAAGGGCAGATCCGTGATTTTACTTCTCCGAATGCCAGAGTGAGGAGTTTGAAATAAACTCCTTAGGAAATAGGGATCCTCTAAAACAATACTTTAAATGTGATGTTTAAGGAAAACTGTCCAGAAATGGCATTTAGTGGATTTGGGTTGAGAGAGGCTGAAAGCAGGGATGCCAGGATAGGGCAGGCAGGTAGAAGTGGTGCAGACTTAGTTTCTGGTAGGAGCAGCGACTTTTTGAGGAACAAACATCTACACTTTGGCAGCTGATTTTATCTTGGTAATGAAGGCAGAGATGAAATTCAAGAGCAGTCCAAGATTTGAACCCCATATGTCCAAGAAAAATAGTGGGTTCCATGGCAGGAACATGAACATTGGGAGGGGAACTCATGAAAGCGGAGACTGTGAGTTCCATTTGGGACTGTTGAGTTTGGGAAGCTATGGGTCAAAGGGCTGTCTGAACGCTCTGCAACCATTCATGGGAAAAACATTATTGAGTGCCAAAGAAATAGTGCCTTTATCTTTGAGACATATATAGCCTGGTGGAGAAGAAAGAAAAAATAAGCTGTAAAATTACTATAACTGAATAAATGTGTATAATATAGATACAGAGTTTGGGGGAATAGAAGAGGGACTGACTGAAGAATACTGAAAAGACTTTGTAGAGGAACTTTGATTTGGTCCTTGAAGAATAGTTAGAACCTTACCTGAAGGAGAAGAGAAGAAATGGCATTCCAAGGCTAGGGAACAGAATGAGCAAAGCAGGGTGAGAGGGCAGGATGGATTTGGTGACATATTTGTTTTGTGTTGTTGGAACTCAGGTTATAAGTGGATAGAATGCTGGAAGATAAGATGAAACCCTAGATTGAAGACAGTTAATAGGAAAAGCTTTAAGCCAAGCAAAAGAGTTTGGATTTTTTCCTGTGAATGATAGAGTGGAGGTGTCTAAGCAGGATACACCATTACTAGGTTTTATCATTGAATGAATATAGATTGTTCTACTAGCAGAGTGGAGGCTAGATTGAGTGGGGGCTGGCTGGTTGCTAGAAAAAATGGTTGAGTGTTGTTGCAGTAGTCTAAGAGGGTAGTAATGATCTCTGGCCATGGCAGTGGTAATGGAGATGTAGAGGCTGCATTTGGTGAACAATTGGAAAGAATTGGAGCATGGGGAAAGAAAAGGGGAACCAAAGATAACTCTCAGGTTTCTCGCTCTGGAGTTTGGGTTGATACCTTTTTCTGTGACAAATGGATAGGAAAAGTCCTAAAACTCCCATTACCTCAGAATGTGATTTTATTTAGAGATAGGGTCTTTAAAGAGGAGATCTGTTAGGGTGGGGCTCTATTCCAGTATGACTGGTGTTCTTTTTAGAGGAGTAAGAGGCACCAGATGTGTGCATGCACTGTGAAAAGGCTCTGTGAGGACACAGTGAGAAGGTGATCACCTGCAACCCAAGGAGAGGGGCCTCAGGAAAAGCCAAACCTGCCAACTCCTTAATCTTGAAATTCCAGTCTCTAGAACTGTGAGAAATAAATTTCTGCTGTTTAAGCCACCTAGGCTGTGGTATTCTGTTATAGCAACTGTAGCA